>NC_000015.10:53901874-54526874 GCF_000001405.40 Homo sapiens | reverse complement strand
AAAAATGGCATAACTAATTGATAAATGTTTATTAATAGTGGATCTTTCTAAAACACAACAACAGGTGATGAGTGGTGGCCAGAGATAGTCCCTACCTGAAGAGAGCAATCTTTTTTTTTTTTTTTTTTTTTTTTCTAGACGGAGTCTCTGTTGCCCAGGCTGGAGTGCAGTGGTGCGATCTCGGCTCACTGCAAGCTCCACCTCCAGGGTTCACGCCATTCTCCTGCCTCAGCCTCCTGAGTAACTGGGACTACAGGTGCCCGTCACCACGCCCGGCTACTTTTTTGTTTGTTTGTTTTATACTTTTAGTAGAGACGGGGTTTCACTGTATTAGCCAGGATGGTCTCGATCTCCTGACCTCGTGATCCACCTGCCTCAGCCTCCCAAAGTGCTGGGATTACAGGCATAAGCCACCGTACCCGGCCCTGAAGAGCAATCTTTATAGTCTCTTTTGAAAATTGAACACATAGTTTAAAATAATACATCAGTTATTTAACTAATATTTAAAGCAAATTCTATATTAATGAACCTCTTCAAAAATATATTTTCTTTCCTAGCTATTTTAACATTTTGATGAGGTGATAGATTTTTCCTACAGAACTGAAGTGAAATTTAACTAGGGTGAACTTATCTTTCTTTAGATTCATATCACAGATAAAGCCAGTTTTAACAAACATTTAAAATATATAGATATATCAATAGTTTCCAAACTCCTTCCCATGGGGTAGTTGTATTCAGATTGCTAGGCCCTAAAACCAAGAATCCTGACAATTTGGTATAGGGTTGTTGATCCAGCTATACTGACGGCAACCACACTGATATGCATGGTATGAATACAACTCATACTTCTTATATATGTGAAGTTTTTCTCTTTTCTTCCCTCCCTGTCTTTAGTCTTTCAATAGCCAGTCACCCAGCTCTAAACACTAGAACTGCATATAGGTGTGAGATATGGTTTCTGTCCTGAGTGTGGGAAATAGACAGGTAAAACAAAACTCTGAGGATAGTGTTATAGGTGTTATCCGACCGAAGGATGCACAGAGTTCTAGGGAGTGCATAGCAAGATAGCACTATTAGATTGTGGGGTCATAACAGATGTTTCAGAGAAAATGACATTTAGATTGGGTCTTGAAGTTAAGTAGATTTAGTCAGTCAGAGGAAACAGCATTGAAGGCAAGAATATCATGAACTGACACCTAATTATCTAATTTAGATAATGACAACAGAGGCCACTTACCTTTCACCATAAGTGACGCTGAGCTCATCCAGGACCCCACTGAGCTTAACCTGAAGTTCTTTTAGAATAGTACTAGCTTCAGAATCTAGCTGCAGAGAGACCATAAACAATATTACTTTGGAGTTTTGAGAAAGCATGCCTCTGTTTTGCTTACAAGCATTTTGATTATTATATGGTAACTTCAAACAACATGTAAGCTTTTTTCTCTTCTTTTTTTTTTTTTTTGGTCTTTGAAATCAAATCTAAACATTTAGGAAACTTTAAAGAAACCAAGGGGTTCTCATATACAAAAAATTGTTTGAAATGCAGGGCATGCATACAAGTAACAGCTAGATAACAAAGCCTTTGTTGGTTATAGCAATGAGATGCAAGGCATGACAAAAATATCCTCCAGAACATGATAATTCCGTAATTTAGAAAACCTGTTATACTTCAGCTGAATATATGTGTTGCTTCAAAATTTATTTAAATCTTTAATATCCCTGTAAATAAATAGGCACATTAAGAATAAAAGTTGTTAAAAATTAACTTTTGAATATTGTGTTGTGCATTATTTAAAGGTGTTTTCATATTTCCCCAACTTTGGAATTAAGAGTAATAGGATAGACAAGGTATCCAAGCACGCCCATGTTTTTCTGGAGACGATAGTCCTGACTTTTCTTCCTGGTTGCTAATTTACAGCTGAAAGTTCAGGATAATAGGTCTATTGTATCAAGCAGAGAGAAATTCACGTAAATAGCAATCTGAAATATTCTCTGAAATTGGAACGTGACTCTTTCTTTCTACCTTTAGAAATTTAGTTTCCTACCATTAATATCATTAGTTCTTGCCCAAGCTGATCTACTATTGAAAAGAAGAGGACAGGATAAAGCCAAGTTTGGGGAGTAAAACAAATTAAAGCATGACTTAGTATAAGTAAGAGAATCTAAGAATGCCAACTAAATATAGGACCTAATATCAGTTTAAACTCCTGGGAGCCGATACAGAACCAAGAAGTATCCCTATGAGGGTGCATTGGACATAAGTCCTATAATCCTCCAAGACTATTTTCTGATACTAAGGAACTGTTAGGAAGAAGAATTATTTACATATCTCTGCAGCTGGGTAGCTCTAAGTTGTCCTGATGTGACTAAAAACATTGGAATGAAAATCAAATATTGCATTTGGCATTTGAGACTTTATTAATTATATCAAACCAATCCTTTATATCAGTTTTAACTCAAGTCCGCCTAACTTTCAGGATTGGTTAGCTTCTGCCCTCTATCAGAGGCAATGTGATTTTTCTGGATTCCTTGTATCTTTTTTCTTCTGTCTCAGTAATCAGTTATGGTGACAGCTCTTGTCCAGACACACAGGCTACCATAACAGATAGAGACTTCTATAAGAGTGAGAAAATTAACATATCATAACAGATAGAGACTTCTATAAGAGTGAGAAAATTAACATATCTGTGAGCTTCATACTTTCTAGAGTTCTATTCAGCTAAAACCAGTTGCAGGGAAGTAATTCAGAAAGACAATTAGATAGTACATACTTATTTTAAAAAGACTTAAAATATGGATAATGAATTTAATCACAATTTGCCTAACAAACTATAACTCCCTAACCCCTAACCAAGAAAACATATGTGGATTTTCCACTCCAATCCTAAGGAATCATGCAGGCTGAATTTTTTTAAATGATATTTTCTTGTTATTGTGCTAATAACAATTTTACCTTGATTTCATTTGATAAAAATGTTGGGGAAGAGGGAATGAGAGATAAGTTCTGCCATGTGGCTTTCTTCAGGCTCTCCACTTCCTGCTCACATGGGTGGTAGTTCCCCACCCATACCTCTACCACCTCCAAGGGAATCGCTCTGAAAGCAGTATTTCCTTCAGGAAATGGGGGTTGCTTCTTATTTAAAATGTGTTTTGGTTTCCATATTAGTTTAATATACACACTGAGGTAATTTGTTCACATTGAGGTAGGATTATCACCAGATAAGGCCTTCAAGGTCATACAGAAATGGCTACATAGGTCACTTGCACAAAATTATGCTATTTTCTTATAGAATTATTTTAGTCCACCTTAGGTATTTGGTGAATAGATATTTCTCATCAAATAATTATTAGTTGACAACCTAAAACTGCCAGACTACAGCGATTTGAACATTGGATGACAGTTTTAATTTCTGGATACATAGGTATGTTTCTAAGCAGGTGCAGACGGAATGTCTCTGTTATGTAACCAGTCCCTCCCACAAAAGGAAAAGTTTTAGTTTCAGTTAAGTATTTAACGTTTACATGATCTGAATCATACCATTAAAACAGGCAAAGCAATTCTGAGGCCAGTGTACATGGCTCTTCAAATTGCAGATCTTTTTCAATAATGAGCATAATGGACATAATTATCATACTCATCTAATAATAAAACAATCTCTTTAGGTAGCAAAACTACCAGTTTTTGAGTTCTTCTGCATTACTCTATGTGTCCAAATTGAGGACATTTTTCTTACTCCTACAAATTTTGTAAAATTTTAAGAAATAATAGATTGGGAGCTGAGAGCTCATTGCCTGAATTATCAATAGCATATTTTTAAAATTATTGGGTACCTTGTAAAGGTAAAAGGCAATCTAATATTTTTTCAAAGGTTTAAAGCTTATCCTAGTTATATAAGTAGTATAACATCAAAATTATCTTGAATCTTTTTGTATTGTTATTTAGAGTTATTGTTAAAAGCAAAAATTAAGAGGGAAAGAACAGAAAAATTTCGAATATTCATAAGTCACAGTGTATTCTAAAGTAGAAACTCAATTAGCATGTGTATGAACAACTTAATTGGTTGGCTGGCTAAAAAAATAAAGTTTCTATGTAATGAGGAATATACACAATGAAAATTTAAGGATTTTGAGTCAAATTCTGAATTTAAAATAAAGTTTTCAAGACAGATTTAATTCCCCACTCTACGAAGGGCTTGGGAATTTCAAAATCTAGGCTGCCAAAGTATGGTTCAGATGATCAGAATAAACTATAATCCCACATAGGTATTAACTGAGTTTTACACCATTGAGGTATTTTATACCATTGAGCTGTGGTAATAGATATAACTTGTCTGGGAGAGCCAGCTAGTAGGCAAGACTTTTTGTTGTTGTTGTTGTTGTTGTTTTGTTTTGTTTTTGAGACAGAATCTCGCTCTGTTGCCCAGGCTGGAGTGCAGTGGCCCGATCTTGGCTCACTGCAACCTCCACCTCCTGGGTTCAAGCAATTCTCCTGCCTCACCCTCCAGAGTAGCTGGGATTACAGGCACCTGCCACCATGTCCAGCTTTTTTTTTTTTTTTGTATTTTTAGTAGAGATGGGGTTTCACCATGTTGACCAGGCTGGTCTTGAACTCCTGACCTCAGGTGATCCACCTGCCTTGGCCTCCCAAAGTGCTGGGATTACAGGCGTGAGCCACCGCGCCTGGCCAGAAAGACATCTTTTAAGTTATTTTCCTTCATCTTAAGTTATTTTCCTTAAGGCTTACTTTTCCTTTTTCTTTAAAAGATAATTCACTTATCTCCTTTTGCAAATTTTCGCTCAAGTGTAGCTAGCCCTAGGCAGTTAGTAGATCTAGCCTCTACACTGACTATGCTCTTTACTATAACTGTGTATGCAGTGTTCTCTCTAAATGCTCTCTTATAAATCTACCTCTTCCATAGAACTTGTTCATACTTTTCTATCCTGGGTATCTGTTCCAGTGTCCTGCATGCATGGGCATTCACCACATGTTGAGGAAGGAAGTGAGGATAGACAGAAGCATAAAAATTCCCTCACAGAAGCAGTCCTATATCATCTTCATCTCCTTGGACTGATACCTTGCATTAACTATGAATAGGATATTTTGCCCTTGAAATCTTTCATTCCTTAGAAACCATATATTCCAGAGTTATCAAGTTAATCCTGATTTCAAATATCTATCTCATTGCCAGACCATGTCAGGTGTTTCCCTGCTATTTGTTTGGTTCAGAAGAATGGTTACCATACCCACACTGCATGTTTGTTTGTTTTCCAGAAAAGATTATTTCCCTAGAGGTCTAAAGAAAATACATGTTATATATTCTCTTACAGCAGCAATTGTTAAACTGACCCTCAAGCTCTTGCTAGAGTTACAAGCAATGAGTTGCAAAGTCATTTAAAAGTCATTTAAACTCTTCAGATAGCTCAATATAAACTCTTGAAAAATAGACTTTGCATGGAAGAAATTAAAGATCTTTAGTGTGAATTTTATTTCTTCTTCACAGTCTTTATTACTATCTCATTTCCTTCATTTCCTACGAGCTACAAAGCTATCTTTCCTGTGTTCAGCTCATCAGTGTTATCGGTTATTTTCTGTAAAGAAGTGCAAATCAGGAAGGAAGGTAACTTCCTGGCCATCTCACCAGGGGCCAAAATTTAATCATTATTCTGGTAGGTTTCATACTCTCCAATATTTTTGCATTAAAACATTAATAAATAAAAATTTCACCTCTAGTTCCATGAAAAAGCCTTATTTCCAAGAAAAATGCTGTTTAACTTGCACTCTTGGTTCCTTCTTTCGGATTTTGTTCCATCAATTATCTCTTTCCCTTTTCATTCCCTCTACCATTAATTTTATTACCCCATCCTATAAATATGCTCAAGTAACATTTATGTTAAAATAAACAACAGACAATGAAAGAGAAGCCAAACTTATTTGGAACTACATTCTCATTGACATCTAGCCAATATCCTTCCTTCTTTTGATCTTCAGACTGCTTACAACAGTGTCAGACTTGTTGACTCCACATCCTTTTCTCCTAAACATTCATTAGTTCTCTGCAATGTGGCTTGCTTCTGTTACAGATATGCCACTGACGTGTTTCCATATGGTCACCAATGATTTCTTAATTTCAAGGACCTTATTTATCTTAGCCTTCATTCATACTGTTGTTTGCTCTGTTTCCCAAGGTCCTTCCCTGCTTCTCTAACTGCCTGTGATTTGTCTGTCTTCTGTTAACTTTCCTCCTCTGTATATCCCTGAAATATTAGTGTCCTTCAATTCTCCTTTTTCAGTCTTCTTTTCTTTTTACTCTGTACTCCCCTTGAGCAATTAAATTCATGCCCATGGCTTCAATTATCACCCATATGCTAAGGGCCCCAAATCTATTATCAACATTCTTAACAGCATGCCTGAGAATCATGTCTATATTTCCAAGTACCTAGTAAACTTCCACTTTGATGGCTCATACATGCTTCAGCTGTAGCATATCAAAGCACAACTTATTACTATTCTTAATTTATTTATCTTCTTATTTCCTCTGATTTGGTTAATGGCCTACAATTGTTTAAGGCAGAAATGTGAAAGTCATCTTTGACTTCTGTTTTCTTCCCTCCATATTTACTTCCATACCAAATATGATTGGTGATATCTCTGAAATGTTTTATCCACCTGCCTTTTCCTCTTCACTTCCAGATTCTGAATTTTTCTCCTCTAGCCTACTGTAATCATCTACACATTGTGTTCCTATTTCCTGTTTCCCCCCTTCATCCTCCTAACTGGTGTAATAAACCCAAATATGATCATGACACTGGCGTATCATCCTTCAAGCTGGCTTTCCACCAGGGAATTGCTTCAAGCAACTTCTCACAATCTTATCTGGGCTCTTGCTTTTTTTATGTTTTCTTTTTAAAACATCATTTTCCTTCAAATCTTCCACTTGACCGGAATCTTTTCATCTTATAGGGTCTACTTCAACTTAAAATATATGACTGAGAATTCAGCAAAAATTCCCTAGTGAATCTAGAAGTAGGGTACTTTCCTGGAAATGCCCTAAATCACTTCATAAGCCTGTGGTGTCAGCATGAATACTGTGGTTTGTTGTCAGAAGTAAAAGAATACACGGTCCTCTCTACCGGAAACAAATGTGCCCAGCTCTAACCATACTACCCTGTTTTTTGTTTCGTTTTAAAATGCCTCTTAAGGAGAAACTCCAAGAACTTACACGACAATTTTCAGACAGACTATGGCATTTTCTTTATCCTATTCAGATTTGCATGAATGTTATGCTAGAGGTATCAGTTGTATAAATTCATGTTTCTAACTTCTGGGTTTCAAAAAGTTGAACATCAATAGCTGTCTCCCATCCTAATTAAAGAGAGTATGCAGTAAATCCAACTGTCACTGTGCTTCAAATCAACAAAATGCCTTTGAGATATGTTAAATGAGGTTCTTCAGTCTAGACAACTGAAGGAAAAAAAAAGATTGCCTTACCTTTTATAATTCACTCAATATAGTTTTGAGTTAGTGAATATAAGGAATTTTGGCTTTTTCTGTTTCTATGAACTGTTTTTCTTTAAATTACACCTTCAGGCTTTATATGAGTGATGTGACATTCTTTTCTCTTATACATTTTTTCCCTTCTCACCTGCAACACATACACTATTCCTCTACTTCATGGATTGCTAACATGCGGATTGTCCTTATAATGACAGAAATTTAGAAAAAAAAAGAATTTCTGAAATCACATAGTTCAACTTCCTCGTTGTTTCCAAATGGGTAAAACCAAAGCACAGATAATGTGTTATGCTTTTGGAGCCACATGGGGACTGAAGAGCTGCATTCTTAGAAGCTATTTCCTCTGAAGAAATTCTCTTCTGAGAATGTTCATTAAAAAAACAGGAATCCCCGTTTTATAACAATGGGAAAGGAATTTAGGGCTTACATGTTGCATCTATTGGCTAATTGTGAAAATGGACTGGGTAGGGATAAGTTAGGAATAGAATCAACGAGACACTTTATGTTCAGAATTTTGTTCTGCCCTTTTCCCCTGACCTACTCTGTCTGACCCATTTGGCTGTTTCTTCACATTCCTGCATGTGTTATAAACCACTGCTCAGCGATGTGAATATAGTCCACCCAGTCAACTGAATTCAGGACCTGTTGACCATCAAGTGCTGGGGACAGAGTGTTCTCTGTGAGCCATTATCTCAGGGTGTCTGAGGACTATTCTGCTTAGTAGGGCAAACAAGAGAACTGACTGGGTTAAAGAAGTTAAATTTTACCAGTAATGGCATTGGTTTATGGTTTGTTAAAGCAGGCATGAGCAACTGAAGGTGATCACAACAAGATAATGAAATAGATTTATTATAGAAGATGGCAGTTAAAGTGAAGCCGTCTCCCTCTCCTTCCTTGCTGGGGCATGTGTCCTTTCTCCTTAAGTTTTCTTAAGGTTCAGAGAGAGGTGAGTTTAAAAAGAGACTTGGCAGTATATGAGTAACCCTGTGAGCTCTCTTAAATGCTCTGGGAAATGAGGTTAACAAGCGTCACCTGCCTGGGTCTGTATTTCATTTTGACATGGCTCGCCAACCAAAAAACCTTTCAACCTCCTCAGCAGCACCTTTTCTTAATTTCACAAGCTTAGCAGTTAGCTAAACTTTATGTGGTAGTAGTGCTAAATTATTAAACATATTTATTAAATCACTTTAATATAATTTGCTTTATTGGCCCTTATTATTCTCTTAATTTTCCATTAAGTTCAATTTATTAAATCTAATTGCAGAGATGATTAGGAGGAGAAAGAAACCAGGCAGTCTGTGCATGTTGCCACAATAAAAGGCCAGCACTTCAAATATTCAATTCTCCTTATTATCTGGGGCTATGAAGCTATAACTGGTTGCTTTTACTGACGTCAGCCAAATTACATTTCCCTTTTTACCTCTATTTATACAACAAGAGGTGAGGTTTGAGTTTATTTCTGAATTGTTGCAGGATAAGTTATAACAATTAAAACTTTCATCTGAAGGATATCTTCACATTTAGGAGTGTCCTTGTTGTTTTTCTCTCACAAACCTTATCTCTTTAATTGCTCTGATTCCCCTAAAAACTTCTAAGTTCTTTGAGGGTGGGGTCTGCATCTTAGTAATTAATGTATCTCCAGTTCCTAGTAAAATTTACAGCTCATAACAAGTGCTCAGCAAATAAATATTTGTTGAATGAATTAGCGAAGGAGTAAATTCTGTCATCATATTCAGTGTGCTCAGACCTTTTTTTCATACAGCAGTCAGCCCCAAGAGGAAGAGGTGCTTACAGTGGTGGAGAAAGACGTGGAACAGCTGGCTTCTGAATATCCTTCAGTAAGTGCTAAAAGGCATCTCTAGTCTAATTATGTTTTACCAAGTTCCTTACACCTTGTAAGCTCCTTGAGACCCCAGGCATTAAAAAATGTTTTTATTTTGTACCCCAATTTCTGCCCACCTGCAGATAAACTACATGTAAGTAGGCAACAATGGATATTCTAACTAAATACGAAGAACTTTTCAAATTGGTTTAGAAAACAGTTTTAGAACTGAAAGATATAATGTGACAATTTGAAATTGTCTATTTTACTATCTAATATATACTTTATAATTTATTCTATATTTTGTAATTCCTGAAAATATGAGAACAGTAGATTAATTCTTATTAATTTATTAACTAGTAACTTATATTTCTATATTAAGAAGAAAAGGTGAGACAGATTAGAAACCTGAATGTAAAATTTGGCCTCTGTTAACTATAACACCATTTTTTATAAGATTACATATAAAATTCAAGCATAAAGGCCAGAATCTTAAAAAACTGCAAGAATTTTGTATATGATTGCAAATCGACTACCTTTATTTTGGGACTATCCTATTCTTTAATACAAATACTTGCCTGCACTCTTGCATGCTGTTCCAATTTCCATACAAACACCTTGAATCTCAGGTGTTCTTAAGATTCAAAACACAGAAAGTAGGCTGGTCAGGACTGGTGTACAAATAAGAAAAACGGGTATTCTGTGTTATTTTCTAATTATCTGATACTTTTTTTTTTTTTGAGACAGCATCTCACTCCGTTTTCCAGGCTGGAGTGCCGTGGTGCGATCTCTGCTCACTGCAACCTCCGCCTCTAGGGTTCAAGTGATTCTCCCGCTTCAGCCTCCTGAGTAGCTGGGATTACAGGCGCCCACCACCATGCCTGGCTAATTTTTGGTATTTTTAGTAGAAACAGGATTTTGCCATGTTAGGCTGATCTCGAACTCTTGACCTCAGGTGATCCACCCACTTTGGCCTCCCAAAGTGCTGGGATTACAGGAACGAGCTACCACACCTGGCCTGATTCTTTTTCAGAAAGCATATAGCAGTAATTCTCAATGCATGGTCCCCAGACCAGTAGCATCAGCGTCACCCAGAGATTCGTTAGAAATGCAAATCACCTGGCCCTGCCCCAAACGTACTGAATCAAATACACTGGGGGTAGAGTTCAGTGATGTGTGTTTTTCATAAACTCATCAGGTAGTTCTGATGCGTGCTGAAGTTCAAGAAGAACTACTGGCATGGAGTATTATTTCCTTTGAAGCTCTGATCTTTCATCTCCTGTTGCCTCAGCACGTTTAAAGTTGAGAGGCTAGTGGCAAGTGAAAAATGATGAAGATTAATGTTTTTCCTTCCTGGTCTAGGGTTGCTTAGCTAATGACTTAGTCCATGTGGCTAATAGGTATTACAATGAATTTCAATGAGCTACATACACACACTTTTGGGCAGTCAGATGCAATTTCTAGTTGACACATCAAATTTGTCATTAAAAATTAAAAGCGACATAGATATACATCTCTGAAATAAAAGGATAATTTAGTTGACCATTACAATATCCATATTTTTAAAATGATGGGGTTATGGTCCAGATTCCTTGGCTCTATTCTGCCTGGACTTATGTGAAGTTACTCTCATGGGAAATTTTACCACCATGGTATGACACAGAAGAGTCAATCCTTTTTTGAGTCATAACAATACAAATAGCATTATCATTATACCTAATGGAGCTGCCTGTGGTCAACAGATGAAAATAATTTAGCTGAACAAACGAACCCTCCTTTTTCCCTGAATGTCTTAATAACAGCTAACTACAATTTGAAGTAACATCAACAGTTAGTGGGCTTATGGATAACTATGGATTCTACCATTTAAAACGATTGCACCAATAAAATATTGTGAAGGATTAATGCACCTTCTAAATCAATGATCATAACACAAGTTCTTTAGAGTTTCAAAATGCATATCTTATAACTTCCTGAAAAGAAATTAAATTTTGGATTTTTTCATATACCTGTATATATTAGATTACAAATTAATGATAAGTCCTTTTCATGGGCTGCAGCAATGTGTTTTTGTTACAAAATGAATACAAGCTAAGTAATTATTTGCAATTGATAGATAATAAATTATATTCATGAAATAATTAAGCTATTAACATAATGTAACCTAACGTAATCACTCACCAATGAATGAAAATTATTACATGGCACCCTGATAATCATTTTGTTGTTATTGTGTTATAAAGGGACAGATAATATTATATGGGGATTGTAGTGCAAATTAACTTGTAGCTCTAGTACATCTATAACACGGGTTGGCTATTTTACTTGTTTTAGTATAGTGATTCCCAAAACTGTATCCACATAAAAAATCACCAGAGGTGCTTTTTAAAAAAACAGACTCTGTACTCCATTCCTAAAGGTTAGTTTTTCTTCGTGGTTTGTGAGATTTTTTTTTATATATTCTCTAGAGGAATCAGAGATGTTATGCCAAAACATGCCCCTGATTTGTATGCAGAGAAGTGTGTTGGAAAATCACTTTAGAGGAGAAGAAAATTAGTGGTTTGCTTTTCTCTTTTGACTTTTTTTTTCCCTAAATAGGGCATTAGAAAGTAAATGTGCTGACATGGCCCATAGGATATTGTGCATGCAACTGTCTAACAATGATTGCTTAAGTGACTGTTTTTGGAACCATTGTCAACAACATAATCCCACGATCATCATGGTGTTAAGCAATGCTTCCATTTGAACTCCATACAGAGAGTGAATTTTTCCACTGAAAAAGGGTTTTAAACACTCTTTTTATTTCCAGGGGGAAAAGAGGCTGATTCTGTGAAGAAAAAACAGCTGCCTCAACTACATGGTGATAAGGTTAAAGCAGCAGGGAGCTGCAGTAGCACGCAGTCATGCCTGTAAGCAGCCAGCACTTTGCAGATAGTATAATATTAGAGGAAAGCAATGCTGTTGTTAGAAGCCAGCTAATAAACACATAGCATTAAAAACCATTTTGAGCAAGTGCACAAGCAATTATTTGCTATTTAATTTTTATAGCAAGAAGTACATATATCAGCACAGATGGTGGGGGATAAGATAAAAAGAAACTCTTAAATGAAGAATAAGGTCTAGCCTGGAATATTTCCCTTATTTACAGTGGAATTGGTTATAATACCAGTGAAAGGTTTTACAACCAGTTCCACTGTAAGGAAAAAACTGGGAATTTGAATTAGAACACATTGTATAACTTTTAAAGGCCCCTGAACATGTCTGTATCAAGTGTTGCATATCAAAGGGTGAATTCTGTAATTTTCTCATATCAAAGGGTGAATTCTATAATTTTCAATCAAATCCTTTTTCATCTTTATAAAAGCCCCAAGTTAAGGAAACCATTTAGATACTGCCATGTTTATACAACAATATTGGAAGAACTCTGCTTATTATTTTGAAATTCTGTTGCCTTGAGACCCCAGAGTAATCAGAAATTCTATCATAATTCTGTATCAATTAAGCTTCTATTTTCTGGGAGGACACATGATGCACTCAGACTTGAATGCAAGTCTTGCTTCCTCCTGACATTTCATCAATCTCTATGCAAATGCTGACTGGCCCTACCTAAAACTTTGAGCTGAAAATGGAACACAGTAAGAGAAAAGATCTATGCATAGAGAGGAGAAAAAGAAAACAGGAGAAACAGAAAATCACAGAAAAGGGTAAAGAGAGGAAGGAAAGAAATGAAAAAAAATATTTAGAAAAAGAAAGGAGAAGATTACATCGTTAGAAGCTAGGCATTCATTTTATTTCACTGATTTATTTACGCTTTCTTCTTAAATCGTGTCTGAGGAGTTTAGCAAGTAGACATTGCAAGAGTTTTAAAGGAAGAAGGTACCAAGCTCAGTATTTCTGTTTTCATTATGTTCTTCAATAAGAGGAGGAGTTCTATGGTTTAGTCATCTATTTGAAATAAAATGAATAGCGTGAAACCTGTATATTTCAAACCAGCAATTCTATCTGAAATAAGGAATTCATTTTTGATTGGTGAACAAGCCACTTTATAACATTTTTAATTAGCAAGTGGCTTGGCCCATCCAGTTTCCTTTAAGTACAGGTCTGATTTATCTGGTTAAATTCAGTTCAACAATATGTTATTCACATTAGAGTTCAAACACAGAATAGTAATGAAATAGCATAAGTAGCATAAGGATAAATTTATGGAAATATGACATTTTAAATATAACTTTATTCTTAAATGATTTGTGGGCTTTAAAATTTATAGGAAGGAGATAATATTTCCCACATGAAATCAATAATTTCTTCATCACTTTTCTAAATGCTAAGTGGACTTCAAGTCTGAATATAAAACATCAGTAAAATTGAAAAGGAAATCTCACATTATATTCCTTAATTGGTTGTGCTTACCTAATTCAGCAGAATAATTTTAAAATAAGATCAATGCCCTCAAACTTTACATAAAGCATTAACACACTTTAGGGAATGAGGCCTTATTTTATACAAATAAAACTGAGATTGCAATGAAGGCACAGCTCATAAAGGTTCATTTTTTTAAAGTTTTGCATCATCACACATATATTCTAGTGCTTCACCATTGCAGAATGCTAAATAGCAAGTTCATTTTTCAAAATACTGAAAAAGAAACAGACATTGGAGAAGTGTAAAAACATCTCCTTGGGGTTAAAAGCAAAATCACATGGGAAGGAGCCAATCTTAAAAGAAACATTTGTAGTCACATAAGTTTAGAAATAAAAGGGATATTTACTTTGAAATGCATCCTAGCATTACGCACATCTCATAAACTTTCCCACGGGAAGGAACAATGTAAAGGAATCTTAAACAGAAGTATATATCTACATATTCTTGACATAGCTGCCCTTGAGATTGTTTCCAGCGGAATAAGGGCATGGGGAGAAACCCTGCTTCATGACCCTCCCTCTCAGCACCTTCTCCAGTCCTCAATCCCTGAATGCTTAGGTCAGTTTATGAAAGAAAAGACTGTGGCAGGCAGGAAGATGCAGGTGCATAGCTAGTATTTCACTGTCTGTCTGTTCCAAACAAGCAAATGGGAATAAGTAGAAAATGCAATGGTCTTTAGGTATGGAGTGAGGGTTGGAGGGAACAGCCAGGTAAGGGATAAGATGCTTACTATCACAAACCTCATAAAAGAATCTTTCTCCTTCCTTCTTCTGCTCATGGAATTGCAAGTCAAAGATGTTGGACAAAGACATGACACATTACAGACACATCACACAACACATTTTTGACAGAGCTTTCTCAATGTGAAAAATAAACTCCAGTACATCAAAAACCAATAGCACCACAAAGCATATTGCAGAATAAACATTGATATCAAGCTGACATTGTACAAGACAGTGAAAAACACAATTTGTGGAATTTTACAAGTCATTAGCATACAAATATATATGTGTGTATATATGACTACACACACAAACATACATGCGCACACACAGAAGACCAAAGGCTACTATCTTCTGCCTCCCATTCACACTTCTAATGTATTTACTAAAGTATTCTGTTGTGGATAATAATCATTTTAGTTGTTAATGACATTTGAGATTATTATCATTTCCTGTTCTTAGTTAACCATGTAAAAACTTGATTAAGACACTTTCATAGCAAGAGATATGCTGCTAATAATCTCTAAGTAGGTTTTTAGCAAATGTAGGAGAAAAAGATACCCACCTCCTTCCCTCCCATGGATTCAAACATTTTTTCCAGCTGGACCCGCAATTGTTGAATATTGTTCATCAAGATACAGGGCTTTAAATATAGAAAAAAAGACTATTATGAGCAATCTTTTTATATAAAATTATTGAATGAGTTTAACTTATAAGTGGTGGAAAATAGCTATCTTGGATTCCTATTATATTAGATGTATATACTAATTCTGCTATTTCAACATTATAGTTTGTAACAGTTAAGAATGGAAACAGAGAAACATAATGCCACATTGGGGAATGAAATTTAAAAACATACTCAGACAATAAACCATTGGAGACTTGCTGCTAAAGTTTCTTTTATCTTTAACATTGTAACATTTCATACTTAGAAAGTAAGCACACTTTTTGTTTTTATAGATTTACTTTTAGAAAAAGGTTAGCTTAAATTCTTCTGTTATTTTACTGTTTTAGAAAAGAAAATACCATGTGATTTTTTAAATGCAAAAACATTTTAAAAATAAACTTAAATATATTTTCTGGCTGCAGGTAAAGACCACATGCTGGTATTCGAAGTGTTTTTCTTCTGGCTTTAACCTGTGTTTTTCTTCTCATTTTCCTACTTGCTTATTTGACTCATATCCATCATTCAGGTTAGAGCGTTCTTTTTTCCTGGATTTTATCTTATCACTCACTTGGCATTTGTTTTACATTGCTTTACATTTGAGTTGCTTTTCACTCTCACCAGCTAACGTTAAATACATTGTACATGCTGCTGTGTCTCTTTCTGCTTTTCTTACTCACAAACTACTGCACAGTGGTGTACATATAATACATGCTTAGAAAATGTTTCTCCACTTGTTTCCAAGGAGCCAGATAATATAATAATAACAAAGATGTAAAGCTTTGTGACAGGTCTAGATGTGAACTTAGAATAGTAAACATTAATTCATAATTAGAAAACAATTCATAATAGTTATAGAATCATTTAATCTTTGCTGTATATTGATTCCTAAGAGCCAGTATATCAGAGAAAAACAGACACAGAAAGAGAAATAGACAAAGGAAGGAAAATGGATGTATCTTCCAAGTTGCTGAGAAATAACCCAATAACCAGAGTCATGCAAAGGACTCAAGGGATGTCAGAGAGGTGTTAGCTCTTATCAGTGGAAAGATTTTATTATTACTTGAGCCACATTAATGACCTTTGAAAAACTTTCTACTTGACTCTTAAAGTGACCACATCATCACTTTGATTTATGCAAACAATTTAATAATTCCTTTCTGTTTCCTTGATTCCAGTCACTTAAAAACTTTATTTTTTAACACAGATATCTGAGATGTATCCCCCAAAGATTCTGTTTTAATTAGCTGAATCAAAATGTTCCACAAATGATTCTGATCCATAGCCATAAGTGAGAACTACTTGATCTGGGCTTAGTCCTTTCCATAGTGAGTAGGGCCACATTTTCAGAGGATTCAGCATCTTGAACCAAAATCCACAAACTAAGCCAATAGCCTATCTTTTCATTAGGAGGTAGGGTCATTGACATTTACTTTTAATTGCAGAAAGGGAAGATTTGGTGTGAATCTGGGCAATCCTACCAGGGAGAAATCCAAGGTCAAAGTAAAACAATGACTTATAATGAGAAACAGGAAGACTACACAAGTGAGTGGTTATTATCACCTTGTTTCCCATGTCTAAGTTAGCTTGATAGACTCTTCTTAGATTATTTGATATTAACATTCAAGCTAATCTTTATTGTCACATGTAACAGGACCCTAGTACTAGCTTTATAAATAAAGGTCAACTGCCAACTCTTCTTACTATGATGATTTCTGATGAAAAAGAGCTACTGAGAACAAAATGAACATGGACAGTTTGGCTCACTTGACATGGATTGCTATTGACCCCAAGTTAGACTACAGAGAAAAAAGAGGAGATGCAGTTATCCGGAGGGAAACAAAAATAAATTTGAGACTCTCCCTTTTCATTAAGAGTTCCCTGACCTTGAAATGTTCAAAGTGCAGTTTTACTGAATCAATTCATCAAACTGCTACTGGGAACAGATTATACAAATTCACCTTAAATTTAATCATGAAACAGTTTTTACTTTCGACAACTTCATAGTAAATGAAAAAAAGAACAACTTCATAGTAAATGAAAAAAGGAAACTGACAGCAAAGGAAACATTACCCTAATTCAGGGATATTGCTTTTTGAGTTTAGTAAGATAAAACAAACTATGTTAAAGTCAATTTATATCTTCCTATTTTTATATCTTGATTTTTTCCCTAAAAATAGAATAATACCTTTAATTTTATCTCAATCTGGAACAAAGTTAGGAAACTGAAACATAGTGAATATGAAAGTTTCAGACTAGGAACACTTCTACATGGCCAAAGTGTTTCTGAGTTTAAAAATATTTTAAAGATTATTTAAAATAAAAGTAATTCTAATTTAGATTGTGATGTCTTGCTATATTTTGGAATGTGAAATTAAATAAATAAAAATATTTTGACCCATTTCCAATTTAAAATGTTACAGTAGAAAACAAATTATTCTGACATGGATATTTTATTTAACTCTGGTCTTTAATTCTGAACCCGGAGAACTCAAATGTTTTGGTCATATCTTTTTTGTTTGTATGTTTTTGAGACAGAGTTTCACTCTTTTTTGGCCAGGCTGGAGTGCAATGGCACAATCTTGGCTCACTGCAACCTCCATCTCCCGGGTTCAAGCAATTCTCCTGCCTCAGCCTCCCAAGTAGCTTGGATTACAGGTGCACGCCACCACACCTGGTTAATTTTATATTTTTAGTAGAGACAGGGTTTCACCATGTTGGCCAGGCTGGTCTTGAACTCCTGACCTCAGGTGATCTGCCCACCTCAGCCGCCCAAAGTGCTGGAATTATGGGTGTGAGCCACCGCGCCCGGCCTATATTATGGTCGTATCTTAAATGATGTCTATCTTTAGATGTTTCTAGCTCAATTTGCAGATGAAATAGATATATTGCCATAGATATACTGAAAGATGTACAAGTTTCAGTGATCTTGATATTGAAATCTGATATTAAAATAATTATAAATAAGTATCTGTAATAGTAACTATATATACTCATGGAAATGTACAAAAGCATTTCAATTTGCCTTGAATGAAAACATAAGCCTAGTAACCAAGTGATATTCTTTTATAAAAGCTAAAATGATACTTGGCATTTAAGCAACAGTGTATAAGGCTGGTCAAGATATTAGTAATTATGGAAGAAAAGCACTGAGGGAAGGAAAAGGAAGTTCCTTTGCTGTAATATTTGGAGGGCTTTTGTTTCTTTTTATAAAGATTTAATTTTTCCAAGTATAAAACCTACAGAAAGAGTACATAGAATAATATAATAAATACTGGGTTATGATTTTTATCTCAGTGTTTATTAAATGTAAAATATAATATAGAATGTTAATACATAAAGTGGAACTCTGCAGGGGCTTTTAAAAACTAATTTGCCTTTCTGAATGGCAGGAATTAGCCTTAGGAGCTCATGGTCACCTTTCAAAATCTTCAATTTGGCTGTCCTAGTATAAACAGGATCCTTTTGTGAAATTATCAGATACTGTTTTGATTTTCAATGTAACACTTTAGACATGTATTATCTTGTAATCAGAAATAATATACTTTCAATAAATAAATATCTTGCTTTTTGAGTATAATCAATAGCAATAAGAAATAATTGTTTGAGTTGTCAAAAAGTTCTAATAAAATTTCTGGGCAGCATATTAATTTAAGGAAAAGAAGCATCTTATAGAATTCTCAAGAACCATTAGGACTGACTTATCTTAATGAGCTGTCAGCAAGAGGTCAATGAGGTTTCAGGGAGAAAACTAGTAGCTTTCTTTAGAATAATTTAGATTCACCTGATAGCGAAACTGATTTTTGGAGGGGGAAAAAACTGGTTTTTCTTTTTTTTAAAAAAAAACCCTATACTCACTTTTTAAACACTTTTTTTTTTCAGAGCTACTGTTTTTCAAAATGTTTACAATGCTGCCAATGTATTTCTCCTAATATTACAGATTGAATAAGAAAGCTTTCACCTTCCATCATAAAATAAATCTTACTATATTTCAAATACCTTTATCTAGCTTTTCTTTATGCCTTTGATTAAGTTGCAATACTAGTTTGAATTTTATAAATATTTTCTCAATCATCTAAAAAAGCTATTTTAATAATTCAGAATAGAAATCAGCATTGTTCCATATATTAACGTTTGCAATTTATTTGAAAACTGAAAGACTAAATTACACTTATTTGAGTATTAATGCCAAAATGAAACTAGTTGGTGCCAATACTCATCTAATTTTTAAGTCCCTTGTTTTTCTCAGCTCCAGTATTTTATGAGTATGTTTATTTTCAATGATTTATTCTAGTCTTGTTCCTTATCTACATGGAAAACCACAAGTTGGCTGGCATTGAGACACTCTCTACCTTCCTGTAAATCCTGTATTAAAACCAGTTCAAGAACCCTGGAGAAGTTTCCAGCTTCTTAAGATCCTTATTTCTTATTATCCTATGTGAAAACTGAAAGTCAACAATTTATCTTGCTTACTCATACTTTGAAGAAGTAAATCTCAACTGAGAGATACTTGAAAGTAGAGACATTTTTTACTTACCACATTTTCCTTATCACAATGTGAACTGAAATCACTTGATACAATTGCAGCATACTGGAGCAGCACTTTATTGATAGTCTAAGAAAGAAAACATTGTGAACTTTACCCAGGTAAGTATGTAGTTTACAAATATGCTATAAAGTTTAATCCTAAGTTAACTTCTTGCTGTCTTTTTCATCTTAGTTCTACATTTTTTTCTCCCTCTAACAACTGTTTCTGAGCCTAAGAATGCCCTCTGTTTTCATTAATTATGCAAAGCAGAGGAAAATAAACCATGTTAATTAAATTTTATTTCAATTACTTAAAGATGCATGAATGTGTTTGCACTCACTGCTTTTATACATAGATTAAATTATCATAAGCCAAATGTAGATATGATTTTCTTAGAAGAGATAAGGCAACAATAGCAGTAGAAATGTCATCTCTTTTGATAGAAAAGTAAAGACAAAAAAGCTTTTATTTTCTTATTTGTACAACATATGCCTGAATTTTCTTAGTGGCTCAAAATCAACTGAGGGAGACACTCCAAAGAGTTAAGCTGAAGAAGAGATGTTTAATTTATAAACCTGAATTCGCTAAATTGATTATAAGCTTGCTTACACACTTTGAAAATCACAATGAAATCCTGAAATAAGAGATAACACACAGACAGAAAATCAATACTTCGTTGAAGTACACAGTAACGTGATAATATGCATCAGCTCAAATAGAAAGTTGACCTTGAAAATATAAAATCTTATCAAGCAGCAGACCAATAAATCCTGGTAAACAGATGACTGATCAGACTGAATTATCTTCAAATGTGTCTCTTCAAATTTTACTTTAGACATACTGTTCAATTACTTTGGACTTACCTATGAAATACTTATTCGTTTGTACGTATGAATACTACTCTCAATCTACAGCTTCTTGATGACATTATAAACTTGAAGAATTATTATATTGTATTGCATACACAACAACATATAAACACAAACCATAAACCTGACTTTAGGCAATCGTTGTAACTCAGACATTGTAACTTGCTTAAGGTAAAGTTTGGGCTGTGTGAAAATCCTCTACAACTTACTGCCATGTGAGATTTTTTAATTCTTATGATTCTGCTTCCCCTACATCCTACAGCTGCCGGGTGACTTGCTGAACAGCATAGATTTTGTTTTTTGCCTTTGTTATCGTTTTCTAAAGAAGAAAGAGCAAGCTGGATACCCTTTACGATAATTCTTGAAGTATGCCCTATGGCCTACAGCTTGAGTCTACTTCATAGGAAAACCTTAGTCCCTTGAATTTATGCTTAGAGACAAGGAATCCTGGGATCTCACACGTAATAGCCTACAAATGCCAATGGTTAGCAAGTCAGGATGGGCTGCAGGTAAGACAAAGTGCACAGTCATATAGAATATATCCAGCCTGGGCGACAGAGCGAGATTGTCTCAAAAAAAAAAAAAAAAAAGAATATAGCTTAAAGCTGTGTGCCTATAAGAGTTGCAAGCACACTGCCGTAATAACTCCCATCTTTACTAATGTACAATGTACACTTGAATGAGAGTGTGCAAAGTACATTTTGTGGGCAACTTCAATTTCATTCTAATTTATTCAGCTAAGTAAACCACTATCACACAATAGCTCTTTAATACTAATAAGCTGTTGCTTATGACATGCTTAACTCATTGTTTCTCGGAATGTAGTTCTGGAATCAGCACCATTATAAGCATCACCTGGGAACTTGTTGGACATGCACATTATTTGGTCCTATCCTAAATTACTGAGTCAGAAATGCCAGAGGTGGGCTCCAGCTGTCTGGGTTTTAACAAGTCTAAGGTAATTCCAATGCATACAAAGTTTGAGAACCACTATCTTAACGAATGCATGGCAGGGTGGAGGTAACTCTTCAGAGAAAAGCTGTGATGGACGGGGCACCTGGCAAGGCCTGGAACATAAGACTTCTGGGTGTGTGAGCTTAGGTCATGATTTTATCTTTGGGGAACTACTGGTCTTCAGAAGAGAGTATAGTGCAGACAGAGGGAACAAACAGCCTAGCAGGGACTGTTGCATCTTGTTCTAAAGAAATAGTCATGAGGAGTAGAGGGCTCTTTTACGGATGCCTATAAAGAGCTGCTATTCAAAAAGTTCCAGATTAAATAAAATGAAATTCTAATAGGAGTGTGGCAGTACAGAGAGTGATTCTGCTGCATTTAAAGGATTAGACAGGGTGACTGAAATATCTTTCAGCTACAATCAGTTCTGATTTGACACACAGGTACTGGTGGAGCATTGAGTGGGACGGCCATCAATTACTCAGACAAAGGCATTGTGTTTTTCTGAGCTAATGCCACCCTGTTAGGAGTGGGCTAAATATCCTGTCAACACTTCCAGTTATTCCATCTAGTGTACTGCTCTTATGATCAGTGAGATAAGAAGTGTGGTTCAAAATCCATCTTTTCATTCACATTTTATGCATGGAACAATGCAGTATTAGAGCAACACAAGGAAGACAAGAAAACTGTCATATTGTGAAGAAATGTGACTTCACGGATTTATGTAATGTATTTTAACACATCCAACATAAGATAGGGTCTCCCATTTCTGTCACCATAAATGCCTAGGTTTGACCTTAAGGGTAAAAAACAAATAGTGAGATTCTATTCTCCAAATTTCTAACTTAATTCTGATCACACCAGAATGAGAAGTGAGTATAGTTTAGTGGTTGATTCTATCTATATCATTTCAATTATTTAAACGTTTTTAGTCTGTTTCATCATGGATGGAAATTAGGGAAAATAATAGTACCCATTTAATTAGATGGTTGTGAAGAATAAGAAAATGTATAAAGTGATTAGCATATAATAATGCTCAATGAATTATCATTATTATTGTTAAAAATTAGAATTATGTTCCCAGAGAACAAGGAATAGAAATAAATATGTGTGCGTCATTTACCACAGTATCTGCAGCACCTGGCAAACAGCCAGACTCATACCCAGGACTTAATATTTGTTTATTTGTTTTTAGGCAATATTAAAAATAACATTACTTCATATCTATTTTTAAAATTAAATTACCCATACTTGTCAAGAGCAGCACTATAATCATAGGAATATTAACTACTCATGTGCCCATTTTATCACTCATCATAGCTTCTGAATGTTCTTGATATGAAATTTGAAGCATTTTGTTTGGTACCTTTTTTAGTCTTATATCCTGTTTAGTAAGAATAAATTGTCCCTTTAAATCCCATTTTAAAATGCAAAAATTTTTAAATCTCTACAGATACAATTAATGTGTCTGATCTCCAGGAGACTGTTTAAATCAATATAAATCCCATAAAGATAATGGGATTTTAGTATATTTTGATATAAGGATTCCAATACTTAGAAGCGTAGAGTTTTCAAGACTAATTAGTCAGTCACATCTGATGAAATAAAAACAAATTGCAATAGTTTGCAGTTCTTGTGAAATGGCTAATTATAGTAAACACAAACGATTTTTATCTACTTTGTTATATAAAATACAAATTATAGATAGAAATGCTGATAATGAGTTTGGGACCAGCCTGGCCAACATGGAGAAACCCTGTCTCTACTAAAAATGCAAAAAATTAGCCGGGTATGGTGGTGAACACCTGTAATCCCAGCTACTCTTGGGAGGCTGAGGCAGGAGAATCACTTGAACCCGGGAGGTGAAGGTTGCAGTGAGCGGAGATTGTGCCACTGCACTCCAGTGACAGAGTGAGACTCTGTCTCAAAAAGAAAAAAAAAAAAAAGGAAAGGCTGATAATGGTAAAATGGATTTGACTGATGTTTCTTATTTTTATATTTATGTTTAATTGATTTTGCTTTTTATTTATTATTCTGTATAGTAAGTTACTGCAAGAGTTAAAAAGAGAAATGCTGGCAAGAGATTTTTAAATCATTCCAATAAAATAGAATTTCTTTTTCAATGAAAATCACTAATTTCTTCTTTTCCAGAAAATGCTTCTCATTGTTCTTACACTATATCCTGCTGACAATTGGATATTGTTGAATTTCCATGGATTAAAAATGTTTTACTTAATTGAATTTTTTATTGCACCAATAAAAGCACACATCTCCTCAGTAATACATGGAAGCTGATTCTTTTCTTCTTGCTTCAGAGAATGTATTTTCCTGAGTGTGATTCTAATATGACCTTCCTTGTGACCTCCCACCCTTTTATACTTCCATTCAGTACATTTGGTTATACCCAAGCAGGCATATTGTGGCTATGTTCAGTATTACAGCTGAAGAAAGGTCAGAGCTACAAACGGGTGGCTGCAGCTCAGGGTCTAGGAATCTCAATTCAGCATTCTTTCTACTCTGTTACCGTGCACTCATGTCGCCCAACTTACATAACCTACCTGCCTGACTATTCTGAGGGTGAATTCTAGTTACTTTTCTAATATCAGGTACAATTATCATATGTTACTAAATATATTAACCTAAATATATTAACCCTGAGATTTTTAAATTCTCATATGAGCCTGCTTCCCCTACATCCTACAGAATTCCAAGAATAGTACGTGACATACTTTGTCAAACACTATTCCTAATGACCCAGTTTCATTCTTTTCTTGGCATTCACCCAAACACAGCTGCTCATCAAGAAAAGACTTAGAGAATTTTTAGAATTATGCTCTACAGATTTCGCTATATTGGGAAATTAGAATCATCTAAGGGGACTCAGAAAGTCATCTCTAAGAATGGTTTAAATAAATGATTACTGGCTATTATTTAATATTTTAAAAGTAGGAGGTTAGTCTTAATTAATGAAGATGAGATCAGAATATTTCATGGCAAATAAATATAATACAGTTTAGTGTCTCTCTGTCTGTCTCTGCTTCTTTATCTATATTCTGGGCCTCTTTCAACTTCTGAGATGCTCTGATTATAACATTTGACTTTGTCATAGTTGTTTGCAGCTTTGGCCCTTCCATACAAGTTTTCTGAGGTCACAGATTATGCTTATTCATGACTACATCCCTCAAGGTGGCTTATAGTGTGTGCGAGTGAGGCATATAGGCAAGCACTTGTTGAATGAACAGCCTAAAACCTCAGTCATCATTCAATCCATGGAATCAGACTTATATTTAGATCAGCCAGACATAGAACTGTGTAAGTAGTTTCCCTAAATTACTATGTTTGTTATGTCACTACCCTGCATAAAAATCTCCAAAGGTTCTGCGTTTCCTAAGTTGACCAGCACATTAAGTCTAAACTTCTCAACCTGGGAAGCAAAGTTCTTCAAGATCTGGGGTATCTTCACTCTCCCAACATTTCCTACTGCTTCTCCCCACAAGGGTTGTTTCTCCCTGCCCTTCCCATGTCAGTCTCAGCTTTACCTCTTCCTTTGTTCCCGCTATTCCTCTGGCTTAGAATACTTTTCTAACTTCTCCGTTTTAGTCTTCTATGAGCCCTGCCCTTGTCATGAAGCCTCTGTCTATTTCGGCTCTCATCAGATTTCCCTCCACTCAATTTACGGTTGATCTCACTAAGCTTGAAGCTGAATTGTGTCCCTTTTCACGTCATCTTTCAATTAGTTTATGTCATGTGGTCTTGCATATTATATGGATTTTTTCTGAGATTTGATAGACAGTGGCTGCTTCTTTTATTTCTTATATTTCCCTTGAAACTCTTGGGAAAGTAGTAAGCACATGGTAAGCCATTTTAGATTTTAAGAGGAGAAGGGGCCTTAAGATGAACTTGGTTTATCAAAATCAATATGTCAAATATGAAAACTAAATTCATAAAAAACTTGAACTATTGAGATTCAATTACAATTATTGGTTGATTTGTAATCAGAAATCAGTTTTCATGGCTCCAAGTTCAATATACATTGCACTATACTACAATGTCTGCTAAAACACTTGGCAATTTGAATGTGAAATTGCCAAGGCTTACTTTCAGCTAGAAAACACCACATTTGAAATGGGAGTAATTTGGAAATCCATGGTAATTTCTTCGATTATAAGTAACTGAGTCCTCGAAGTGAACAATAAATAGGTTTTTAAGATGATAAATCCATATTAAAGAAACAGGAAGTGTAGGAAATCAGATGGGAATCCTGGAAACAACTGAATTTACTAGTACAGAATTACAAATAAACTGGGATGGGGTGACAGAGAAGACTAACACCACAAAACAATAGCATTTTTCAGATTGCCACAGACCCAGAGAAAAAGAAGACTCATTTTATTTAACCTACCTTTGCAAATCTTCTCATTAAGTGAGATAATGCTTCAGGATTAGGGCATTCCAGTTTCTTAATAATTTCAAAGCTCTGATTCAGCTGAGCAAAGACATCAACCACGGAGCAAGAAAAGAGAGCATGCTCAGATGTCTGCTGGAACTGTGGGGAGAGGAGGTGAAACCATCCCAAACAGTACATTAGAGGCGGAATGGAAAAATCTTCACTGTTTCCCATCAACAACTGAATCTCCCGTATCACATATTTACATTTCCCAGTAATAAAATGCTTACCCACTTTAAAATCATTAATCTCCTTTTCTTGAAAGTGTGGTGGAACTAATATCATGGGGCAAGCTACTGCTAATTGGTTTTTCCACTGCTGAATTGAGGTACTGGTTCTTTTGTCTTTCATTTTCTCCACAGGCAATAGGTTAGCTTAGCAAGACGGTTGTGGCTCACGATTTTGGGAGCTGCTTCACAGGGACTGGGAGAATGTCTGCTCCTAATCTAGAAATCCTGGAAAAGTTCCAGGACAACAAAGATGTTTTGTACAAGGTTAGGAAACCTGTAGATTCAGATTAATGTAAGAATTAAAGAAAATCTTGGGAAAAATGGGTGATTGATTTTTTTTTTTTTTAATAAATGTAGGCAAGTTTCTAGGGTTCTGACCAGACCACTGAAATTGTGTTTTAAATTAATTTTGGTCACTGGGGAATGGAAACAATTAATAACAATGAGTCTAATAATTCCCATTAGGTTAAAAGTAAGCAATGTGACTGAATCATGGCAATGAACTTTCTTAAGGTAATTTAAACTCACTCCATCTTTTTTGTCTCTTCCCAGTGCTCCATGAAGGAATTCCATTGACACATCTTCGTTTTCATCTAGCCATTGCATGACAAAAGGTTCAAACCACCTATAACAAATTAATAATGTTACATACCACAAAGGACATCATTTGCATAAAATTAACAGGAATGCTGCTCTTTTTGCATATGAGAGTAATTTAGAATCAACAATCTCCTTTCATTCTCTCTTGCAGTTTTGCTTCCTCAGAGACCTTTACCTGTTCTCCATCAAATCAGTCTCCTCCTCTTTACCTCCAACCTCTACCCCCGTCTTGGTTCTTCGCATGCTGCCTCAAATATGCTTAGTTTCCAACAGTTACTCTGTAATTCCCTTCAAAATTCAAACTCTTGTAAAATGTAGACCTTGTGTGCTCTCTTCCCTATCAACGCATTTCCTCATTTTTAAATTCTTTGCCATATAGCTTCTACCCATTCACACTAATCTGTAACCGATCGTGGGTGCTTACCTCAGACTCCTTAGTTATGATCTATAATCTATGGACAACTGATTTTTGGAAATTGTGTAGGATATTTTTTTCTCCATTCTGAGCATAAATTCTTTTTTCTGTATGTGTGCCCAGTTGATCTAGCACCATTTATTTAGAACACCCTTTATTCCCCCACCGCATTGAATTTGCATCTTTGATGCAAATCAGGTCATCATGCCATACATGTGAATTGGCCTCTGGACTATTTTATTCCCTTGGTTTATTTGTTATGCACTGATATGGTTTGGATCTGTGTCCCCACCAAAACTCATGTCAAACTGTAGTCCTCAATGTTGGAGGTGGGGCCTGGTAGGAGGTGCTTTGATCATGCAGGTGGAGTTTTTATGAATAGTTTAGAACTATCCCCTTGGTGCTGTTCTTGTGATAGTGTTTGAGTTCTCATGAGATCTGGTTATTTAAAACTGTGCAGCACATCCCACCTCACTCTCTCTTGCTCCTGCTCCCCCCATGTGAGATGCCCCATTCTCTCTTTGCCTTTTGCCATGATTGAAAGCTTCCTGGGGACTTCCCAGAAGCAGAAGCCACTATGCTTCTTGTACAGCCTGCAGAACTGTGAGCCAATTAAACCTATTTATTTTTTACCTAGACTCAGGTATTTCTTTATAGCAGTGTGAGAAAGGACTGAGAAATGCATTAACATGACACTCTCTTAAGAACTCTACTTTATTAGCTAACCAATAATGTAGTTCTCCAGTTTGTAGATTGCCTTTGTATTTTTAAGCACTTTGCATTTCTACATGCATTTTAAAAGTCTTGTCAATTTGCACAAAAATATCTTTTGAAATTTGCATAGGGTTGTATTGAAACTGTAGGTCCATGTGGGGGGAATTGCTATCTTTATAATAATGCATCTTTTTAGGAATGTTACAGATTTCATTTAGTTCATCTTAAATTTCTCTCATAATATTTTATAGTTGCTTGAAAACATGGCTTGTACGCCGTTCATCACATTTATTTGTGGTGATTTTAATGTTATTTAAATGGTACAATTTATATATGATTTTCTAATTGTTTGTGGCTATAATACAGAAATTTAATAAAGTTTTAAATAGACCACACTTACTTTTAAAATTCTACTTCAAAAACATTTTGAATTTTCATCTACTTCCTGTTTTAGCTGCATTCTACAAAATTGGATATGCCATATTTTATTAGCACTTAATTCAAAATATTTTGTAATTTTTACCATGATTTCTTTTTTTACTCATGAGTATTTAGAATATTCTGCTGCTTTTCTGTATTTAATTATCTAATTATCTTCTTGGAGTTGATTTGTGTCTTAATTCTACAGTGTCAAGAATATATAATACATGATTTCTCCCCTTAACATGTATTAGTTTTGTTTTATGGCTCAGGAGGCAGTCTATTTTGGTAAATGTACCATGTGTTCCTAATAACAATATGTATTTTATTGTTTTTGTTTATAAATTTTATATGGGTGTTTTTGTGTGTAAGCATTGTCAATGAAAAATTATGGAAACTCTGGATGATCAGATATAGATATAGAAATGTAGATACCTATATAGATAGATATCTCTAAATGTTTTATTCAGATTTTTCAAACTTCTTTGTTCTTACTGTTTGTTGGGGTCTGGTTTTTCAATTCATTGCTGAAGAAGCATAATCTCCAGATAGTTATTTAGTCCTGTTGTCTGGTAGCCTTTAATTTTTTGATGAATGTTATATATTGTCCATGAAAAGCTGTGGACCTTTGATCTAGACAGTGTTGGGTTTTAGGTTGGTCTATTTCCACTTTGTCATTATTTCTAGGGCAGAGACCTTCAAAAATCTCACCTGAAAGCCTAGAGTGTTTATAATGTTCCTTCTTTCTTATTTTTTGTACACAATGTATGATTCCATTTATAAAAAGTATAAAAATCTATAAAACTAATCTATGCTATTAGGCATCAGAAGGTGGTTACTGCTGCAACAGAAGGAGAGACTGTTACTGTAAGTAGGCACAAAGGGGACCAGCCTTGATCTCTAACATTTGTCCCTTCAGCACTATGAGACTGCTAAAGTATCTACTTAGTTCCCAATCTCTTAGTGGCCACTTTCTACTTGATTTTCTTCTGCCCCAATCTCAACACATAGGTAAATTAGGCATCAGAAAATGCCTTCAGTGGGAACTGCCTGTAGCATGTTGGACTCATATCTCTGTGGTTTCCTTTTCTCTGGGATCTTGGTCTCACAAATCCAAGCAGCCTTCATAGCCCCATAACCCATATTGTTTCTCCAGTCCAGGGAGACAGCTGTAAACTCTGAGCTACTGTTGGCTGTTTGCTCTGCAAGCCCCGTATTGCAAATTGGCAGATGTATGGGGGTGAAAACATGGGAGAGAAGATGCAACAAAATACAGGACTCACCTTAGTGCATTTTTCTTTTCTCAGGGATCTTAGATTCTCAAGTCCTGGTTGCCTTTGTTGTCTTTCTGATGCTGTTTAATTTTATTTACCTTTTTTGTTGGCCATCAGGGAAAATATTAGTCTGATTTTAGTTTAGCGTAGAGTGTCTAGACAGAGCCAGAAGCAGAAGCATCTGGCAAATAGCTCCTCTGTTTTACTTCTCTATTCCTGATCAATGATACTACCAACAACTTAGGCATACAGACTTCATATTTAACTCTTTCCTCTTTCTTGTTTATTTTTCTATTTTTAAATTTTTTTCATTTCAATAGGTTTTGAGGGGAACACGTGGTGTTTGGTTACATGAATAAGTTCTTTAGTGGTGATTTCTGAGATTTTGGTGCACCCATTATCTAAGCAGTGTTTACTGTACCCAATGTGTAGTCTTTTATCCTTCCCCCCCAACTTCCCTTTCCCTCAAGTCCTCAAAGTCCATTGTATCATTCTCATGCCTCTTTGCTTCTTCATAGCTCAGCTCCCACTTATGAGTGAAAACATATAATGTTTGGTTTTCCATTCCTGAGTTACTTCACTTAGAATAATGGTCTCCAGTTCCATCCAGGTTGCTGTGAATGTCATTATTTCATTCCTTTTTATGGCTGAGTAGTATTCCATGGTGTACATATATATATATATACACACACACACCACAATTTCTTTATCCACTTGTTGATTGATGGGCATTTGGGCTGGTTCCACATTTTTGAAATTGTGAATTGTGCTGCTATAAACATGCATGTGCAAAGATCTTTTTTGTATATGACTTCTTTTCCTTTGGGTAGATACCCAGAAGTGGGATTGCTGGATTAAATGGTAGATCTACTTTTAGTTCTTTAAGGAATCTTCACCTTTCCTCTTTCTTTTAACCCCATATGTCTTTAGTTGACAAATTCTGTAAATTCTATCTTCAAAATTTCTCTCCCACATCTTCACCCTTTACATACTTGCTGCAATCACTCTATATTTTCAGTATGGCCTTTATTTAACATAAAGACTATAATTTTATTGTATTTATTTTAAGTATGTTTTATTTGACAAAAGAAGTTGTATGTATTTACCAAGTATAACATGTTGTTTTGAAATATGTATATATTGTGGAATGGCTAAACTAAAATAATTAACAAATGCATTACTTCACATACTTATCATTTTTATGGTGAGAACATGTAAAATATGTTCTCTTAGCAACTTTTCAGAGTATGATACACTAATTACAGTCACCATGTTGTATAATAGATCTCTTGAACTCATTCCTCCTACTTAACTAAAATGTTGTATCTTTTGACCAAAATCTCCCCAACACCCTATACCCCATAGTACGGCATTTTTAAGTTATCCCACTGTCCCCTTACTTCTTATATACTTTGTATGAGAAAAGTTGTGTTAAAGGGCTGTTCTAATTTCATCTCTAAATCACTCATTACCTTCTAAATCTCTTCTCTGCCCCCCATTCCTTGTCTCTTCCAACTCCCACAATGCCTGATGAATGTGGTACAAGCTTCACAATATTTATTTATAACAATCTAGCTCAAAACTACTTTTCCTACATTATTTTTTTAAAATATTACTTTCTATTAATTTTATAAAAATGGAAATATGCCTTACTTCCTATGGATGATAGCTCATATATTCTTACCTCCATAATTATGCTCATAACTTTCATTTTCATCTTAATGCTTTTTCTCCCTTTTCTTTCTGTAACCTGGCAAATTTTATAAAGTCTACATCAAATGCTATCCCATCTATAAATATTGTGTGGAGTTCCCCAAATAGAGGTAATTTCTCTCTTCTGTGAAACCCTATTGCGCTTTGCTTATGCTCCTTAAATTAGCACATATTTCACTTTGCCTTGCTTTATAATGATATTTAAGCTTATCAGCATCTCCTAGAGTATAAGTTCCTTTCAGGGTGGGGGTCTTTATTTTCTATTGCTCTACAGCACTTGGAAAGTGCCTGCCATAGGGAAGACCCCATCAATAGAATAAAACAGAATTCTAATACATATCAAATGCAAATTATTACATGAGTCCTTGTGTGATTAAAATGTGTTTGAAAGAGGCATATTTATGAGAAAGTTCCCTGTTAAACCACTATTTCTATTTTTAGAAATATGAATTCCTAAGAGAGTTACAAGTTTGAATAGAAAGGAAAATCTGAATATATAGGTCAATATACAAGCACCATACTTTCCCCAAAAAAATCTGTGTTCTGGTATTTTTACAGAAAATCATTCATGTTATCACATGAGCCATGTCTTATTATGCATTTTTTGTCTTTGAGTTGAATATCCAGGTAGGGCGTATTTGAAATATGCAACACAATTCAATTAAATATGGTTCCCAAAGACATGCAAATCCTTTAATGTTAACTTCATAATGGAAATTTCTGCATTCCAATGAAGATTATGTGAAGAGATTTTAGTGGTACACAATTCAGGTGTAATTTTACAGGAATGTGAATTTAGATCTGAGGGTGTGTGTGTTAAAATCACTACTTACAAGGAGTATTCAGGAACAGCATCCTTGAAGGCAGGAAGTTCACGCACATATTCATTATAAAACCATTTAACTTTGAAATGCAAATTCATATAATCGGTGCTCTTGCATAACCGCTGATTTTCATGTTCTATAACAGATAAAATTAAATATTTAATAAAGCTTGGTTTGCCAACAATGCTGCTATGTTCCAATCTATTTTTATTAATAGAATTTCTAAAAGGAAGAAAATAGTATATTAGATGTAAAGGTATAATGAATTGCTAAAAGCTGACCTAAAATTTTATAAAATGCAGAAATAATTATAAGTCCCACATAGAATAGGTCAAGCAGTAATGCAAAATAACTTCAATGTTCTAATCCAGCTTACTGAAAAATGTGAAAAGTCAGATGTAGTTACAGAGTAATAACATACTAAAATTTCTGTTTATCTGCAAATTTTCATATTTTTACTGCTTTTAGCTTGATGCAAAGTGACAGAGAGAATTAAAATTCTTTTTTTAAAATTATTCTTTAAGTTTTAGGGTACATGTGCACAACGTGCAGGTTTGTTACGTATGTATACATGTGCCATGTTGTTCTAAGCATGCATAAAACATGAGTCAGGAGCTATAATCATTGATTAATCAATATTGGAGATATGAAGTGAGTAGATCACATTTCTGGCCTAGTTATTTACCCCCTAAAGCATTAAAATAGTTGAAAAGGAGAGAAAATATCTCTAACTTATGAGGCACATGATTTCTTCTTCATTCTGTAGGTTTACCTAAAGTTATCTTGCACCCCTTGGCTTTTTTGATACATTCTTAGCAGGATTTCCTAATATGTGGCATTTTTTTCTCTCTTGCTCAAAAAATATAGCTTATCACAGTTGTTAAGCTATTGTGACCTGGACATACAGGGCTGGGGAATAGAGACAAATAATAATGTTACTGAGAATGTTTATCTATGCTATTTTTCCCTCCTTAATAATATTTGGCCAGTTTTCACTACAACTGTAAACATAATGAAACCTAAAATATACCTAGCTATATCCAGGTTGAATGTGCCCTCTGAGAAATTCTGCTTGAGGTCTGTGAGTCTCCTAAGGACTTTGATTTATAGCAGAAACATCCTATACTTTACATTCCAAGCTAAATTCTTAAAACACTATTTGAAGAATTAGGTTGTTATAAACAAATTAAAGGCATCCCTGCTTTTCAAAACCGGAATATAGAGGGACTAAAATCCCAATCGTGAACATAAGAGAGAACTCAACCCCAGGTCAAACATTTCCAAATTATCTGAACAATGATTAATTCAAGACAAGTTGTAGAGCAGACAGAAAGAGAGAGAGAGGAGAGAGTGAGGGAGAGAGGCAGGAAGGGAGGGAGGGGAACATAAAGACATGTACTCACATAGAAACAAGAGTAATAAACTAATACTTCTAGGCCAAACTCCCAAACAAGATTTTAGTCAAGATGATATTTTGCTTTAGGTTCCTCCAAATTCATTTCACTGTTTTCACCATTCAGTGTAAGCTCTCCCCTAACGTCTTTCTTCAGATGTCTAATATCCCTGTGCTCTTTAAGAGAAAACATTTACTTGATAAACTCAGGTAGAAATTTCACACAATACTACCCTGAAACCCAGATCATGGAGACCTTCGCTCGGGGACTGATGAATTTAGAAGGTTCAACTTATCACAAATATAGACTCATCATTAAATAGCTCTTGGGCTCCTCTATCACTTGGGATCTTACACTTGGTGCTGGCACAGAACAAGCCAGAATACTAAATATTTCCTCTTGTGAGTAACACCACCTACTCTTATGATTAACACCCTCTAAGACCCAGAGAAACATTTTGGAACATTTTTCCTCCTGTGTCCTAGAATCAAAAGGTGACAATGTCCAAATGCTACCAAGGTTTGCGGGTTGTACCATTGCTGACAACAGAAAGATACTGCTTTGGAGTGTGGGGAGAAATTTGTGCTCTGGAAGCACTGAGGTAAGAGAAGGGGCAAACTAATTAACTTGCCAAATTCTTCCTTTGGATAGCAGAAATGCAGCAGATTATTGCATAATAAAGCATCATTAACAAGCACCCACTTGCTTACTTTCCTTTGGTTCAACTGTATGTGTCTGAAGATACTCATAAATCACTGCAGTACCATTAATCAAAACAGGTGTACATAATGGCTGAGAACTATGTTAAGTATTAAATAATTCATATTATGTTTAAATTTGTGCATGTAAATTTCTATGTTAATATACATGAAGCCTGATACTTCTTTGCCAACTAGATGGCCATTTAATGTTAAAATGGTCAATAGTTTTTATTTTTAAAATCTAGATACATGAGGTTTAACTAAATTTTAGCTGTATTCAAATGATTTACCTTAGAAATTTATATCTAATATTAATAATTTGTATTTTGTTTTCATTTAAATAAATATTTTGGGTACTTTAGAAAAAACCTTCTGAAAACTATATATAAACTGTATCTGAGAACACATATAGAGATAATTTTGTTTTAATTTTTGTATTTGAAAGTTTAAATTGAACCTTTGTATAAACTATAGACTCAAATGTGTGTTTGGAATACGGCAACCTTTTATTTTTTAATCCTTTAAATATTAACAAGCTGTGTAAACTCTGATTAGGTAGAAAAAGAAAATATATGAGTAGAAAAAGTAAAGGCTGAAAAGCAAAAAGAGAGAAAACATTTCAAAGTGAAGCTGTGCCTAAATTGTTTTTTTTTTTTTGAGATGGAGTCTCGCTTTGTCGCCCAGGCTGGAGTGCAGTGGTGTGATCTCGGCTTACTACAAGCTCCGCCTCCCGGGTTGACACCATTCTCCTGCCTCAGCCTCTCCGAATAGCTGGGACTTACAGGCGCCCGCTACCACGCCCGGCTAATTTTTTGTATTTTTAGTAGAGACGGGGTTTCACCATGGTCTGGATCTCCTGACCTCGTGATCCCCCCGCCTCGGCCTCCCAAAGTACTGGGATTACAAGCGTGAGCCACCGTGCCCGGCCAGGTGTGCCTAAATTTTAAAAACAGAAAATAATGAAAGCAAGCAGATATCATGTGACTTAGGAAAGGTATTGTTTGTTTGGCACCACATTAAGCCAAATGCAAAATATTTGAAAATTTTTATTATAAGAACAAATTAGTGATTTTGCTAAAATAAAGGTGAGAAAGTATATTTTCTGAAAAAATATACTGATTTATGCATACATTTATTTAAAAACAAAAATATTACCAATCTAAGCACAACACTCAAATATGCATATTGATAATTACATTTTAACTTTTGCATTTTTCCAGCTTTTAGCATCTTAAAATATAACTGCTATTACGTACAACTTTTATCATGTTGATATGAAGGTTTTTTTTTCCTTTGGTAGGAAGTTAGGATATGTTTTATTTAACAGTTTATTAGTTAGATTTATAAATTATAACTATTTAGGTCTATGGTATGTGGATCTTCATCTATGCTCTTGCCTCTGCAAATGTTAGGAATGAGCCTGAATTAATGTGTTATTTCTTCCAAGAGCATTTGTACATGAAGAGAATGCTAAAGAAAAAAGCAACTCAGTTTCATTTACTACCAAAAAATGTTTACTGGGTGTGTCTCTTGCCCCAGGTTGCATGTGAGGCATTGGAAATATAAATATAAACACATTGATCTGAAGTAGATGGAGCTTAGGAAGAAAGGGTGATATGTTAACTTTCAATTCAATACAATATGGCAAGTGCCTTGATTTTCGACAGGTACAGGATGTTGTGGTCTCCTGGAGGAGATGAATTTAGCTGTACTTTGTGCTTTAAGTGAACAACTTAATAATGAAATGATCTGCCGATAGTGGTATTTAGTGGGAGAGAGGAATTTATGTCAAAAGAAACATAAAACAAGACATTTTTCTTACTTAAATGGGATACTATTTAAGATGTGTGCATGTCCGCAAAATTATGTAACTATGTTTCCAATTAAAACCTTGAGCTTTTTCCTGTCTCTCTACTCATGTTTTTAAATATTTTGGTGGTAAGTCTGGGTGAATGTTGAATTTATGCCATGCCATTAAAAAAAAAAAAAAGTTTCCCAATCCCTGTCCCTTGCAATGCAGTAGCCTCTACACTTTGGAAAGCAGGTAAAAGCCAGCAGTAGGCCGCATTCTGGTCAGTTTTTCAGACAAGACCTTCAGTTCATTTGCTTAACCCATTTGTTCTTCAATTCGAGTTGTTTCTTCCTCCTTCTCTGGCTGCTCTGCTCAGAACTTATAGATCTCCTCCAATTCATCCTCCTGGACTCTGCAAACTCCCTACATTCCTGCAGTCTCTTCATTCCTGTTGTTCCCACAAAAGAAACACTTCTGTCTACTTTACTGCAGCCACACATAGGCAGACCACTTCTTCACTTCACAAGTCTTCCCGTTGAGGATGGATATGGGAAAGGAGATAGGAAAGATACCTAAATCTTTCTAAAGAATTAAAACTAGTTTTATTCTTATCTAGAGACTACTCATTCTAGTTCCTAAGAGTGTACCTGCTATGATAACTCTAAGTATCAGGGTTTTACCAGCCTCTTTGCTGGGAAAAAACATTAGAAAAATTACTAATAGTTTCCTCCTTACAAAGTTGCTTCTAAACCCATGGGAATTAATCTTTATCCCTTTATGCTATATTTCTCTCATGCACTATCAGCTGATATTTATTGTTCTCCGTGGACAGAAACAGGGGAGCTCAGTATCTGTTTGCCCATTCTGCCAGTTCAACAAAAGAGTAATTGGGTTTTTTCATGCATTATGCACTTCAGCTGATATAATAAAAGATTTTCAATATATTGAGTTAATTGGTGATACAAGTCTGATCTTGAGGACAGTACAAACAAAAAGGAAAAGAAATGATATGCTTCTATATAATGAGATCTACCTGTGATGTTTGCCCTTAAGTGGCAAATACTAAACATAAGATTTTGTTGGTTTGTTTGCAGTGACTTGTAGTACAGAAATCATCATGAACCCCAGTATTTGTGGCAGGTTTAACTAACTGGTTACCAAACTATGTCCTTTTCCTCTCAGGTACACAACCAGACTACATTTTCCAGCCTTCCTTGCTGTATGATTGAATTTGGGGCTCTGCTACATCACAACAAGATTTTCCAAGCTTAATACCCACTTATTAATTATCCTCCAGAGTGCTCTGCTTTCTAATTTCCTGCTTCTTTCTTCTTGCATACATATACATACATATAGATGTATATATACACACATACATTGAGGCTGTCTCCTTGCCCTGTTGGAACTGTATCAGTGTAACTCTAGCTGACTCCACTATGAATTGATGCACCACTGCACAGAAAACCAGTTAATCAAATTTGTTAAGTTCATGCTAAGATAAAAGTATACAGGCTTTGAATGGGGAGTAATCATACAAGTAAAATACATAGGCTTTGTGGATAATCTAATACATATTTTACCTTCCTGTCATCCTTGTTTCATATTTGTGGTCTCTCAGTTACATTCTGGGTAGTTAATGCCTCTTAAATGATTCTATAAAAAGTGAGCTGTTATTGTTCCAAAATCCAAGTGCCTGTTTTTCTTATGTGTTCATATATGCCTTCCATAATGAGTAATCACATATTATACAGGAGATATTTAAAATAAACTACAATTATATCCTAACTAATGCCTACCAAATAATCAATGTAAGATATTGTCATATCAAATTCAAAAATATAGTTCAAATTACCTTTATTTCTACTCAAATTATCTTCTGCTTAGTGGTAGACTGCGTTGACAAAATGGCATCAATCTCAACTGATGTGAATGACTCTTAGAATTTATTTAGCCATCAATCCTCCTACATTTTTAATTTTGGCAACAAAGATTTAACTAGCTCATTACATTTACAAAATAAAACATTTAATTAGTTTTCCAAACTGCAGTATAATTTTGTACAAAATTTAATCTTTGAATTTCAATGAGAAATGTGAATATTTTACTACCAGAATAAAAATGGTTCATTAAAACTGTACAAGGAAAAGGCTTGGCAATTGGGAAGAATGTGACTATTTTCCTTTAAATGGTGCTTACAAGCATTCACTTGAAAATAATATATTTTCTTCAGAAAGTCAGTGTTTATTCATGAGTTTTTTTCTGTATAGTGTACAATTATGTTTTGGTTTACATAATAGGAATGGTATATTCTTGACCTATTCTCATGCCAAAGGAAAATTTGCTGCTATCATCACAGTGTTGTTTTTCAGTCCTTACTTTGTGACATCATTTTATTGCATAAACACTGCTTTATCCTATAGTTTGTAACATATAATTTCATTAAGACTATTTTAATTATCCCTCTCCATGTTTGGCAGACTGCTCTAGCTCTAATAGGTGGTAATATGAATGGTCTGGAAACAATATGAAATAAAAAGCCTGTATTAGGACTCAGTATGTATAATGTTTTACTAGCTATTGTGTGCTCACAAACACAAAATTTTATCACCAGGAAACGTTGGTTCTAAACTATGACAGACTATGATAGATACAAAACACACGTAAGCATTTCCAAGGTAATTATAACTTCACATTAACAATATTTAGATGGGATCATGAGTTCTTTTTTATATGCTAAGAATGGTAAGCCATGTAATTAGAAGTTGAAAAAATAAGGTAGGATGAGTTGCCATTTTCCATTTTAGAGAAACTTTATAAAGATCTTATAATGTTGGGATATCTTTGGAGGCAAGAAATCATCAAAATCCTGGCTGCCAAAAGTAAGCTATAGTGTTAACAAGGTTAAAGGTTAGAGTAATAAAAATGAAAAAATAAATGACTATACGTAATATGTCAGGAAAAATCATCTGGACCAATGTGAATCCTCTAGAGAGGAAAATAGGAAAAAAGGAAAGATTAGTCACAATTGTAAATTATGGTAATCAAATTTCTTTTCTCTCTCTCTGTCTTTTTTTTTTTTTTTTTTTTTTTGAGATGGAATCTTGCTCTGTTGCCCAGGCTGGAGTGCAGTGGCACAATCTTGGCTCATGGCAACCTCCACCTCCTGAGGTCAAGCAATTATCCTGCCTCAGCCTACCAAGTCATTGAGATTACAGGTGAGTGTCACTACACCTGGCTAACTTTTGTATTGCTAGTAGAGATGGTGTTTCATTATGTTGGCCAGGCTGGTCCCAAACTCCTGACCTCAAGTAATCCACTCGCCTTAGCCTCCCACAGTGCTGGGATTACAGGTGTGAGCCACTGTGCCTGGCCATTATGGTAATAAACTTTCTTTAGAATCAATGACTTTGGAGGAACAAATATAGTTAATTTTTGTAGGGTAAGAAAAAAGATATAGAAGTTTCTTTCATGACACATTTCTGTTATTAAATCTTAGCAAAATACCAGGAAAAAAAGCAAAGAAAATTAAAGAAATAGTGCCTTACTTTATGACCACTGAAACTCATGCCAAAGGAAGCTTTATTCTTGAGAGGAGTAGCAGTTGGTAGTTCTGCTCATAGTCACAAACAATTCCTCAGCAGAAACCCGGAATGAATCCAGGATCCCTGGGTTCATTAAACCAGGAATGATGTGAGGTTGGACATACCTCATAGATACACTCTCTGATTGATCTACGTAGAATTCTGGCCTAGATCTATGAGTATGTTCTGGTTGGACATTCCTCATAGATATACTCTCTGATTGATCCACTTAGAATTCTGGCCTTGATCTATGAGGTATGTTCCAGTTGGACATTCCTCTTAGATATACTCTCTGATTGACCTACTTGAATCTTGGCTTATATCTAGTTCTGGTCTAGATCTAAAGCCATACTGGCATGTTTAGAGGAAGAGTCACTCCATGATATGACTTGGAAGAATGCTGCATGACTTGTCCAAGCCATAGACCTGAAAAATTAGGAAGCAGTATACAGGTAGATCCACATAATCTGATGTTGGAAATAGAGATGGATAGTTATAAAGAAAAAGAATGGGATGGAAAGAGAAAGGGTATTTTTAAAAAAGAGACAGCCAACAGGCTGGATCATAATGATAAAAGATAGGTGTCCAAAGCTCTTGGCATTAATTGACAAATCATTGACTAAGTGTATTAAAAAAGATAAGTTTCACTTACTTTGCATATTTACCCATAATCCTATAAATAAATATAGTACAAAGTATATCTGTGAGAATTAGAACTAAGGACTAAAATGTGGATTTCATTCCTTTATACAACATATATTTATTGACTATTCTACTATGAACCAGGTGCTATGTTCTTTTTTCTTTTCTTTTCTTTTTCTTTTTTTTTTTTTCTTTGAGATGGAGTCTTGCTCTGTCACCCTAGCTGTAGTGCAGTGGCGTGATCTTGGCTCACTGCAGCCTCCACCTCCTGGGGGTTCAAGTGATTCGCCTGCTTCAGCCTCTGGAGCAGCTAGGATTACAAGCGCCCGCCACCACACTGATATTGTGTGTGTGTGTGTGTGTGTGTGTGTGTGTGTGTGTGTTTTAATAGATCTGGGTTTTCACCACGTTGACCAGGTTGGTCTCAAACTCCTAACCTCAAGTGATGCGGCCACCTCAGCTTCCCAAAGTGCTGGGATTATGGGCATGAGCCACCATGCCCGGCCACTGGGTACTATTTTCTATACAGGAAATACAGCAAAGAAAAAGACACGGTGTCCCTGCCATCATGGAGCTTATAATATAGTGACAAGTGGCAGACAATAAATGCCATTCAATATAATGTGAAGTATAATGTGAGGTATGTGTTCTGGAAAAAAAATATATAATGTAATGTAAGGGGAGGAAGTGGGCCTGGAGTGCCTTTTTTGATAGGGTGCTCACGGAAGGTGGCTCATGAGATGACAAGAGAGCAGAACTGAATGAAGTCAAAAAGCAAACCACAGAGCCATCTTCTGGAAGAGCATTCCTGGTGGAGAATACAGACAGTGAAATGGCCCTCAAGCAAAAAAGTGTGCTTGACAAGCTCAAAGAGATGCAAGGAGGCCAGTGTGACTGAAGCAAAGTGAGTTCAGGGGAGTGTTGAGATCTGGGTTCAGAGAGAAACCCGGACTAGGTCACATAGGATCTTGTAACCCATGACTGAGACATTTTCCTCTAAGAGTTATGGAATAAAACTGCATGATTTTGGTCTGATTTACATCTGTAAAACATGACTTCGGTTGCTATCTGGTGAACAGAAGACAGGGATGAGAAAGTGGAGGCAGAAGGAGATGCAGAAGGCTACTGCAGTAGAACAAGGGACAGGGCAGCTTGGACACTTGGGTGGTAGCAGTGATGATTGTGGTAGAAGCGGTGAGGCATGAAGTCTAATCTTGGTTCTGTGTCTTTCCACTACATAGCCTTACCTCTCACCTCTTTCCTACTAAATAACCTGAGACCAGAAATGGTAACTTATTGAAATTTTGTATCCTTGCTCAATCTTGTTTGCTTAGAACCATAGATGGATGAATAGATGAATAGATAAATGGATGAAAGAATGTAAAGATTGTATCCAGTTTCTTTGCCATTTCCATTTCTTCATTTTCTTCTAGGTCTTACTGGGAATGAAGTGGATCATCAATCAGACTAATCAACATTGGACTTGGCCTACAGCTTTGCTGGTTTATAGCTTCCAATGGGGAAAAGTCACTGCTGCATCTTACTCATTTTTTTTTCTGTATTAAAATAAAAGGCCCTGATTGTGTCAGTAAATTTTTTTGCTAAGAATTGTTGATAAAACAAAAAAAAAATTCATCCATAATAGTTCAAATTAACCACTCATAAATAATCAGTTTCAAGTATGTCTCAGAATCTTATAACTTTTATTACAAAATCATTACTTATAGTTTTTTATTAAAACACTCAAATCTTTGTGGATTTTACCTCTTGAAATTTATGGTACATTTTCTCATTACTTATTTAAATGTAACCTGTAATTGAGATCCTTTTTTGTGGGAGGAAATTGATTTCTATCAATGATTTACAGCATACAAAAACAAACTGTAGGAATTTCTCTTTTTGGTAGATTTCAACTAAGCTCTTTTTTCCTTAGCTTTTCTGAATTTGCCTTCATCTCCTTATTATTTACTAAGGAGATGGGCCCAAGTGATAGGTCATGAAGATAAAGTGAAAACATGTTCACTTAGTTTATATTTTGACAGGAAGTAAAAACATCCTAAATATTTGATCAATTTAAAATGTATTATTGGCAGGAATAGTTATTTACTTACTTTACTGATAATGTATTTGTTTAATAAGTCTAAATTTCCTTTCTCTGTATGCCATTTTAGTTCTGACATGTTCAATTCAGCTCATGGTTTTAAAATAACATCTGGATAGGAGTTCCTAATGTATCATGTCTCAATTTTACACTGAAAACGCATAAGTGAACACAGAAAATTATGAATACTTCCATGCTCGCTAAAAAGTAAAACCAATCAATAACCATGGCTAGGACCTAGGGGAAATTTTCAAAACAACTGGATTTATAAAACTGCAATACAATGACCCATTCAGATGTGTTTGAGCACCTAAGACCATGTCTCCCACTATAATCCTGACTCTTGCTGTTCATCTCTTCCTCACCTCCAGTTGCTTGCCAGGTATGAATGCATATAAGAGAAAACTGTGTAGCTAATCATCAGCTTCCTAGATGCTGGTTTTTTTTTTTCAGGGAAGCCAGAGTTCTGATTCATAATCCTTCCCAACCCTGCAACAAATAATTCAATGTATGAAAGGTATGGAAGACCACTTCCAGAAGATAACTAGCCAGGAAGTGTGTGAGTGTGCATGTGTGTGTGTGTATGTACTGTGTGTGTTTGTGTATGTTCCGTGAATATGTGTGTTTCTGTTGGTAAAAGGTAGGTAAAAAGGTGAGAGGGAGACAAAGAAATGCCAGTGGCATTTTGCATTGTAGGGAGAGTGTTTCTCACAATTAAAATAACCTTAACATCCTATGCAATGGCAAAGACAGAAAATAAGTAATGTGAAGAAAACAGGGCTGGGCGCAGTGGCTCATGACAGTCATCCCAGCACCCTGGGAGGCAGAGGCAGACGGGGTGAAACTCCATTTCTACCAAAAATATAAAAATTAGCTGGGCATGGTGGCACGCACCTGTAATCCCAGCTACTTGGGAGGCTGAGGCAGGTGAATGGCTTGAAGCCGGGAGGTGGACGTTGCAGTGAGCTGAGATCGCGCCACTGCACTCCAGCCTGGTAACAAAGTGAGACTCCATCTCAAAAAAAAGAAAAGAAAAGAAAAGAAAACAGCGTAATTCTCATGAAAAGAAATTAAAAACAAAGAAAAATTGTTCTAAATAATCATCTGGATTATTTAGAGTAGTTCACAAACCTTAGTCTGAGCTTGTTAAAATGCAGATTCCTGACCCCTACTCTCAGAGATTTGGTAAGTCTGGAATAAGCATTCAGGTGAATATAAGCATTCAGATGAATATAATGCAGGTGACCTGGCTGGCCTATGTTGACAGACACTGTCACCAAGGTTAACACAGATCTCTGAAAAACCAGCTGAAGAGCAGAAGATAAATTTAATTTAAAAGCATGCAAAGTGGTAAGATGATGTCTTATTTTCTATGAAATAAGAAAACAAAGCCATAAGAAGAAAAGACACTTAGAGAATAAGATTACAAATTATGACGGAGTTGCAGCTCTAGTATTCACTATATTAGAAAATTAATATTCACTGTAAAATTTAAATTGGATAATGTTAAAAGCTACCTAAATGTTTAGAGCACTTCTGACAAATAGTTAAATTTTCTTAATATTCAAATGATTTTTATAAATTAATAACAATTAATAAACTAGTTCATTAAAAAGTTAGAGGATAAGAAATTCTCATTTACAATGGCCTTTAGACATGTGAAAAATGTATAACTATGTTCATATTTAAAGAAATGACAATTTAATGAGATATTTGTCAGACTGACAAAAAGTAAAATATACACTGCTTTTCCCATTAGGGAAAAATTGGCAATATATATCAACATTTTAAATGTGCAGGAGACTTCAAGATGGGTAAACTAGAGGTACCTGGCACTTGCCTCCTCCACACAGAGGGACCTAAACACCAAGTAGGTAACCACATGTGGAATACAGCATCTGGGAGAGAACAGTGGAATTCAGCAGGGAAGAGACAGAGAACTTCTGAGGCGAGGAAGGAGAGAGAAGTGAAGTAGCTGGCCCCTCAGGATCAGCTCAGAGTCAGGAGGAACCTCCCATTGTGGGAAAAAGGTGAACAAAAGATCCCCAGTGGTTTAAATTCCCACCGCCCGCTCCTACATTCCTAACACAGGAGAACCCTTTGGCTCTCACAGGCCCTGAGACTGGAATAGGAGCTGCTGCGAGTTCACTTGATTGGATTAATTCAAAGAAGGAGTTCACGCTGGGTCCTGTAACCCCTCCAAGACCCAAACAGCAGCAATATTGTGCTATTTTGAGAGCCCAGGCCTCACTGGACTATCCTGTGCCCAGAGGGCTAAAAGCTCCTGCATTTACGTTACTGAAGCTCTGCTGACATCCCCCTATGTCCTTCCCGAGGACTGCAGTATCATGACACTAGCTGGACACGGCAGTGCAGCTGAGTTTCCACTACTCTAGCCCATGCAGTGCCTTACACCCCAGGGAACATGTGGTAAAGCACACCAGAGAGGCTGCCATGAGAAAAAAGCGAGACAAAGTGTATATTCCCCAGGGCTTGAGAGCCACCTGCCTAGGACCACTGCCATGCAGAGCAACCCTGCCCCTCACAGGAGCAATGCTGCCACACACCTGCAAGTGCCTTCAAGGGCCTTGGTTATGGGCCCATCCACATGTCATCCTGGGACCTGAGGAGAGATTTGTCCTGCACATCACCACTGCTGCCTATACCCACACAGGTCATCTGGAGGCCTGGGGATTGGTCCATCCTGCCTGCCACTGCTGGCATCCCCATGCACCATCAGGAGACATGAGGACAGGGCTGCTCTACACACCACAGATGCAGCAACTTTTCATGTCCTCTGGATTCTGTGTCCTGCCCACCACCACTGGTGCTTGCATACAGCATCCAGGGACCCAAAGACAGGCCCATCCTTGTCCCATAAACCCCCCAAAACCCAAGCAGCTGCAGCATTCTGCTATTTTGAGAGCCCAGCCTCACCAGACTATATTGCGCCCTGAAAGCCACTGCTGCTGCAACCAGTACTTGCATGTATCATCCTGGACCTGGGGACTGATCCAACCCACCTGCCGACTGCAGGTACACACACACACACCTTCCAAGACCCTGAAGATCAGCTCACCCTGTCCCCCACTGTAGCATGTGCATGTCATCCAGGAGCATTAGGAAAGGCCAATTTCTTTCTTGCAGTCTGCACCCAAGTGTGTTTCTCAGGGGTCAGGGACTGGCCTGCCCAGTCCTGCACTGCCACTGCTGGCTCCAGCATGCACCACTCATGGGCCTGAGGGTTGGCTCACCACCACTACTGCCACTGCCAATGTTATGCATACTGACGCCACCACCACTGGCACCTGAGGACCAGCATGCCTAGCATCCCATCCACAGCAATGCATTGCCATAGCCTCCACTAATAACGGCAGCTTAAACCACAGAGGAACTCCAAGACATTAATGATACTGATTACAGCCAAAGGAATGGTACAGAGAACACACTACTATGCCCTGCCAGAAACAAAACCAAAGCATCCTACCAAACCAATACTATAGTTACATAGGTTTTGAGAGCCAAGTCCTCATGAGAATACATTGTACCCTGAGACCCTACAGCTAGTGCATCTATAGATCCCTGAAGCCCTGCTGACATCCCCTCTGCTGAGAAATCTGCTGCTAATCTGATTTCCTTACATGTGACTATAGGAAAAAGGCTTTCCCTATAAAAGCTAATTGATAAAATTAGAAAAAGTGACTGTTACACCAGGTGTGCAGATAGTAAATGCAAGAACCCAAGAAATAAGAGAAAGCAAGGAAACATGACACCTGCAAAGCAACACGATAATTCTCTAGTAACAAATTTCATAGAAAAGGAAATATATGAAATACTTAAAAATTAATTAAAAATGGTAATACTAAAGAAACACAGAGCAAGAGAACCCAGATAAACAATACGAATGAATTAGAAAATTCATAATCTGAATAAGAAATTCAACAAAGAGATAAACATCATTATAAAGAAAAAATCATGGAACTAAATATTTAATGAATGAAAAAACATAATTGAGAACTTCAACAATAGAGAAGGTCAAGCAGAGTGAAGAATTTATAAACCTGAAGACAGGTCTTTTGAGATAACCCAGCCAGACAAAACTAAAAAAAAAAAAAAGAGTAAAAAAAGAATGAACGAAGCCTATGTAACACATGAAACATTATAAAGTGACAAAATATTCAAAACTTCAGTGTCCCAGAGGGTGAGAAGAAAGCCAATGGAATAGAAAACCATTTTATATTATTAAATATAATAGCTTAAATAATAAATAAATAATAAAGACCACAGCAGAGCTAAATGAAGGCTTCTTAAGTCTTACAATAAATATGGACATTCAAATACAGGAAGCTCACAGATCTTCCAACAGATTCAATCCAAAAGCTTCCTCCAAGGAATATTATCATCAAACTGCCAAAAGTCAAATACAAAGAAAGAATTCTCCAAACAGTAAGGAAAAAGTCAACTCACATATAAGGGAGTCTCCATCAAACCAACAGTAGCTTCTCAGCAGAAAGCTTACAGGCCAGGAGAGAATAGGATGAAATATCCCAAGTGCAAAAGAAAAACAAACAAACAGCAACAACAAAAAACTGCCAATAAAAAATACTATACCCAGCAAAGCTACTATTCGAATCTGAAAGGCAAGTAAATTCTTTCCCAGACAAACAAAAACAGAAGGAATTCATCACCACTACACAGGCCTTACAAGAAATGCTTAAGGAATCCCTATATTTGGAAGTGAAAAGATGATATCTACCATAATGAAAACAAAAAAGTATAAAATTTACTAGTAGAGTGCATACAGAAAAAAAAACTAAAAGGAATCCAACATTATCACTTTGAAAACCCAAAAAATTGTAAAGGCAAACAATAAAAGATGAATAAAGAAAAACGGATATATGAAACAATCAGAAAACAAATAACAAAATGACAGGAGTAAGTTATCACCTAACAATGATAACCTGGAATGCAAACTGTTTTAAATTTCTGATTAAAAGATGTAAACAGGTTAAATGGATTTAAAAAAATCTGACTGTATGCTGCCTAAAAGAAATTTACTCCACCTGTAAAGATACATATAGACTGAATGTGAAGGAATTAAAAAATTATTCCACAAAAATGGAAATCAAAAGCATGCAGGAATAACTAATAGCAGACAAAAGAGACTTTACATTAAAAACAGAAAAAGAGAAAAAGAAGAACATTATATAATAATCAAGGGATCAATTTACCAAGATGATATATCAATCATAAATATATATGCACCCAATACCAAAGCACCCAGATATATAAAGCAAATATTCTTAGAGCTAAAGAGAGAGAGAGACCCCCATAAAATAATAGTCGGGGATTTCAATAATCCCCGTGATTATTGAAGCACTGCAGAGCACTTGAAGCACTGGACAGCATATATATTCAAGGATTTATAGCCAACTGAATTTTTACAAAGGCACCACGAACACACCTTGGTGAACAGATACCCTCTTCAATAATGGTGCCAGGAGAGCTGGATATCCCATATATATGCACCCAATACAGGAGCACCCAGATTCATAAAGCAAGTCCTGAATGACCTACAAAGAGACTTAGACTCCCACACATTAATAATGGGAGACTTTAACACCCCACTGTCAACATTAGACAGATCAACAAGACAGAAAGTTAACAAGGATACTCAGGAATTGAACTCAGCTCTGCACCAAGCGGACCTAATAGACATCTACAGAACTCTCCACCCCAAATCAACAGAATATACATTTTTTTCAGCACCACACCACACCTATTCCAAAATTGACCACATAGTTGGAAGTAAAGCTCTCCTCAGCAAATGAAAAAGAACAGAAATTATAACAAACTGTCTCTCAGACCACAGTGCAATCAAACTAGAACTCAGGATTAAGAAACTCACTCAAAACTGCTCAACTACATGGAAACTGAACAACCTGCTCCTGAATGACTACTGGGTACATAATGAAATGAAGGCAGAAATAAAGATGTTCTTTGAAACCAATGAGAACAAAGACACAACATACCAGAATCCCTGAGACACATTCAAAGTAGTGTGTAGAGGGAAATTTATAGCACTAAATGCCCACAAGAGAAAGCAGGAAATATCCAAAATTGACACCCTAATATCACAATTAAAAGGACTAGAAAAGCAAGAACAAACAAATTCAAAAGCTAGCAGAAGGCAAGAAATAACTAAAATCAGAGCAGAACAGAAGGAAATAGAGACAAAAAAAAAATCTTCAAAAAATTAATGAATCCAGGAGCTGGTTTTTTGAAAGGATCAACAAAATTGATAGACCACTAGCAAGACTAATAAAGAAAAAAAGAGAGAAGAATCAAATAGATGCAATAAAAAATGATAAAGGGGATATCACCACCAATCCCACAGAAATACAAACTACCATCAGAGAATACTACAAACACCTCTACGCAAATAAACTAGAAAATCTAGAAGACACGGATAAATTCCTCGACACATACACTCTCCCAAGACTAAACCAGGAATAAGATGAATCTCTGAATAGACCAATAACAGGATCTGAAATTGTGGCAATAATCAACAGCTTACCAACCAAAAAGAGTCCAGGACCAGATGGATTCACAGCCGAATTCTACCAGAGGTACAAGGAGGAACTGGTACCATTCCTTCTGAAACTATTCCAATCAATAGAAAAAGAGGGACTCCTCCTTAACTCATTTTATGAGGCCAGCATCATCCTGATACCAAAGCCGGGCAGAGACACAACCAAAAAAGAGAATTTTAGACCAATATCCTTGATGAACATTGATGCAAAAATCCTCAATAAAATACTGGCAAAGCGAATCCAGTAGCACATCAAAAAGCTTATCCACCATGATCAAGTGGGCTTCATCCCTGGGATTCAAGGCTGGTTCAATATACGCAAATCAATAAATGTAATCCAGCATATAAACAGAACCAAAGACAAAAACCACATGATTATCTCAATAGATGCAGAAAAGGCCTTTGAAAAAATTCAACAACGCTTCATGCTAAAAACTCTCAATAAATTAGGTATTGATGGGACGTATCTCAAAATAATAAGAGCTATCTATGACAAACCCACAGCCAATATCATACTGAATGGGCAAAAACTGGAAGCATTCCCTTTGAAAAGTGGCACAAGACAGGGATGCCCTCTCTCACCACTCCTATTCAACATAGTGTTGGAAGTTCTGGCCAGGGCAATTAGGCAGGAGAAGGAAATAAAGGGTATTCAATTAGGAAAAGAGGAAGTCAAATTGTCCCTGTTTGCAGATGACATGATTGTATATCTAGAAAACCCCATCGTCTCAGCCCAAAATCTCCTTAAGCAGATAAGCAACTTCAGCAAAGTCTCAGGATACAAAATCAATGTACAAAAATCACAAGCATTCTTATACACCAACAACAGACAAACAGAGAGCCAAATCATGAGTGAACTCCCATTCACAATTGCTTCAAAGAGAATAAAATACCTAGGAATCCAACTTACAAGGGATGTGAAGGACCTCTTCAAGGAGAACTACAAACCACTGCTCAAGGAAATAAAAGAGGATACAAACAAATGGAAGAACATTCCATGCTCATGGGTAGGAAGAATCAATATCATGAAAATGGCCGTACTGCCCAAGGTAATTTATAGATTCAATGCCATCCCCATCAAGCTACCAATGACTTTCTTCACAGAATTGGAAAAATTACTTTAAAGTTCATATGGAACCAAAAAAGAGCCCGCATCACCAAGTCAATCCTAAGCCAAAAGAACAAAGCTGGAGGCATCATGCTACCTGACTTCAAACTATACTACAAGGCTACAGTAACCAAAAGAGCATGGTACTGGTACCAAAACAGAGATATAGATCAATGGAACAGAACAGAGCCCTCAGAAACAACGCTGCATATCTACAACTATCTGATCTTTGACAAACCTGAGAAAAACAAGAAATGGGGAAAGCATTCCCTATTTAATAAATGGTGCTGGGAAAACTGGCCAGCCATATGTAGAAAGCTGAAACTGGATCCCTTCCTTACACCTTATACAAAAATTAATTCAAGATAGATTAAAGACTTAAACGTTAGACCTAAAACCATAAAAACCCTAGAAGAAAACCTAGGCATTACCATTCAAGACATAGGCATGGGCAAGGACTTCATGTCCAAAACACCAAAAGCAATGGCAACAAAAGCCAAAATTGACAAATGGGATCTAATTAAACTAAAGAGCTTCTGCACAGCAAAAGAAACTACCATCAGAGTGAACAGGCAATCTACAAAATGGGAGAAAATTTTCGCAACCTACTCATCTGACAAAGGGCTAATATCCAGAATCTACAATGAACTCAAACACATTTACAAGAAAAAAACAAACAACCCCATCAAAAAGTGGGCAAAGGACATGAACAGACACTTCTCAAAAGAAGACATTTATGCAGCCAAAAGACACATGAAAAAATGCTCATCATCACTGGCCATCAGAGAAATGCAAATCAAAACCACAATGAGATACCATCTCACGCCAGTTAGAATGGCAATCATTAAAAAGTCAGGAAAAAACAGGTGCTGGAGAGGATGTGGAGAAATAGGAACACTTTTACACTGTTGGTGGGACTGTAAACTAGTTCAACCATTGTGGAAGTCAGTGTGGCGATTCCTCAGGGATCTAGAACTAGAAATACCATTTGACCCAGCCATCCCATTACTGGGTATATACCCAAAGGACTATAAATCATGCTGCTATAAAGACACATGCACACGTATGTTTATTGCAGCACTATTAACAATAGCAAAGACTTGGAACCAACCCAGATGTCCAACAATGATAGACTGGATTAAGAAAATGTGGCACATATACACCATGGAATACTATGCAGCCATAAAAAATGATGAGTTCATGTCCTTTGTAGGGACATGGATGAAATTGGAAATCATCATTCTCAGTAAACTTTTGCAGGGACAAAAAACCAAACACTGCATGTTCTCACTCATAGATGGGAATTGAACAATGAGAACACATGGACACAGGAAGGGGAACATCACAGTCTGGGGACTGTTGTGGGGTGGGGGGAGAGGGGAGGGATAGCATTAGGAGATATACCTAATGCTAAATGACGAGTTAATGGGTGCAGCACGCCAGCATGGCACATGTGTACATATGTAACTAACCTGCACATTGTGCACATGTACCCTAAAACTTAAAGTATAATAATAATAATAATAATAATAATAATAATAATAATAATAAACAAAAAACCATACCCCTCTCACTATACACAAAAATAAACTCAAAATATATTAAAGACTATCAGACCTGACACTACAAAAACAGGGTGAACACTTCAGAACACTGGTCTAGGCAACTATTTTATGGCTAAGACCTCAAAAGCACAGGCAACAAAAGAAAAAACAGACAAATCAGAGTGATATAATTTGGCTATTTGTCCTCTCCAAATCTTGTGTTGAAATTTGATCCCTAATGTTGTAGGTAGGGCCTAATAGGAGGTGTTTGAGTCATGGGGATGGATGTCTTCACACTAATGGCTTGGTATCCTTCTTGTGGGATTCAGTGAACTCTCACTTTTAGTTCCCATAAAATCTAATTGTTAAAATGTGTCTGGCACCTCCCTTCCCTCTCTCTTTTCTCCTCTCTTGTCGTGTGATGCCTGCTCCCCTTCTTCTTCTGGTATGGGTGGAAGCTTCCTGAAGCCCTCACCAGAAGCAGATACTGGCACCATGCTTCTTGTACAGCCTGAAGAAACATAAGCCAAAAAGACATAAATTACCCAGCCTCAGGTATTCCTTATACCAGTGCAAATGGACCAACACCAGGACTATATTAAACTAAAAAGCTACTGCACAGCAAAAGAAACAATCAACAGAGTGAAGAGATAACCTATAGAATGGGAGAAAACATTTGCAAACTATTCATCTGACAAAAATAATATCCAGAACATACAAGAACTCAAACAAGTAAACAGCAAAACAAAACAAACAAACACAACAAATAATTACATTAAAAAGCAGGCAAGGGACATGAATAATTTCTCAAAAAAAATGACATACAAATGTCCAACTGGTATATGAAAAAATGCTTAACATCACTAATCATCAAGGCAATGCAAATCAAAACCACAATGAGAAATTATCTCACTTCAGTTAGAATGGCTATTATCAGAAGGAAAAAAATAGCAGATGCTGGTGAGGACGCAGAGAAAAAAGAACTCTTACACTCTTGGTAGGAATGTAAATTAGTATAGCCATTATGGAAAACAGTATGAAGATTTATCATAAAAACTAAAAATAAGACTACCATATGTTCTGGCAATTCCACTACTGGGTATTTACCACCCCTCCCAAAAAAAGCAAATCAACAAATCAATATATAAAAGAAATACCTGCACCCCCGTGTTTATTGTAGCACTAATAACAATAGCCAAGATAAGTTTTCATCAATGGATAGATGGATTAAAAAATGCAGTAAGCCCAATGGAATATTATTTGGCCATAAAAATAATGACATTATGTCTTTTGCAGAAATCCAGACACAGAAGACAAATATCACACGTTCTCATTTAAAAAGGTGTACACACAGATGTAGAGAGTGGAATGATAGATAATTAGAGACTCAGAAGGGTGACAAGGTAGGAGGGGGAAAGATGATGAGAAACTGGTTAATGGATGCAATGTATATTATTCGTGTGATATATACCCTAAAAGCACTGACTTCACCACTACATGTGTAACAAAATGCACTTGTATCCCATAAACATATATAAATTTATAAAAAAAAACTAAAAAAAGAAAAAAGAGAAGAGGTGGTATATATACACAATGGAATACTATTGAGCTGTAAAAAGGAAGGAAATCTTGCACTTGCAGCAACATAGATGGAACCAGAGGTCATTATATGATGTCAAATAAGCTAGGCACAGAAAGACAAATTTTGGGAGCTAAAATCGCTGATTTCATGGAGTTAGAGGGTAGAATGATAGTTATAAGAGGCTGAGAAGGGTAGAGGAGAGAATCAAGAGAGGTTGGTTAATGGGTGCAAACATAAAGTTACAAAGAAAGAATAAGAAAGTTGTAGTGTTTGCCAGCACAGCGGGGGTAACTAAAGTTAACAATAATTCAATGTATATTTCAAACTAACTAAAAGATTTGAACTGTTCCTAACACAAAGAAATGATCAATGTTTAAGGCGATGGATATCCTAATTACCCTGATTTGATCATTACTCTTTGTATGAATGTATCAAAATATCATATGTCCCATACATATGTATAATTATTATGTATCAATAAAATAAAATAAAATAAAATAAATAATCAATAAAATAATCTCCAACAAACATCTAATGCATACATATTTAGGCCATTATCCTAAGCAAGTTAACGAAGGAACAGAAAACCAAATACCACATGTTCTCACTTTTAGTGGGAGCTGAGCATTAGGTACTCATGGAAATAAAGATGGCAACAACAGACACTGGGGAGTACTAGATGTGGGGGTGGGGGAGAGAGGGAAAAGAGGGTTGAATAACTATTGGGTACCATGCTCACTACCTCGGTAATGGGATCATTCATATTCCAAACCTCAGCATAATGCAATATACCCATGCAACAAATCTGTACATGTCCGACTCCCCAAATATGAAATACATGTTTAAATTATTTTTAAAAAAGGAAACAAGTTAAAAACAAAAAGAGAGCCTTGAAAGCAGCAAAGGAAAAGCAAATTGTTATATATGTGAGAACGTCTATTAGATTATCAGTACATATTTCAGAAGAAACATTCTAGGCCAGAAGTAAGTGAGATGATATACTCAAAATTATGAAAGAGAAAAAAACTGTCAACCAATAATACTATACATTGCAACTCTGTTTTTCAGAAAAAAGGAAGGAGTGATAAATACTTTCTCAGACAAATAAAAGAAGAGAATGGCGGGTCTAGTTTATCACTGGTACATCTGCATTAGACCTGCCTTTGAAGAAATGCTAAGAGCAAATTTTTAAGATTAAGGAAGAGGATGCTAATTACTGATATGAAAACATATAAAAGTATAGAACTTACTGGTAAAAGTAAGCACTTTTTAATGAAAGAAAAGTCAAATCCAAAACACTATAAAACTGACATAACAATGGGCAAGTCAATGATAATCTTCAGTAAAAAGTTTAAAAGGCAAAACTGTTAAACACAACTAAAATTTAAATAATGGGTTAATGGATGCATATTATTAAAAGATGTAAACTGTGACATCAAACACAAACAAGGAGAAGAGGAAATAAAAGTGTAGAGTTTTTCTTGGCTATCAAAGTTGGGTGATTATCAGCTTAAAATAGCCAGTTTTAAAGTATGAGAGGCTTTATGTAAGCATTAGGGTAACCACAAGAAAAAGGCTATAATAGATGTACAAAAGATAAAAAGGAAAGATCCAAAGCATATTATTACAGAAAGCCATGAAACCAGTGAAAGTAAGCAAAGGTACAGAAAGGAATAAAGGATCTGCAAACAATCATCAAACGAATACCAAAATGGCACTTGTAAGTTCTTATCTATCAACAACTGTTTTAAATGTAAGTGGATTAAATTCTGTAATCAAAAGGCATAGAGTAGCTAAATAGATTAATTTTTTAAAAGACCCAACTATATGCTAGCTACATATAGCACATAATTGGGTCTTTTTCACCTTACAGACAAGTCATAGACAGATAATCCAAATAGAAAATCAATTTAAAAAGCATTAATTTGAACTACATCAAACAGACATAACACACATATACAGAAGATTCCATCCAACAGCAACAAAATACACATTTTTTTCAAGTGTATACCAACAATTTTCCAAGATAGATCATATGTTAGGCCACAAAATAAGTCTTAAGAAGTTAGACTATACCTATATGCTACCTACATATAGCATATAGTTAGGTCTTTTCACCTTATGGAAAAGTCATAGACTGAAAGTGAAGGAATAGGAGAAGGTAGAACATGCAAAGAAAGCCAAAGGGGAATGGGGGCATCTATACTTATTTCAGACAAAACAGACTTTAGGCCAAAAACTATAAAAACAAAGGTCATAATAAAATGATAAAGGGTCAATTCATCAAGAGGATAAAACAATTGTAAAGATCTATACACCCAACTTTGAAGCACCTGCATATGCAACTACAGATCTCATTAAGAGATCTGAAGAGAGACACAGACTGCAACACAATCATTGTAGGGAATTTCAGTATCCTACTTTCAACAATAGATAGATAACCCAAATAGAGAAATCAACTAAAAAAGCATTTGCTTGAACTATAACAGACATAACACACATATTCAGAATATTCTATCCAACAGCAACAAATGCACATTCTTTCCAAGTGCATACAGAACATTTTCCAAGATAGATCAAATATTAGGCCACAAAAAGTCTTAACAAATTTGAGAAGATCAAAATCATATGAAGTATCTTTTCCAACCATAATTATATAAAACTAGAAAGCAATAACAGGAAAAATTATGTAAAATTAACAAATATATGGAAATTGAACAATGTGCTCCTAAAAAACTATAGGGTTAAAAAAATGAAAAAATTTGAAAATATCTTGAGAGTATTATGGGATGCAGCAAAAGTAGTTCTGAGAGGGAAATATATAGCAATAAATGCCTACATTAAAAAAGAAGAAAGATCTAAAAGTAAAAAAAAGTTACATCTCAAGTAACTAAAAAACAAGGATAAACTAAATGCAACATTAGCAGAATGAAGGAAACAACAAAGATCAAAGCATAAATAAATGGAATAAAAACTAGAAAAGCAATTTAAAAGACTAATGAAACAAAAAATTGGCTTTTAAAAAGATAAACAAAATTGAAAAAATCTTAGCTTTTTTCTTAGACTAAGAAAAAAGAGAGAAGGCTCAAATAAATAAAATCATAAATGAAAAAAGAGATATTACAGCTGATAACACAAAGTACAAAGGATCATAAGAAAGTACTGTGAACAACTATATGCAAACTAATTAGACAACCTGAAAGAAATGGATAAAGTCCTAAAATCATATAACCTACCAAGACTGAATCACAAAGAAATAGCAAATCTGAGTAGGCCAATAAAGAGTGAGGAGACTGAATCAGTAATTAAATGTCTCCCATTAAAGAAAAGTCCAGGACCAGAAGCATCACAACTGAATTTTACCAAACATTTCAAGAAGAACTAATACATATTCTACTCAAACCCTTCCAAATATTGAAGAGGTAGGAATACTTCCAATCACATTTCATAGTCTAGCATTAAACTGATACCAAAGCCAGACAGATACATTTATTTTCATTATATCCTGATGAACATAGATGGGCAAAAATCCTCAACTAAATTATTAGCAAACTATATTCAGCAGTACATTAAAAAGAATGAACACCATGATCAAGTGGGATTTATCTCTGGGATGCAAGGATGGTACAATATATGTAAATCAATACATGTGATTCATGTTATATTAAAGAATGAACAAAGACCATATGAGCATCTTAAAAGAGTCAGATAAAGCATTTGATAAAATTAAACATCACTTTATGATAAAACATACCACTCAACAAATTAGTTTTAGAAGGAATATTCCTCAATAGAGTAAAGACCATATATGACATGCTCACAGTTAACATCATACTGAATGGCAAAAAGTCGAAGACTTCTCCTCTGATCTCAGGAACAATATAAGGATGGCTACTCTCACCACTTCTGTTCAGCATAGTACAGTCAGCCCTTCATAACTGTTGGTTTTATATCATGGATTCAACCAACCATTGATTGAAAATACTCACAAAAAATTCCACAAAATTCCAAAAAGCAAAACTTGAATTTGCTGTGTACCAAGTACTACCCTGAACCCACATAAATGAAGTGATGTGTTGGCATTGTATTAGGCATTATAAGTAAACTAGACAGGATTTTATGTATATGAAAGGATATGCATTAATTATATGCAAATATTGAGCCATTTTAGATAAGGGGATTGAACATGCACAGATTTTGGTATCTACAGGGGGTCCTGGAACCAGAGACATGTGAATACTGATGGGTAACTGTACTGAAAGTCCTAACCAGAGCAATTAGACAACAGAAGGAAATGAAAGGCATCCAAATGGGAAAGGAAAGAAAAATCTGCTTGCTGATGGCATGATTTTATATAAAGAAAATCCTGAAGACTCTACATAAGAAACATTCCTAGAACTCATAAAGGAACTCAGTGAAGTTGCAGGATACAAAACCAACTTATGAAAATTAGTATCATTTCTACACAGTAATAATAAACTGTTTGAATTAGAAATTGAGAACACAATCCCATTTACAATAACATAAAAAATAACACAGAAGGAAATTTAGTTAAGGAGGTGAAAGATCTGTATACTGAAATCTCTAAAACATTGATAAAAGAAATTGGAGGTAACATGAGAAAATAGACATCCCTTACTCATGGATTGGAATAATTAATATTGTTAAAATGTCCATAGTGCTAAAATCAATCTATAGATTCAGCAAAATGTCTATAAATATTTCAATGCTATTCTTCACGGAAATAGAGAAAACAATCCTAAAATTTGTAAGGAATCACAAAAGTCTTGAAATAGCCAAAGTAATCTTGAGCCAAAGGAGAAGCATCACACTACTGGATTTCAAAATACTTACAAAGCTATAATAAACCAAGTGCATAGTATTGACATAAAAACAGATATACTAAGCAATGGAACAGGATAGAGAGCCCAGAAATAAATCCACATATTTATAGTCAATTTATTTTTGACAAAGGCGCCAGTGCACACAATGGGGAAAGGACAGTATTTTCAACAGATGGTACTGGGAAACCTGGATAGCCACATGCAAAAGAATGAAAATGGACCCTTAACTCACCCCTTATACAAGAATCATCTCAAAATAGATTAAAGACTTAAAAGTAAGACATGAAACTGTAAAACTTCTAGAAGGAAACACAGGGGAAAATCTTCACGACATTGATCAGGGCAGCGATTTCTTGGCTAAGATTCCAAAAGCATAGACATCCAAAACAAAAATGGATGGAATGAATCAAAATAAAAAGCTTCTGCACAGCAAAGGAAACAAAAAAGTGAAGAGACAACCCATGGATTGGGAGACAATATTTTCAAATAAATACATTGGATACAAGACTAATATCCAAAATACATTAATACAATGAACTCAAACAACTCAATAACAATAAAACAACCCTATTTAAAAACAGGCAAGAGACCTAAGTAGACATTTCTCACAAGAATATATAGAAATGGCCAACAGATACATGAAAAATGCTCAATGTCAGATAAATGCAAATTAAAACCACAATGAGATATCACCTCACAACTATTAGATTGGCTATAATCAAAAAGATATAATATAAAAAGTACCGGTGAAAATGTGGATAAAAGTGGACCCATACATGCTGTTGGTGGTACTGTAAATTAGTACAGGCACTTTGGAAAACAGTATGGAAGTGTCTCAGAAAACTGAAAATGGAGCTATTATATGATCCAGCAATCCCACTTCTGGGTGTATAGCCAAAGGAATTGAAATCAGTATGTTGAAGAGATAGATATCTACATCTACACTCCCATGTCCATTGAAATATTATTCAATGTGGGAAACAACTGAAGTGATCATCATTTAATGAATGGATTTAAAAACATGGGAAATATACACACAATGAGATACTATTGAGCCTTAAAAGAGCAGGGCAGTCTGACATTTTTGACAACATGAGTGAACCTATAGGACATTATGCTTAGTGAGACAAATGCCATATGATCTCACCTAGACGTGGGATCTGAAAAAGTCAAACTCAAAGAATTAGAGAATAGAATTGTGGTTATCAGAGGCTGATGGGAGAGCAGGGTAGATGGAGAAGGGGATATATTAGTGAAACCATAGACAGTTTAGGTTAAACAAGAGGAATAAGTTCTGGTGTTTTATTGCATAGCATGGTGACTACAGTAAATAATAATTTATTGTGTATTTCAAAATAGCTAAGGGAGAGGAATTTAAATGTTCCCATCAGAAAGAAATGATAAATATTTGAGGTAATGAAAACAATAATAAAATTGATGAAAACTTAAAATCTTGTAAAAAAAAAGAAATTTGTAGTCATCTCTGTCCTCTAGTTACACTCAAGTTTGTGTACTTTTTTGCTTTTCATTTAGAAATTGTTGGCAAATATTTGGATTTAAATAGCCATCATTATCATAATTAGTTTCATCAAATAACTACAATTTTGGAAAACTCCATCATTTACTGAAAAATTCTTCTTGAGTTATTTAAATTTATGTTTCCCTGTTAAAATGTAAGCCCCATGAACGAAGGAACCATGTCTATCTTGTTCACAGCTGTATTTCCAGTCCTTGTTTAAAATATAGATAATATGGTTTTGTGCCCAGAAATTCTCATTTAGAAACTCCAGTGTAGGTCCCAGAAGTCTGAATATTTTAACAACTGTCACAGTTTATTTTAATGCACAGTCAGGTTTGGAACTACTTCTCTAGAATAATGCTGGTCAATACAGTAGCTCTGGAAATTCACAGGTCTCCTAATTTCTTTAGGATCAAATATTAGTTTCCCAATTTATCATAATATTTTAAGATGCTTCTTGTTGTCACCTTTATTTACTGCTTATTTGCATAGCCATTATTAATCTTTTATTACATTTTTCTCTTTTTGAATTTTATTTGATATTTTTCAAATTACTAAAATAATACCTGATTGTTGGAATAAATGGGAAAATCAATCTTCCAATCCCACCCCACCTCCACTGAATGTCCATGGAACACTGATACGCTTCTTAGGAATACAAATATGTGTGTGTGGGTGGGGTCTGTTTTTATTTGCCAAAAGAGAATAATCACATATATAATTTTTTTGTCTTAAAGATGCAACATCCTGACACGATAGTGTCTCAAGATCAATTTACTTCCACAGGCAAATTCAGCCTGAAGTTCATCTCCAACATGCCCTTTTGTCACATACGTCAGAATACCAGTATCCAGAGTTCAGCTGACTTTTTTGGAAATTGATGTCTAATAGCTGTAGACATTAATGGGGTACATGAGATATTTTCATACATGCATACTATGTGAAATGATCAAATCAGGGTAATTGAAATATACATCACCTCAGTCATTTACTGTTCTTTTGTGTTCTGAAATTCTAAATCTCTTGCAGTTATTTTGAAATACATTATAAATTCTTGTTAACTATAGTCACCCCACTGAGCTATCAAACTCTAGAAGTTATTTCTTCTATCTAATTGTATTTTTGTACCCATTAACCAACCTCTCTTTCCCCACCTTTGCAACCTCTGGTAACCACCATTCTACTCTCCACCTCCATGAGATCAATTCTTTTTAGCTCCCACATATGAGTGAGAACATGCAAAATTTGACTCTCTGTGCTTAGTTTATTTCATTAAATGTAATAACCTTCAGTTCCGTCCATGTTGCTGCATATAACAGGATTCCATTCTTTTTATGGCTTAATAATATTCCACTGTGTATACAGACCATATTTTCATTATCTATTCATCTGTTGATGGACAAGATTCTTGTCTACGCACATAATCTTTTTGCACATTGACATCTGAAAGCACTTTTCTAGGAATAATTCAGGCTTTAGCGGAAAATAACTTAAATATATGCAACATCATGCTCCTTACATTGCTTCTTATGTAGTCTTAACCTGATATCTTTGTTCTGGTAATTCTGTTTCTGAATTCCAAAGTCTAATCCTCATTATGTATCCCCAATCCTGTTAGCCGAATATCTGTCATATTAAAATGCCACACTTTGACCATCTTTCTGGAATCATACTACTATTCCTGCCTCTGTGCATTCACATTGGTTATTTTCTCCCCATCCTGAATGAGTTATCATTTTATCTAGCCTCAGCCATAGTCATCATTTTACTTAAATGTAGCTTCAAATTCTCATAATTCAATAAGTTATTACTAACTAGTACCATTTCATGTTGACCTCTTACTCAGTAGGGAGTTATACTAATGGCTCCTTTCATTTTCTTATTAACCCTTCCCCATAAGCAGTCTATAACTCAGATCCTTATTTGTTTTATCATATCTACCAAAGTATTTATAAAGCATAGAAGCCATAAAATGTTTAAATACATGAATTTAAATTCAGCATTCAGAGGCCAAAAGGATTGGCTAAATGAACTATGAATACTATAACATTTAAGTATTTTCTGGTGTATTCTTGATGATCGATTGACTGTATTAGGGTAAACTGAAGATAAGTGGAATCATACACTAGCACAGTTCATTTGAAATCTTAGAATTTACCCTATTCTGGTCACTGTCTTATTGACTGTTTCCTTTTAGTTTTATTCATTACTTCTTTCAAGCTGTGGTACCTCACAAGCATATTCCAAAAGCAGATAACAATAGCTTCAATATATATTGAAATTATATGATACTGAATGCTGCCATCAGATATGTATTATCTGTGTAATATACAGAAAGAGTATAATGTATTATTTGTATGTATTTGTTATAACAAATCAACTTCTATAATCATTGGGGCTAGACAATGAATGACAATTTTAGTGAAGCCTGTAATAGAAGTTCTAAGAGGTTAAAAAAAAAAAAGCAATCCATGAATACCTTTGAATACTATTTATCATTTAAAAGCATTCCATTTGTAAGTCCTTAATACCTTTTACTGGCCAGGAGAATAGTCAATAAACATGCATTTCTCCTAACATTACATTAATTTACACTCATTTTCTACTGGATAATCTGAATTTATCTGGAGCAATACCACCTCTTCTATGTATGTGACTGCTATCGGGAATCTAAGGTTCTTCCTTCTAAAATTATTCAAATAAAAATTTGATTTAAAAGTTTTTAAACTTAAGATGAGTCCTTTTCCTTGTACTATGACCACTACAGAATTTTCAAAAATACATTTAACTCATATACAATGAGTTTTCATCCTTTAGAAGAAAAAGTCTATTAAATACAACTCATCATTCTGATGTTTTATGTACAGTCAACTAATAAATAATTATAATGTTTATTTTCAAGAATAAAAAAATGTAATGCTTCACTAAAATATCAACATAAAAATAATTGAAAAATACTTGGAAGATAAATGATAGCTCAGAGAAAGTTTTCTCTATTCCAGGAAGATTTATTTTAAATAGCTAATAAAAGATGGATATGCTGGCAGAAAAACTGACAAAGTTCATGAATGGAAAATGTAATAAAAATGATCATATAGGAAAATGGATTCAACTGTATCAATTATTAAAAAGGAAAATTCAGATTCCAAGATATTGTTTTTCACCTAGGATATTAGTAAATATTGAGCATATTGATAATACCTAGTGTTGGCAAGATATGGAGAACTAGGCACTTTTAATTGCTGTTAATGGAAATCTTACATGATAAAAATTTCATAGAAATTACTACTGATATTTATAATTTACATTCGTTAACTGCTTCTTTATCGTCACCATCATTCCTGTTATCATTTGTTGCGATTTTAATAACTATGTAGATGACCTTTTTAGTGCCCTGGCTATAAGTCTCTGACCTTCTCTTCTCCATTGGGCTTGTCCCTTCTTCCACTTCAGCCATCCCCTCCCATGGTCTTACCCTCTGTCATGTCATTACCAACAATGGCATTCCCTTCAACTCTCAATTTCAAGAATTCTGCCTTTTGACGAGCATCCTACTTCTTGATCTGGTTTTCATTTTGTGTCCGGAATTGGTGGGTTCTTGGTCTAACTGATTTCAAGAATGAAGCTGCGGACCCTCCCAGTGAGTGTTACAGTTCTTAAAGATGGTGTGCCCAGAGTTTGTTCCTTCTGATGTTCGGATGTGTTCGGAGTTTCTTCCTTCTGGTGGGTTCGTGGTCTGGCTGGCTTCAGGAGTGAAGCTGCAGACCTTTGCAGTGAGTGTTACAGCTCTTAAGGCGGCGCGTCTGGAATTGCTTGCTCCTCTCCTCCAGAGTTGCTCATTCCTCCCAGTGGGTTCGTGGTCTTGCTGGCCTCAGGAGTGAAGCTGCAGAGCTTCGCGGTGAGTGTTACAGCTCATAAAGGCAGTGCAGACCCAAAGAGTGAGCAGCAGTAAGATTTACTGCAAAGAGCGAAAGAACAAAGCTTCCACAGTGTGGAAGGGGACCCCAGTGGGTTGCTACTGCTGCTTCAGGCAGCCTGCTTTTATTCCCTTACCTGACCGGCCCCCCCCCCCCCCCCCGCCCACATTCTACTGATTGGCCCATTTTACTGAGAGCCGATTGGCCCATTTTACTGAGAGCTGATTGGCCCATTTTGACAGGGTGCTGACTGGTGTGTTTACAAACCTTGAGCTAGACACAGGGTGCTGAGTGGTGCATTTACAATCCTTTAGCTAGACACAAAAGTTCTCCAAGTCCCCACTAGATTAGCTAGACACAGAGCACTGATTGGTGCATTTACAAACTTTAGCTAGACACAGAGTGCTGATTGATGCATCCACAAACCCCCAAGCTAGACACAGAGTGCTGATTGGTGCATTTACAATTCTCTAGCTAGACACGAAAGTTCTCCAAGCCCCCACCTGACTCAGGAGCCCAGCTGGCTTCGTCTTGTGGATCCCATGCCAGGCCCATGGGTGGAGCTGCCTGCCAGTCCAGCACCACATGCCTGCACTCCTCAGCCCTTGGGTGGTTGATGGGACCAGACGCTGTGGAGCAGGGGGTGGCGCCCGTCAGGGAGGCTCCTCGGGCTGCGCGGGAGCCCATGGGTTGGGGGGCTCAGGCATGGCGGGCTGCAGGTCCCAAGCCCTGCCCCTGGGGAGGTGGCTGAGGCCTGGTGAGAATTCAAGCGCATTGCGGGCAGGCCGGCAGTGCTGGGGGACCCGGCGCCCCCTCCGCAGCTGCTGGCCCAGGTGCTAAGCCCCTCACTCCCCGGGGCCGGGGGCACTGGCCAGTTGCTCAAAGTGTGGGCCCACCAGGCCCACGCCCACCCAGAACTGGCGCTGGCCCGCGAGTGCAGTGCGTAGCCCCGGTTCCGGCCTGCACCTCTCCCTCCACACCTCCCTGCAAACAGAGGGAGCCAGCTCCAACCTTGGCCAGCCCAGAGAGGGGCTCCCACAGTGCAGCTGTGGGCTGAAGGGCTCCTCAAGCATGGCCACAGTGGACGCTTAGGCGAAGGAGGCACTGAGAGCGAATGAGGGCCACCAGCACATTGTCACCTCTCAATTTCACTCCCTCTTATATCCACTGAGATTTACATTTTCTCTATAAATAGTCCCTTCATAATTCTATTTTCTTTTTATTATGAGTTTGTGGCTCATGATTGTAGTCTCTCTTTTATATACATGCTCAACTACTTGGCCTCTCTTTTTCTTTGTCACACCCCTGGCAAAGGCCTAACTTGGGTAAACCCAAATCCTTATCTATTTTGTGCTTGTATCCCAGTACTTAACATGACTGGAAAACATACAACTCTGCTGACTAGTCATACCTTCAAGTGATGGCCACAAAACTCAAAAGGTTTGTGGTCATCACTTGAAGGTAAGACCAGTACTGACAGTGATCTCTGCATTTCACTATCTTTGCTTCCTACTCTCAGAAGTTATTATTTCATACCAGTATTCTTCTTTTTCTTCAAACATTGAACAACCCCTCAAATCTCCTCACTCTCAACTGATCAGTTAGTATCCACATCTATCACTACCACATTTACCAATCTGCTCTCTTCTGTAGACACATACTTTGCCTCTCCTTCTGCTACTGTGGCTGACCTACTCATACTATTATCTAAGAGTAGCCAGTCTATTTATTTAGTGAATCCTACCTGATTTACTCAATGACTCAATTGTCACAATTGTGTACTTTCTCTTCTGCATTATCAATTTTTCTCTGTCTACTAAATTATTCCCATAATCATAAATACATGTAGTATTTTCACAATTATTAATGGATTTTTAATATTAAAATGAAGACCATGGAGATTAAAGAACATCACACATATATAAATCAAATTATAGACTAACAAAATATTTTGCTAGATGACATTTAAGCTAAAAGAAACCATAAATACAAAGATAGATTATATGATATACAGGTTAAATATCCCTTATCTAAAATGCTAGGGACCAGTAGTGTTTTGGATTTTGAATTTTGGAATATTTGCAATATATTGACTGATTGAGCATCCCTAATCTGAAAATCCAAATTCTAAATATTCCAGTGAGCATTTCCCTTGAGTGTCATGTCAGCACTCAAAAAATGCCAAATTTGAGAACATTTCAGATTTTGAATATTTGGATTTGGGATGCTCAACCTATAATAAATCTTTACAACAAAAATAATATAACTTGAATAAAAATATCCTAAGAAAAATATATGCAGCAATTGTTTTAAAAATTAAAAATTATATTTTATAAATAAGTCAAAAAAATAAGAAATTCAAACATACTGATTGAAGACCAATATTTAAGGGGAAAGTCATGAATAAAAATGCAAGAAATAAAATTAGTCAACAAACATAAAATATGTTCCACTCTTTTGTTATAAAATAAATAAAAAATATAAACAAACAATAAGGTTTTAATTTATAACTATTACAACAGCAGATTTGAAGTTATTCCTATATTCTAGACTTGAGAGGAAAATGGCCAATAGGAGACAGGACTAACGTGCAGCTCCCACTTGGATGGACAGAACAGTGTGTGGAGATTCATTTTGTGAACTTCTGCTTCAAGGACCACTGCAAGAACATACCAGAAAAACCGAAAAAATTCACAGACCCTTTGAAAGAAGCAGCTTGCTACTGCAAATGCTGCAAGACAACTGGAAAACTGTGAAGACAAAGGACGTAAACTCTTGGGAGCTCTATGACCCTGCCCATTGCCTGAGAAACCCAAGTACTTATCCTGGCCAACTTAGGGTAAGATTATATCCCCCTTCTATTACTGGAGCTGGTGCTCTCTTGAAAGTGCCACTTCCTGGCTGGAGGCCAACCAACTCCAGCCATTACAGCCACTCATAACAGAACAACCCTGCTCCAATGAAGGAGAAGACAACAGCTAATTCTACTGCCAGCAATAACCTGGCTAATCAGAGGTCCTGAGTCTGTTGAAGTGACAGCTTCACTGCTAGCATAACCAGCATTCAAGAAAACCAGCACACTAAACAAAACTACAACCAAGGACTCCCACAGAGTCCACTTAACTCCTGTGCCACCTCCACTGGAGCAGGTGCTGGTATCCATGGCTGGGAGACATGAAGATGGATCACATCACAGGACTCTTTACAAACATTCCACAGCACAAGCCCAGAGCTCAGTAGCCCTACTGGGTGGACAAACTTAGAAGGGCAATAACAATCACTCGAGTCTGGCTTTCAGGAAGCCCCATTCCTAGGGGGAGAGCACCATATCAAGGGATCACCCAATGGGAAAAAATAATCTGAACAGCAGAGTTTGAGCCGCAGATCTGTCCACTGAAACAGTCTACACAAAGTAGAAGGAACCAGAAAAGTAATTCTGGTAATATGAATAAACATGGTTCTATAACACTCAGAAAATATCACACTAGCTCTCCAGTAGTGGATCCAAACCAAGAAGAAATCTCTGAATTACCAGATAAAGAAATCAGAAGTTTGATTGTTATTATTTAGCTACTCAAGAGGGCACCAGAGAAAGGTGAAAAGTAACTCAAAGAAATAAAAAAAAAAGAATATGGATGCAAAAGTCTCCAGATAAATAGACATCATAAAGAAAAGACGAGCACAACTTCTGGAAATAAAAGACACACTTAGGGAAATGCAAAATACACTGGAAAGTTTCAACAATAGAACTGAACAAGTAGAAGAATGAACTTCAGAACTCAAAGACAAGGCTTTCAAATTAACTCAATCTGACAAAGACAAAGAAACAAGAGAAAAAAATGAAAAAAACTTCCAAGAAATTTGGGATTATGTTAAACAACCAAACGTAAGAATAATTGGTGTTCCTGCGGAGGAAGAAAAATCAAAAAGTTTGGAAAACTTATTTGAGGGAATAATCAATGATTACTCCCCTGATCCTGCTAAAGATCTTCACATCCAAATACAAGAAGGTCAAAGAACACCTGGGAAATTCATCACAAAAAGGTCATCACCTAGGGACATAGTTATTAGGTTACCTAAAGTCAAGATGAAGGAAAGAATCTTAAGGGCTATAAGACAAAAGCATCAGGTAACCTATAAAGGAAACAGTAGATTTCAGATTAACGGTATATTTCTCAGCAGAAAAACTGCAAGTCAGAAGGGACTGAGGTCCTATCCTTAGCCTCCTTAACAAAATAGTTATCAGCCAAGAATGTTTTATCCAGAGAAACTAAGCTTCGTAAATGAAGGAGAGATAAAGTCTTTTTCAGACAAATGCTGAGAGAATTCACCACTACCACGCCAGCACTACAGGAACTGTTAAAAAGAATTTTAAGTCTTGAAACAAAACTTCAAAATACACCAAAATAGAATCTCTTTAAAGCATAAATCAACAGGACCTATAAATCAATAACACAATGAAAAAAAGATACTAAGTCAACAACTGCTATGAAGAATAGAACAGTACCTCACATCTCAATACTAACATTGAATATAAATGGCCTAAATGCTCCACTAAAAAGATACAGAATGGCAGAATGGATAAAAACCCACCAATCAAGTATCTGCTGTCTTTAAGAGACTCACCTAACAGAGAAGGATACACATAAACTTAAGGTAAAGGGATGGAAAAGATATTCCATGGAAATGGAATCCAAAAGTGAGCAGGAGTAGCTATTCCCTTAAAAAAAAAAAAAAAAAAAAAAAGACCTTAAAGGAACAATAGTTTAAAAAAGACAGAGGGACATTCTATAATGATAAAAGGGTTAGTCTAATAGGAAATATCACAATTCTAAATATATACACATCTAACACTGGAGATCCCAAATTTATAAGACAATTATTACTATATCTAAGAAATGAGATAGATGGCAACAAAATAAAAGTAGGAGATTTCAATGTCAACTCCACTGATAGCACTAGGCAGGTCATTAAGACCAAAAGTCAACAAAGAAACAATGGACTTAAATTATACCCTAGAACAAATGGATTTAACAGATATTTGCAGAACGTTCTAACCAACAACTGCAGAATATACATTCTTTTCATCAGCACATGGGAAATTCCCCAAGACGGACCATATGATAGGCCACAAAACAAGTCTCAATAAATTTAAGAAAACTAAAAGTATATATAGTACTTTCTCAGGTCACAGTGAAATAAAATTGGAAATTAACTCCAAAGGGAACTATTAAACTATACAAATACATAAAAATTAAATAATCTGCCCCGAATGATATTTGGATCAACAATGAAATCAAGATGGAAAATTAAAAATTCCTTGAACTGAATGATAATTATGACACAACCAATAAAAATCTGTGGGATACAGCAAAAGTGGTGCTTAAAGGAACGTTAATAGCTTAAATGCCTACATCTAAATATCTGAAACAGCACAAGTAGACAATATAAGCTCACACCTCAAGGAACTGGAGAAACAAGAACGAACTAAACCCAAATCCAGTAGCAGAAAAAAAAAAGGAAAAAAAAAAAAACGAAAAGCAGAGCAGAACTACATGAAATTGAAACAAAAAAATAGAAAAGATAAATGAAACAGAAACCTGGTTGTTTAAAAAGATAAACAAAATCAAAAGATCATTAGTGAGATTAACCAAGAAAAAGAAGAGAGAAGATCCAAATAAGCTCAATTAGAAACAAAATGGGAGATATTTCTACTGATACCACAGAAATACAAAAGATCATTCAAGGCAATTTGAACACCTATATGCACACAAACTGGAAAACGTAGAGGATATGGATAAAATCCTGGAAAGATGCAAGCCTCCTAAATTAAACCAGGAAAAAATAGAAACTCGGAACAGAGCAAGAACAAGTAGCAAGACTAAAATAGTCTTTAAAAAAATTGCCAAAAAAAAGTCCACGGCCAGATGGATTCACAGCTGAATTCTATAAGACATTCAAAGAAGAATGGGTACCAATCCCACTCAAACTATTCCAAAAGATAGAGAAAGAAGAAGTCCTCCCTAACTCATTCTATGAAGGCAGTATCACTGTAATACCCAAACCAGGGAAGGACAGAATAAAAAAAGAAAACTACAGAACATATCCGTGATTAACATAAATGCAAAAAACCTTAACAAAATACTAGCTATCTGAATCCAAAAGCATGTCAAAAAGATAACATGCCATAATTAAGAGGGTTTCATACCAAGGATGGAGGGTTGGTTTAACATATGCAAGTCAGTAAATGTGATACACCACATAAACAGAATTAAAAACAATAATCATATGATCATCTCAACAGACACAGAAATAGAATTTGATAAAATCCAGCATCCCTTCCTGATTAAAATCCTCAGTAAAATCAGCATAGAAGGGACATATTTTAAGGTAATAAAAACCATCTATGACAAACCACAGCCAACATTATACTGAACATGGAAAAGTTGAAAGCATTCCATCTGAGAACTGGAACTAGACAAGGATGCCCACTTTCACCAGTTCTATTCAACATAGTACTGGAAGTCCTAGTCAGAGCAGACAGACAAGAGAAAGTAATGAAGGGCATCCGAATCAGTAAAGAGGAAGTCAAACTGTCATTGTTTACTGATGATATGATCATATACCTAGAAAACCCTAAAAACTCATTCAAAAAGCTCCTAGATCTGATAAACGAATTGAGTAAAGCTTCAGGATACAAAATCAATGTACACAAATTAGGAGCATTGCTATACACCAGTAGTGACCAAGATGAGAATCAAATCAAGAACTCAAACCCTTTTGCAACAACTATAAATAAATAAATAAATAAATAAATAAATAAATAAATAAATAAAATACATAGGAGTAAACCTAACAAAAGAGGTGAAAGATCTCTATAAGGAAAACTACAAAACACTGCTGAAAGAAACAGATGATACAAACAAATTGAAACATATCCCATGCTCATGGATGGGTAGGACCAATATTATGAAAATGATCACACTGCCAAAAGCAATCTATATATTCAATGCAATTCCCATAATACCATCATCATTCTTCACAGAATTAGAAAAGAACAATCCTAAAGTTCATATGGAACCAAAAAGGAGCCTACGTAGCCAAAACAAGACTAAACAAAAAAGAACAAATCTGGAAGCACCACATTACCCAACTTCAAACTATACTACAAGTCTATAATTATCAAAACAGCATGATATTGGTATGAAAAACAGGCATGTAGGCCAATGGAACAGAATAGAGAACCCAGAAGTGAGGCCAAATCCTCACAGCCAACTGATGCTCGGCAAAGTGGGGAAAGGAAACCCTATTCAACATATGGTGCTGGGATAATTGGCAAGCCACAAGTAGAAGAATAAAACTGGATCTTCATCTCTCATCTTATGCAAAATCAACTCAAGATTTATCAAAGACTTAGGCCTATGACCTGAAACCATAAAAATTCTAGAAGATAACATCAGAAAAAGTCTTTGAGACAATGACGAACAAAGAGTTCATGACCAAGAACCCAAAAGTAAATGCAACAAAAACAAAGATATATAGATGGGATTTAATTAAATTAAAAAGCTTCTGCACAACAAAAGGAATAATCAGCAGAGTAAACAGACATCCCACAGAATGGGAGAAAATCTTTGCAAACTATGCATTTGACAAATAACTAATATCCAGAATCTATAAGGAACTCAAATAAATCAGCAAAATAATAATCATAATAATAATCATAACCCCATCAAAAATCAGGCTAAGTTCATGAATAGACAATTCTCAAAATAAGATATAAAATGGCCAACAAACATGAAAAAATGCTCAAATTACTAGTGATCAGGGAAATGCAAATCAAAACCACAGTGCAGTACCACCTTACTCCTGCAAGAATGGCCATAATTAAAAAAAAAAAAAAAAAGCAGATGTTGGTGTGGATGTGCTGAAAAGGAACACTTTTACACTGCTAGAGGGAATGTAAACTAGTAAAACCACTGTGGAAACACAGTATGGAGATTCCTTAAAGAACTAAAGGTAGAACTACCATTTGATCCAGCAATCCGTCTACTGGGTATCTACCCAGAGAAAAATTAAGCCATTATTTGAAAAAGACACTGCACATGCATACTTATAGCAGCACAATTTGCGATTGCAAAAATACAAAACCAGCCTAAATGCCCATCTACCAATGAGTGGATTAAAAAACATATATATATATATATATATATATATATATATAGAGAGAGAGAGAGAGAGAGAGAGAGAGAGAGAGAGAGAGAGGAATATGACTCAGCCATAGAAAGGAATGAAATAATGGCATTCACAGCAACCTAGATGGAGTTGGAGACCATTATTCTAAGTGAAGTAACTCAGGAATGGAAAACCAAAGATCCTATGTTCTCACTTATAAGTGGGAGGTAAGCTATGGTAATGTAACATAATAATGATATAATGAACTCTGGAGACTTGGGGGCAAGGGTGGTAAGGGATAAAAGACTACAGTTTTGGTGTAGTGTATACTACTGACGTGATGGGTGCACTAAAATCTCAGAAATCACCACTAAAGAACTTATCCATGTAAACAAACACCACTTGTTCCCCTGAAACTACTGAATGAATGAATGAATGAATGAATGAATGAATAAATAAAATTTAAAAAAGAGATGGAGTACTGGGAGTTGCTACACTGTGGATGAAACTTGAAAACATTATGTTGGGTGAAAGAAGCCAGACACAAAAGGCCATGCACAAATTGTATGATTCCACCTACATGAGGTACTCAGAATAGGTAAATGTATAGAGAAAGAAAGTAGAATAGAAGATATCAGGGGCTTGGAGGAAGGGCATGGGGAGTTATTGTTGTTTTTTTTTTTTCCCCCACTATTGTTGCCTGGGCTGGAGTATAATGGTGTGATCTCAGCTCACTGCAACCTCCACCTCCCGGGTTCAAGTGATTCTCCAGCCTCAGCCTCCTGAGACCTTGGGATTACAGGTGCCCGCCAACACGCCCGGCTAACTTTTTGTATTTTTAGTAGAGACGGGGTTTCACCATGTTGGCTAGGCTGGTCTCGAACTCCTGACCTCAGGTCATCTGCCTGCTTTGGCCTCCCAAAGTGCTGGGATTACAGACGTGAGCCACTGCACCCCGCCAGGGAGTTATTGTTCACTGGGTACAGAGTTTCTCTTGGGGATGAAGATGAAAAAGTCCTGAAAATAGATGGTGATAATAGTACAACATTGTGAATGTAGCACCTCATGCCACTGATTTGCACACATATTAATGGTTAAAATGGTAAATTGTATTTTATATATATATATATCACAATAAAAATTATAAAAAAGAATAAAGTACCAATACATGTTACAATATGGGTAAACCTTGAAAACATTATGCTGAGTGAGAGAAGCCAGACACAAGGCAACATATTTTATGATTGCATTTATATGAAATGTCTGGAATATGCCAATCCACAGAGCTAGAAGGTAGATGGTTATCAGATGCTGAGGGAGGGGGAAACTGACAATATTTTGTAACTAGATGGGGTGCTCGTTGCACAACACTGTGAATAAACTAAATGCCACTGAATTGTACACTTTAAAATGGTAAATTTTATGTGTATTTCACCTACATTAAAAATAATATACTATATCAAAAAAAGTAATTCCTACATTCCATTTTGTCAAAAGTGTGCTTAACTGAGAATATCTATTTATAGCTGGTGGCAGTGAACACTGTTGAAAACATCAGAAAAAAATTTGTCAATATATTTCAAAAGGTATAGCATGTTAATCATCTTTGACTCAGTAAATTCATTCCTGATAATTTGCACAAAGATGTAAACAAAATGAGGAAAAGGCAAAATACAAGAACTTTTTACTGTAGCATTATTTACAGTACTTAAAAAATCTAACAACCTGATTATCCAAATATAGGGTGTAGTTAAAAAGCTGAAGGTTATGGATTTGGTGGAATATTATGTAACCATCTGAAGAGGGATTTCAAGATGGCTGACTAGAGGCATCTAACAAATAGTGAGTTGGTAGTCATGCTTTCAATAGATCCTCTAAGAGAGAACATCAGGATTCAACAGATAAGAGACAGGAGACATGTAAAAGAAGGAAGGACAGAGAAGCAAGGTAGCCTGCTCAGCTAGTATCATCTGGGAGCCCAGTGAGACTCAACAGTGCAGGAAAAGGGTAAGTGAGTGATCCCTAGCAGTCTACATTCCCACCATGGACCCCTCCAATCCTACCAAGGGAATGTTTCTTGACACTTGTGGGCACGGAGATAAACAGAGAAAGCTGCCTGGAGACTGTGCAATGGCATTGCTTTAGAGAGAGAGAATGAGCTCAGGTTTGGTCCCTCATACTGGAAACTCAAGCCCTAAGCAGCTACAAAATGGTGCCATTTTGAGAACCTAGCCACCACCAGAATGCATCCTGTCCTGGGCCCCAACAGCCTCTGCATTTCCACACCCTTAGAATCCCATTGTCATCCCCTGCTGAGAGCTGCTGCTGCTGGCTACTGCCACCTGGGCTAAATGTGAGCCACTGGCAGCAACTCTATTTTCCCAGAAAGAAGGGCTGCTGTGCGTTTTCATGCACATAGAAAAGTGGCTGCTCCATTGGCAGCTGCCACCTGGGGCCAAAGTGCACACTCCCCAGCCAGCTACCTATGGCTGCCGACACTGAAAGCAAACTGGCCCTTAGCAGTAGCAGGGCCACAGTGCAGATGCAGCCATCTCCACAAAAGCATGCTGCTGGGGTCTGAGGATCACTCCGTCTGACCACAGCCAACCTCTATGCACCATGGGGAAATCTGAGGACAGGTTTTCCCAACCTGGCTTTCTCCAACTTCCCCTAGTACCTGAGCATGCTGTCCAGGAATCTTGGGATTGTCCTGCCCTATCCACCAGCATTTGCACCTAAACATTCCTCTCAGCAGCTGAAGATGGGCCCATCCAGCCTGCTGTTGCCACCACTGTAGGTACCCACCCCTATACACCACCTGTGGGACAGAAGACCAGCTTGCCCAGCCTGTCTCAGCCATGTTCAACACCAGTGCAGATGGCTTGGGAACCAGAGCATTGAGCCACCACTATAACTGCCATAATCCACGCACTATCCAGGGCCACAAGGACCCACCCACCAACCTGACCCACTGCTGCCACTGCTGGCATCTGAGCAAACCAAGTGGAGACCCAAGAATTGGCCCTCCTGGACCTGCCAATATGGAGGCCAGTGTACATTGCTCTTGGGCTCAAGAACAGCTACATTTGCTCCATCACTGCTCACACTGGGGTCTGAGGACTCACCCAGGTGATGCCTCCATCCTAAGCAAAGCTTCGCCACAGTCTCCACTAAGAATCACACCCTAAGTCACTGAGGAAATCACAGATACCACTGATTTGGCTGTGTATGGTCAAATAAATGATACAAATAATACACTACTGCATGCACTGAGAATCAAAGCCAATGTTCCCTACCTAACCAAAATCACAGATACACATTCAGTATGAAGTCCTTCCCTATGAAAGCAAATCCAAAAAATTGGAAGAGGCAACTGTTATATCAGGTGCACAGATACCAAGATAAGGACACAAGAAACATGACAAAGGAAGGAAATATGACACTTCCAAAAAAACACAATAATTCTGCAGCTACATATTCCAATGAAAAAGAAATTTATCAAATACCAGAAAAATTAAAAGTAATGATATTAAATAAGGTCAGTAAGGAACAACACAATACAGATAACTAATACAAAGAAATCAGAAAAACAATTCAGGATATAAATGAGAAACATACAAAAGAGATAGCTATAATATAAAATAACCAAAATATCCTGGAACTGAAGAATACATTGAATGAAGTAAAAAATGCATTTATTCAACAAAAGACTAGATCCAGCAGAAGAAAGAATTTCAGAACTTAAAGACAGGTCTTTAAAATAATCCAGTCAGACAATTTTTTTAAAAAGAGTTGAAACAAAGCCTACATGACATATGGGACAGCATAAAAGGACTAAATATGTAAATTTTCAGAGGCCCAGAAGGAGAACAAAAAATAAAAAAAACCTATTTAACAAAATATTAGGTAAAGCTTACATCCCTTACATAGATGTTATATTCAAAAGGCTGAAAAAAGTATCCACCAAAAATACTACACCCCAAAAATTTACCCTTCATAAATAAAAGCAAAATAAAGTTTTTCCCTGACAAGCAAAAACTGAGGTAATTCCTCATCACTAGACTGACCCTGCAATAAACTCTTTAGCATAAAATGACTAAATATATGAATTTTCAGTGACCCAGAAGGAGAGGAAAAAATATTTAAAAAACTCTATTTAACAAAATAACACGTAGAAGCTTACATCTCTTACAGAGATGATATATTCAAAGTGCTGAAAAGAAAAAGAAAGTATCCACCAAAAATACTATACACAGTAAAGTTATCCTTCATAAATAAAGGCAAAATAAAGTCTTTCCCTGACAAGCAAAAACTGACTGACCCTAAAAGAAACTCTTGGGTGGTTCCAAGATGGCCAAATAGGAACAGCTCCAGTCTACAGCTCCCAGTGTGAGCGATGCAGAAGATGGGTGATTTCTGCATTTCCAACTGAGGTACTGGGTTCATCTCACTAGGGCTTGTCGGACAGTGGGGGCAGGACAGTGGGCGCAGTGCACCGAGCGTGAGCTGAAGCAGGGCAAGGCATCACCTCAACCGGGAAGCGCAAGGGGTCAGGGAATTCCCTTTACTAGCCAAGCAAAGCTGTGACAGACCGCACCTGGAAAATTGGGTCACTCCCACCCTAATACTGTGCTTTTCCAATCGTCTTAACAAACGGCATGCCAGGAGATTATATCCCACGTCTGGCTCAGAGGGTCCCAAGCCCATGGAGCCTCGCTCATTGCTAGCACAGCAGTCTGAGATCCATCTGCAAGGCAGCAGCGAGGCTGGAGAAGGGGCGCCCGCCATTGCTGAGGCTTGAGTAGGTAAACAAAGCAGCCAGGAAGCTGGAACTGGGTGGAGCCCACCACAGCTCAAGGAGGCCTGCCGGCCTCTGTAGACTCCACCTCTGGGGGCAGGGCATAGCTGAACAAAAGGCAACAGAAACCTGTGCAGACTTAAATGTCCCTGTGTGACAGCTTTGAAGAGAGTAGTGGTTCTCCCAGCACAGTGTTTGAGATCTGAGAACGGACAGACTGACTCCTCAAGTGGGTCCCCGACCCCCGAGTAGCCTAACTGGGAGGCAGCCCCCAGTAGGGGAAGACTGACACCTCATCGTGGCTGGGTAGCCCTCTGAGACGAAACTTCCAGAGGAACGATCAGGTAGCAACATTCGCTGTTCAATATTCACTGTTCTGCAGCCTCCACTGCTGATACCCAGGCAAACAGGGTCTGCAGTGGACCTCCAGCAAACTCCAACAGACCTGGAGCTGAGGGTCTTGACTGTTAGAAGGAAAACTAACAAAGAGAAAGGACATCCACACCAAAACCCCATCTGTACGTCACCATCATCAAAGACCAAAAGTAGATAAAACCACAAAGATGGGGAAAAAACAGAGCAGAAAAACTGAAAATTCTAAAAATCAGAGTGCCTCTCCTCCTCCAAAGGAATGCAGCTCCTCACCAGCAGTGGAACAAAGCTGGACGGAGAATGACTGATGAGCTGAGAGAAGAAGGCTTCTGACGATCAAACTTCTCCAAGCTAAAGGAGGAAGTTTGAACCCATTGCAAAGAAGTTAAAAACCTTGAAAAATGATTAGTCGAATGGCTAACTAGAATAACCAATGCAGAGAAGTCCTTAAAGGACCTGATGGAGCTGAAAACCATGGCTCGAGAACTATGTGATGAATGCACAAGCTTCAGTAGCTGATTTGATCAGCTGGAAGAAAGGGTATCAGTGATTGAATATCAAATGAATTAAATGAAGCGAGAAGAGAAGTTTAGAGAAAAAAGAAGAAAACGAAACAAACAAAGCCTCAAGGAAATATGGGACTGTGCGAAAAGACCAAATCTACATCTGATTGGTGTACCTGAAAGTGACAGAGAGAATGGAACCAAGTTGGAAAACACTGTGCAGGATATTATCCGGGAGAACTTCCCCAACCTAGCAAGGCAGGCCAACATTCAAATTCAGGAAGTACAGAGAAGGCTACAAAGATACTCCTTGAGAAGAGCAACTCCAAGACACATAATTGTCAGATTCACCAAAGTTGAAATGAAGGAAAAAATTTTAAGGGCAGCCAGAGAGAAAAGTCGGGTTACCCACAAAGGGAAGCCCATAAGACTAACAGTGGATCTCTCGGCAGAAACTCCACAAGCCAGAAGAGAGTGGGGGCCAATATTCAACATTCTTAAAGAAAAGAATTTTCAACCCAGAATTTCATATCCAGCCAAACTAAGCTTCATAAATGAAGGAGAAATAAAATCCTTTACAGACAAGCAAATGCTGAGGGATTTTGTCATCACCAGGCCTGCCCTGCAAGAGCTCCTGAAGGAAGCACTAAACATGGAAAGGAACAACCGGTACCAGCCACTGCAAAAACATGTCAAATTGTAAAGACCATCGAGGCTAGGAAGAAACTGCATCAACTAACAAGCAAAATAACCAGCTAACATCATAATGACAGGATCAAATTCACACATAACAATATTAACCTTAAATGTAAATGGGCTAAATGCTCCAATTAAAAGACACAGACTGGCAAATTGGATAGAGAATCAAGACCCATCAGTGTGCTGTATTCAGGAAACCCATCACACGTGCAGAGACACACATAGGCTGAAAATAAAAGGATGGAGGAAGATCTACCAAGCAAATGGAGAACAAAAAAAGGCAGGGGTTGCAATCCTAGTCTCTGATAAAACAGACTTTAAACCAACAAAGATCAAAAGCGACAAAGAAGGCCATTACATAATGGTAAAGGGATCAATTCAACAAGAAGAGCTAACTATCCTAAATATATATGCACCCAATACAGGAGCACCCAGATTCATAAAGGAAGTCCTTAGGGACCTACAAAGAGACTTAGACTCCCAAACAATAATAATGGGAAACTTTAACACCCCACAGTCAACATTAGACAGATCAACAAGACAGAAAGTTAATGAGGATATCCAGGAATTGAACTCAGCTCTGCACCAAGCGGACCTACTAGACATCTACAGAACTCTCCACCCCAAATCAACAGAATATACATTCTTCTCAGCACCACACCGCACTTATTCCAAAACTGACCACATAGTTGGAAGTAAAGCATTTCTCAGCAAACATAAAAGAACAGAAATTATAACAAACTGTCTCTCAGACCATAGTGTAATCAAACTAGAACTCAGGATTAAGAAACTCACTCAAAACCGCTCAACTACATGGAAACTGAACAACCTGCTCCTGAATGACTACTGGGTACATAACGAAATGAAGGCAGAAATAAAGATGTTCTTTGAAACCAATGAGAACAAAGACACAACATACCAGAATCTCTGGGACACATATAAAGCAGTGTGTAGAGGGAAATTTATACCACTAAATGCTCACAAGAGAAAGCAGGAAAGATCTAAAATTGACACCCTAACATCACAATTAAAAGAACTAGAAAAGCAAGAGCAAACACATTCAAAAGCTAGCAGAAGGCAAGAAATAACTAAGATCAGAGCAGAACTGAAGGAGATAGCAACACAGAAAACCCTTCAAAAAATCAGGGAATCCAGGAGCTGGTTTTTTTGAAAAGATCAACAAAATTGATAGACCACTAGCAAGAGTAATAAAGAAGAAAAGAGAGAAGAATCAAATAGATGCAATAAAAAATGATAAAGGGGATATCACCATCGATCCCACAGAAATACAAACTACCATCAGAGAATAATATAAACACCTCTATGCAAATAAACTAGAAAATCTAGAAGAAATGGATAAATTCCTCAACACATACATCCTCCCAAGACTAAACCAGGAAGAAGTTGAATCTCTGAATAGACCAATAACAGGCTCTGAAATTGAGGCAATAATTAATAGCCTACCAACCAAAAAAATTCCAGGACCAGACAGATTCACAGCCAAATTCTACCAGAGGTACAAGGAGGAGGTGGTACCATTCCTTCTGAAACTATTCCAATCAATAGAAAAAGAGGGAATCCTCCCTAACTCATTTTATGAGGTATCATCCTGATACCAAAGCCTGGCAGAGAGAATTTTAGACCAATATCCCTGATGAACATCGATGCAAATATCCTCAATAAAATACTGACAAACTGAATCCAGCAGCATATCAACAAGCTTATCCACCATGATCAAGTGGGCTTCATACCTGGGATGCAAGGCTGGTTCAACACATGCAAATCAATAAACGTAATCCAGCACATAAACAGAACAAAAGACAAAAACCACATGATTACCTCAATAGAGGCAGAAAAGGCCTTTGACAAAATTCAACAGCCCTTCATGCTAAAAACTCTCAATAAATTAGGTATTGATGGGATGTATCTCAAAATAATAAGTGCTATTTACTACAAACCCACAGCCAATATCATACTGAATGGGCAAAAACTGGAAGCATTCCCTTTGAAAACTGGCACAAGACAGGGATGCCCTCTCTCACCACTCCTATTCAACATAGTGTTGGAAGTTCTGGCCAGGGCAATCAGGCAGGAGAAAGAAATAAAGGGCGTTCAACTGGGAAAAGAGGAAGTCAACTTGTCCCTGTTTTCAGATGACATGATTGTATATCTAGAAAACCCCATTATCTCAGCCCAAAATCTCCTTAAGCTGATAAGCAACTTCAGCAAAGTCTCAGGATACAAAATCAAAGTGCAAAAATCACAAGCATTCTTATACACCAATAACAGGCAGAGAGCCAAATCATGAGTGAACTCCCATTCACAACTGCTTCAAAGAGAATAAAATACCTAGGAATCCAACTTACAAGGGATGTGAAGGACCTCTTCAAGGAGAACTAGAAACCAATGTTCAACGAAATAAAAGAGGACACAAACAAATGGAAGAACATTCCATGCTCATGGATAGGAAGAATCAATATCGTGAAAATGGCCATACTGCCTAAGGTAATTTATAGATTCAATGCCATCCCCAACAAGGTACCAATGACTTTCTTCACAGAATTGGAAAAAAATTACTTTAAAGTTCGTATGGAACCAAAAAAGAGACTGCATTGCCAAGTCAATTCTAAGTAAAAAGAATAAAGCTGGAGGCATCACGCTACCTGACTTTAAACTATACTACAAGGCTATAGTAACCAAAAGAGAATGGTACTGTTACCAAAATAGAGATATAGATCAATGGAACAGAACAGAGCCCTCAGAAATAATACCACACATCTACAACTATCTGATCTCTGACAAACCTGACAAAAACAAGAAATTGGGAAAGGATTCCCTATTCAACAAACGGTGCTGGGAAAACTGGCTAGCCATAGGTAGAAAGCTGAAACTGGATCCCTTCCTTACACCTTATACAAAAATTAATTCAAGATGGATTAAAGACTTAAATGTTAGACCTAAAACCATAAAATCCCTAGAAGAAAACCTAGGCAATACCATTCCGGACATAGGCATGGGCAAGGACTTCATGTCTAAAACACCAAAAGCAATGGCAACAAAAGCCAAACTTGACAAATGGGATCCAATTAAACTAAAGAGCTTCTGCATAGCAAAAGAAACTACGATCAGAGTGAACAGGCAACCTACAGAATGGGAGAAAATTTTTGCAATCTACTCATCTGACAAAGGGCTAATATCCAGAATCTACAAAGAACTCAAACAAATTTACAAGAAAAAAACAACCCCATCAACAACTGGGCAGAGGATATGAACAGACACTTCTCAAAAGAAGACATTTATGCAGCCAACAGACACATGAAAAATTGCTCATCATCACTGGCCATCAGAGAAATGCAAACCACAATGAGATACCATCTCACACCAGTGAGAACGGAGATCATTAAAAAGTCAGGAAACAACAGGTGCTGGAGAGGATGTGGAGAAATAGGAACACTTTTACACCATTGGTGGGACTGTAAACTAGTTCAACCATTGTAGAAGACAGTGTGCCCATTCCCTAGAAATACCATTTGACTCAGCCATCCCATTACTGGGTATATACCCAAAGGATTATAAATCATGCTGCTACAGAGACACATGCACATGTATGTTTATTGCGGCACTATTCACAATAGCAAAGACTTGGATCCAACCCAAATGTCTGAAAATGGCAGAATGGATTAAGAAAATGTGGCACATATACACCGTGGAATACTATGCAGCCATAAAAAATGATGGGTTCATGTCCTTTATAGGGACATGGATGAAGCTGGAAACCATCATTCTCAGCAAACTATCGCAAGGACAAAAAAATAAACACTGCATATTCTCACTCATAGGTGGGCATTGAACAATGTGAACACTTGGACACAGGAAGGGGAACATCACACACCAGGGGCTGTTGTGGGGTGGGGGGAGGGGGGAGGGATAGCATTAGGAGATATACCTAATGTAAAGGATGAGTTAATGAGTGCAGCACACCAACACGGCACATGTATACATATGTAACAAACCTGCACGTTGTACATATGTACCCTAGAACTTAAAGTACAATAAAAAATACATATATATAAAAGTAATATATATATAAAAAATAAACTCTTAAGCCAGTTCTACACCTGGAAGTGAATGGATGACATCCACCATCATAAAAATGCACAAAAGGATAAAACCCACTGGTAGAGCACACACAAAAAAATTAGGAAGAGAAAGGACGTAAATGTTATGACTATAGAAAATCCCAAACCACAATAATAAATAATAGGAGAGAAAAAGTGAAACAAAGGATATACAAATGATCCAGTGAACAATTAACAATATACCAGGAACAAAATCTCATATATCAATGATAACCTTGAATTGAAATAAATTAAATTTTCCTACGTAAAAGATATAGACTGGATGAATGGATAAAAGTACATGATACAGTTATATCATGCCTACAAAAGATCACTTTTCCTGTTATCTGACATATATAGACTCAAAGTAAAGGAATGGAAAAGACATATACAAATGTCATATACATATATATGTATATACATGACTATATATGACATATTATATATATGTATATATATGACATATATTTGTGTATATATATACATTTATCAAAAGTAAGGGAATGAAAAATGATATTCCACGTCAACAACAACCGAAATTGAGCAGGAGAAGTCATATTTACACAAGATAAAACATACTTTAAGTAAAATAAAAACTATAAAAAGAAACAAAGAAGATTATTATATAATGATAAGGGATCATCCAGAAAGAGGACATAACAGTTCTAAATATATATGTAACCATACTGGAGTATCCAGATATATAAAGTGGATATTATTAGATCTAAAGGGAAAGATGGGCTCCAATAAAATAATGGTAGGGAACTTACTGTCAGTATTAGACAGATCATCTAGACAGAAAATTAACAAATACACTTTGAAATTAAACTAAATTTTAGAGCAAATGAACTTAATATACCTTTACAGAACACTTTATTCAACAGCTACGGAATATACATTCTTCTCATCAGTATATGAAATTTTATCCAAGATAGAGTATATGTTAAGCTGCAACGCAAGTCTCAACAAATTTTAAAAATCAAAATGACATCGTGTCTTCTCATACAACAATAAAATAAAATTAGAAATCAATACAAAGAGGACCTATTGGAAACTACACAAATACATGAAAATTTATAAATCATGCTCCTGAATGATCATTGGGTCAATGAAGCAATCCAGATGAAAATCAGAAAGTTTATTGAAACAAATAAAAATAGAAACACAGCATAGCAAAATATATGTGATAAAGTCAAAGCAGTGCTAAGAGGGAAATTTTTAGCAATAAATGCTGACATCAAAAAAGTAAAAAGATTTTTAAATAAACAATCTAATGCTGCTCCTCAAGAAACAAGAAAAGCAAGAAGAAACCAAATCCGAAATTAGTTGAAAGAAAGAAATAATAAACAACAGACTAAATCTAAACAAAAGAGAGACTAAAAAATACAAAGGATCAATGAAACAAATTGGATTTTTGAAAAGATAAAATTGATAAACCATTAGCTTGATGAACCAAGAATAAAAGAAAAAGATCCAAATAAACAAAGTCAAAATTGAAAAAAGAGACATTATAACTGATACTACAGAAATGTAAAAGATCATCAGAGACTATTATGAACAACTATATGCTAACAAACTGGAAAACCTAGAGGAAATGGATAAATTCCTGGGCACATATAACCTTCCAGGATGGAATCAGGAAGAATAGAAAACCTGACCAGATCAACAGTGAGCAATGAGATTGAATCAGTAACAAAGTCTGTGGAGAAAGAAAAGCCCATAACCAGATGACTTCACTCTCAAATTTTAGCAAATATATAAAGAAGAATTAATACCAATTAACCTCAAATTATTACCAAAAAATTAAGAGGAAAAAATTATTTCCAGTGAATTCTATGGGGCCAGAATTACCCCGATACTAAAACCAGAAAAGGACACAACAACAAAAATAAACTACAGGCCAATATCCCTGATGAACATAGATACAAAAGTCCTCGACAAAATACCAGCTAACAAATCCAACAGCACATCACAAAGACAGCACAATATGAACAAGTTATCCCAGGAATGCCATGATAGCTCAATATATGTAAATCAATAAATGTGATACATCACATCAAAGAATGAAAGACAAAAAAGATCATCTCAATGGATGTAGAAAAAGCATCCTTTCATGATAAATCTTCTCAATAAACTAGGCATAGTGGAACATAACTCAACATAATAAGGACTATACATGACAAACCCACAGCTAACATCATACTGGGTGAGGAAGTCTGAAAGCCTTTCCTCTAAGAACTGGGGCTGAGCGTGGTGACTCACACCTGTAATCCCAGCACTTTGGGAGGCTGAGGCAGGTGGATCACCTGAGGTTAGGAGTTCAAGACGAGCCTAGCCAACATTGTGAAACCCTGGTCTCTACAAAAATACAAAAATTAGCTGAGCATGATGGCAGATGCCTGTAATCCCAGCTATTCAGGAGGCTGAGGCAGAAGAATCGCTTGAATCTGGGAGCCAGTGCACTCCAGCCTGGGCAACAGAGTGAGATCCTGTCTCAAAAAAAAAAAAAAAAAAGAACTGGAACAAGTGGTGAAAGATGCCTAATTTCATTCAATTCAATTTAGTACTGGAAGTCCTTGCTAGAGCAATCAGGCAAGAAAAAGAAAAAAAGGCATCAAAATTGGAAAAAGAATAAGTCAAATTATCTCTCTTTGTGGAAGACATTATATTTGGAAAAGAATAAAAGACTCTATCAGAAAATTCTTAAAATGTATACACAAATTAATAAAATTACAAGATACAAAGTCAATACACAAAAGCAGTAGTGTTTCTATACAATAATAATGAACTAGTTTAAAAAGAAAGAAGAAAATCCCATTTAAAATAGCTACAAAAAAATACCTAAGAATAAATTAAACAAAGATGATAAAAGACTCCACAATGAAAACTACAAAACACTGATGAAAGCAAATGAAAATGACACAAATAGAAAGATATCTTATGCTCATGGATTAGAAGAAGAAATATTGTTAAAACAATCATACACGTAAATCAACCAATAGTTTAAGTGTACCCACTATTAAAATACCAACGTAGTTTTTCAAATAAATGAAAAAAAAAATCCTAAAATTCCTATGTAGCCACAAAAGACACCAAATAGCCCAAGAAATTCAGATCAAAAAACAAAGCTGGAGATATCAGAGTATCTGACTTCAAAACATATTACAAGGCTATAGTCAACAAAATAGCATGGTATTGGTATGAAAACAGACACATAGAACAATGGAACACAATAGAGAACCCTAAAATATATTCACATATTTATAGCTAAGTGATTTTTGATAAGGGTGCCTACTGATTCCCTCCAAAGGTGCCAAGAACATATATCAGGAAAAGAATAACTTCTTAAATAAATGGTGCTAGAAAAGTTAGACATCTATATGTAGAAGAACGAAACTGGACCCCTATCACTCATCATATACAAAAATCAACCAAACATAGATTAAACACCTAAACATAAGACCTGAAACTATAATAAAACTGCTAGAAGAGAACTTGAAGAAAACACTTCAGGATATTGGTCTAGGCTAGGATTTCAGGGCTAATACCTCAAAAGCACAAGCAATAGAAAGAAAAAAAGACAAATGGGACTGGGACTATATTAATCTAAAATACTTCTGCAGAGCAAATGAAATAACCAACAGAGTAAAGAGACAATCTGCAGAATGAGAGAAAATATTTGCAAAGTATTCATTTTACAAGGAACAAATATTCAGTATATAGAAGGAACTCAAATAACTCAACAGTAAGAAAATAAATAATCTCATCAAAAAGTAGTCAAATGACATGAATAGACATTTATCAAAAGAAGACATACAAGTGGTCAACATGTATATTAAAAATGCTCGACATCACTAATCATCAGGGAAATGCAAATCAAAACCACAATGAGATATCATTTTATCCCAGTTAGAATAGCTATTATTAAAAAGATTAAAAAATGATAGATGCTGGCAGGGTTACAGAGAAAAGGGAACACTTATACGTTGTTGGTGGAAACGTAAATTAGTATAGCAACTATGGAAAACAGTATAGAGATTTCCCCAAAATCTAAAAATAGAACTACTGTAGGATCCACCAATCCCACTATTGGGTATCTATTCAGAGTAAAGGAAATTATCTACATCAAAGAGATATCTACAGCCCCATCTTTTTTCCAGTACTAATCACAATAGAAAAGATATGGAACCAACCCAAGTACCTATCAATGGATGGATGGATAAAGATGGTGTGGTATTTATACACAATGGAATACTACTCAGCCATAAAAAATAATGAAATCATGTCATTTGGAGCCACATGAATGAAACTGGAGGTCATTATGTTAGGTGAAATAAGCCAGGCACAGAAAGACAGTACTGCCTGTTCTCATTCATATATGGGAGCTAAAAAGGTGATTCTCATAGCATTAGAGAGTATTTGTTTGTTTTCACACTGCCATAAAGAAATACCCAAGGCTGGGTAATTTATAAAGGAAATAAGTTTAATTGACTCACAGTTCTGTAAAGTGGGAAGGCCTCAGGAAACTTACAATCATGATGGAGGGTGAAGGGGGAGCACCTTGGACCTTCTCACATGACAGGAGGAGAGAGAAGTGGAGGCAGGAGAAATTCTAGACACTTATAAAGCTATCAGACCTTGTGAGAACTCGCTCACTATCAAGAAAACAGCATGGGGGAACCCACCCCCCATGACCCAATAACGTCCCACTCCATCCCTGCCTTGATACATTATGGGGATTGCAATTTAAGATGAGATTTGGGTGAGGACACAGCCAAACCATGAGAGAGAGATACCAGAAACTGAGAAGAGTGTATGGGTAGGAGTGGGGGTGAAATGAAGAGAAGTTGGTTAATGGTTACAACCATAGATAGAAGAAATAAGTTCTAATGTTCAACAGCAGAGTAGTGTGAGAATGGTCAACAATAATATATTGTGTATGTCAAAATATTAATAGCTAGAGGCAAGGATTTGAAATATTCCCAATTCATAGGAATGATAAATATTTGAGGTGATGGATACCCTAAATATCCTATCTTGATCCTTGCATATTATATGCATGGAACAAAATATCACATGTACCCCATAAATATGTACAAATATCACATATTGATAAAAAAACTTGAGACTTTGTATCAATATGCAAAAATCTAAAAATATGTGAAAATACATAAATGCATCTATGCTATTATTACAATTATATAAAATTTTGTATGCTTATGTAGGACTAGAGAATAGGATTGTAGGATCTTGGTAATTTAAAATTTAAAATTTATTTCTATTATAATTGAGCAATATATACAAGTCAAATAACTTCAAAATTATCAAAATTATCATTATCAACTTTCATTTTCCTTGAAGAAGAGAATTTTATCCTATTTTATATATTTTACTGTAAACTCTAGATTACATAGTCGAAAGAAACCTACCAAAGGCACTGGGTTCTTACTGATCTTTTGGGAGTAGTAACACACCTACACATAAATGGCACTTTCATGAAGGATTAGGTAATTAATTTGTTTAAAAGATTTTGGACTTACTACTGTTATTCCTGGTATCCCAGTGAAGTGTTTTGTATTTCAAACTATTCCATGTAACAGAGATTGTGAGAGAGATGCGTTGAGTTTAGATGGATTTTATACAGCAGCAGAACATAGGTAATTTGAGCAGCCTGGCTTCTAGGAAGGATTCTATGGGAAGATAATGTTGTCCTGATCTAGTGCAGTAACAGGTAAGTATGAGAAGAAGGGGTAAGAGAACCAGATACTTAAGGGTGAGAACTTTATAAGTTAAACTTCTAAAACCCATTAAATTAAAAAATATATTTCAGTAAGCTATTTACAAACAACACAAGGTATTGAGTTAAGAGCTTGGACTCTGAGTAAAGTGTAAAGGTGAGGGAAGAACTTAATGTTACTTAGCGATCTTGAAGGGTTATTGAGGTCAGAGTGAAGCTGTCAAGTACAATTAAAAATAGGATATACAGGAGAAAGAACAGGTTTGAGGAGAGGATAAATTCTTGATGTGCTGGTGGGATTCTAGAAATATTTCCTCACCACCAGCTCTCTAGAGGTACTAATTGCAACTCACAGTTGTATAAATTATAAGCAGTTTAAGAGATTGAGAAATTTTACCTAGATAACAAATTAGAGAAATTATGCCTTGATGGCAAGAACATAAACATTAAGGTATGCTCTGCTTGCCATTTTAGAGACTGGAAGAAGATTCTAGTTATATGTAACCAGGAACTAAGAAAGAGGACTCCTTATGTTGACTAGAGCAGAGTGGTCAACCCCGTTTAAATCTACATTTTAAAAATGTGCTTGCTTACAATTGGTGAACACAAAGACTTAGACAAAAGAATTCAATGTTTAAAATGCAGCTCTCTTGTAGACATGGACATATCTTGTAGTCTTTACTAGAAGAAGAGCAAACAGTTGGGCGTCTTTATATTCCATCCATATTTTAGTAGAGGAATCAGAGCCATTAGAAGACACGCTTCAGAGAATCCATTGAGTTTGGAAGGATGCAGTCACTGACTTTATGCAGTTTAGAAGTTCTATGGGACTACACCTGCTGGATAGGTGATTTTACATTGAAAAGTTAATGTGAGCTGTTCCAGACATGTGTCCTTTTTTTTCTATAGATGAGTCTATAGGCTTTCCTTAAGAGTAACCTCACCAAATATGTTGTAAAGAGACTAAACTGATGATGACTTGAAGTGTATTTTACCCTAGTTCCCTCTTATGAATGCACTTACTCCTGCTAACTAGAAAAATGTAAGAGTTTTAGATAGTCAAAGAATACAAGGTAAGAGATTAAAGGACATAGGAATGACACATGGCTTTTATCGTATACCTAAAAGGTAGCAAAACCTTGAGCTGCTTGTAAGTACCTTACTTAAAATCCTTTTAATTTCATGGATTTCAAAACTTGGTCTTAATCATGATCCTATAAAATGTATAGGAGAAACCATACTGGATATACTCTGCATATATGGGTTCAAACATGTCGTCTGTGTTCTAACCACCTGTGTGACCTTGAGTGATCATTATTGTTCCTTGTCAACAGTGTTCCTGTTTGCAATCGATCAGAACTGGACTAACTGACTACTCTCTGATATGCCTTAAGTGCTAACTAACCTAGCAAGACTCTCCCCTCAAAAGCTATTGTATCATTAAACTTTGTGGCGTGACTTACAGGAAAATGGCTCAATCCTGAAGAAATGGAACATGTGGGAACCTCAAAAATAAACAAACTAGATAGATCTAAGGAAGGAAAAGCTGTAATGTGAACAATCAAATCAGTCATAGATTAGACTCAGATTATATTACCAAGAAGCCCCAATGTTTTGAGAGTTACAAGTTTTATAAATTTTAGAGCATCTGTTGAGTGAGTTCCTTTGAAGCTTATATAATAGATGTAACAACAATATTTAGATGCTATTGAATATGTATGTAAAGCTTGCCAGCTGGTAATTGTTTCGTGACTAAAATATTATGAGCATAATCAAATAGCTAAAGATGGACATGTATTTCCTCTTTTGGAACTTTCTGGGGATTTGCCAACACACACAAAAAATATTTGAGGCAAAACGGTGACCAGTGAAAGCAATTATCCAAGGGGATACTGATTTTACAATGGGGAAAAGACAAGTTTGTTACCAGACATGCCAAATCGGTGAATGCATATGCACATAAACTAAATAATCTCACTGTAGGCAGCCATCAGAGAAATGTAAATTTCAAATTTTGCAGGCTATGGGCTAACAGGGTCAGTGTTAATATTGAAAACCAGCAGCTTAAATAAAAACATTTTGTTACGTACTTTTTGCTTATAATTTTTTCATTAAAAAATTAATACGATAACTGCATAGCAAAAATGCATTTTTTCTATTCCTTTTATTGTTCTAAATTTTTCTTTTTATTTTCTTAATTTTACTTTAAGTTCTGAGATACATGTGCAGAACGTGCAGGTTTGTTACATAGGTATACACGTGCCATGGTGGTTTGCTGCACTCATCAACCCATCATCTAGGTTTTGAGCCTCATATGCATTAGGTCTTTGTCCTAAGGCTCTTCTTCCCCTTGACCCCCAACCCTCGACAGGCCCTGGTGTGTGATGTTCCCCACCCTGTGTCCATGTGATCTCATTGTTCAACTCCCATTTATGAGTGAGAATATGCAGTGTTTGGTTTTCTGTTCCTGTGTTAGTTTGCTGAGAATGATGGTTTCCAGCTTCATCCATGCCCCTGTAAGAGACATGAACTCATCCTTTTTTATGGCTGCATAGTATTCTATGGTGTAGTATGTGTGCCACATTTTCTTTATCCAGTCTGTCCCTGATGGGCATTTGGGTTGGTTCCAAGTCTTTGCTATTGTAAATAGTGCTGCAATAAACATACATGTGCATGTGTCTTTATAGCAGAATGATTTATAATCCTTTGTGTATATAACCAGTAATGAGATTGCTGGGTCAAATGGTATTTCTAGAGGAAATACTTGTCCATCTTTAGCTATTTGATTATGCTCATAATATTTTAGTCATGAAACAATTACCAGTTTCTAGTTCTAGATCCTTGAGGAGTAGCCACACTGTCTTCCATAATAGTTGAACTAATTTACATTCCCACCAACAGTGTAAAAACATTCCTATTTCTCCACATCCTCTCCAGCATCTGCTGTTTCCTAACTTTTTAATGATCCCCATTCTGACTGGTGTTAGATGGAATCTCATTGTGGTTTTTATTTGCATTTCTTTAATGACCAGTGATGATGAGCTTTTTCTCATATGTTTCTTGGCCACATAACTGTCTTTTTTTGAGAAGTGTCTGTTCATATCGTTTGCCCACTTTTTGATTTTTGTTTTGTTTTGTTTTTTTTCTTGTACATTTATTTAAGTTCCTTGTAGATTCTGGATATTAGCCCTTTGTCAGATGGATAGATTGCAAAAGTTTTCTCCCATTCTGTAGGTTGCCTGTTCACTCTGATGATAGTTTCTTTTTTTATTTTTATTTATTATTTTTTAAATCTATTATACTTTAAGTTCTGGGATACATGTGCCTAACGTGCAGTTTTGTTACATAGGTATACATGTGCCATGGTGGTTTGCTGCACCCATCAACCCATCATCTACATTAGGTATTTCTACTAATGTTACCCCTCCCCTAGTCCCCCACCCCCACCCACCGAGAGGACCTGGTGTGTGATGTTCTCCTCCCTGTGTTCATGTGTTCTCATTGTTCAACTCCCACTTATGAGTGAGAACATATGGTGTTTAGTTTTCTGTTCTTGTGTTAGTTTGCTGAGAATGATAGTTTCCAGTGTCATCTATGTCCTTGCAAAGGACATAAACTCATCCTTTTTTATGGCTGTATGTATTCCATGGTGTATATGTGCCACATTTTCTTTATCCAGTTTATCTGATGGGGATTTGGGTTGGTTCCAAGTCTTTGATATTGTGAACAGTGCTGCAATAAACATATGTGTGCATGTGTCTTTGTAATAGAATGATTCATAATCCTTTGTGTATATACCCAGTAATGGGATTGCTGGGTCAAATGGTATTTCTGGTTCTAGATCTTTGAGGAATTGCCACATTGTCTTCCACTATTGCTGAACTAATTTAAACTCTCACCAACAGTGTAAAAGCATTCCTATTTTTCCACATCTACGCCAGCGTCTGTTGTTTCCTGATTTTTTAATGATTGCCATTCTAACTGGCGTGAGATGGTATCTCATTTTGGTTTTGATTTCCATGTCTCTAATGAACAGTGATGATGAGCTTTTTTTCATGTGTTTGTTGGCTGCATAAATGCCTTATTTTGAGAAATATCTGTTCATATCCATTGCCCACTTTTTGATGGGGTTGTTTTTTCTTGTAAATTTGTTTAAGTTCTTTGCGGTTTCTGGATATTAGCCCTTTGTCAGATGGATAGATTGCAAAAAATTTCTCCCATTTTGTAGGTTGTCTGTTCTCTCTGATCATAGTTTATTTTGCTGTGCAGAAGCTCTTTAGTTTAATTAGATCCCATTTGTCAATTTTGGCTTTTGTTGTCATTGTTTTCAGTGTTTTAGTCATGAAGTCTTTGCTCATGCCTATGTCTTGAATGGTATTGCCTACGTTTTCTTCTAGGGTTTTTATGGTTTCCGGTTTTATGGTTAAGTCTTTAATCCATCTTGAGTTAATTTTTGTATAAGGTGTAAGAAAGGGGTCCAGTTTCTGTTTTCTGCATATGGCTAGCCAGTTTTCCCAACACCATTTATTAAATAGGGAACACTTTCCCCATTGCTCCTTTTTGTCATTTTGTTGAAGATCAGATGATTTAGATATGTGGTGTTATTTCTGAGGTCTCTGTTCTGTTCCATTGGTCTATACATCTGGTTTGGTACCAGTACCATGCTGTTTGGTTACTATAGCCTTGTAGTATAGTTTGATGTCAGGTAGTGTGATGCCTCTAGCTTTGTTTTTTTGCTTAGGATTGTCTTGGCTATATGGGCTTTTTTTTGTTGTTGTTCCATATGAAATTTAAGGTAGTCTTTTTCGAATTCTGTGAAGAAAGTCAATGGTAGCTGATGGGGATAGCATTGAATCTATAAATTACTTTGGGCAGTATGGCCATTTTCACGATATTGATTCTTTGTATCCATGAGCATGAAATTTATTTCCATTTGTTTGTGTCTTCTCTTATTTCATTGAGCAGTGGTTTGTAGTTCTCCTTGAAGAGGTCCTTCATGTCCCTTGTATGTTGTATTCCTAGGTATTTTATTCTCTTTGTAGCAATTGTGAATAGGAGTTCACTCATGACTTGGCTCTCTACTTGTCTATTATTGGTATATAGGAATGCTTGTGATTTTTGCACATCGATTTTGTATCTTGAGACTTCACTGAAGTTGCTTATCAGCTTGAGGAATTTTGGGCTGAGACAATCGGTTTTCTAAATATACAATCATGTCATCTGCAAGCAGAGACAACTTGACTTTCTCTCTTCCTATTTGAATACCCTTCATTTCTTTCTCGTATCTGATTGCCCTGGCCAGAACTTCCAATACTACGTTGAATAAAAGCGGTGAGAGAGGGCCTTCTTGCCTTGTGCCAGTTTTCAAAGGGAATGTTTTCAGCTTTTGCCCATTCAGTATGATATTGCCTATAAGTTTGTCATAAATAGCTCTTATTATTTTGAGATATGTTCCATCAATACCTAGTTTATTGAGAGTTTTTAGCATGAAGGGGTATTGAATTTTATTGAAGTCCTTTTCTGCATCTAATGAGATAATTGTGTGGTTTTTGTCATTGGTTCTGTTTATGTGATGGATTATGTTCATTGATTTGCATATGTTGAACCAGACTTGCATCCCAGGGATGAAACTGACTTGAACGTGGTGGATAAGCTTGTTGATGTGCTGCTGGATTTGGTTTGCCAGTACTTTATTGAGGATTTTTGCAAAGATGTTCATCAGGGATATTGGCCTGAAATTTTCTTTTCTCGCTGTGTCTCTGGCAGGTTTTGGTATCAGGATGATGCTGGCCTCATAAAAGAGTTAGGGAGGAATCTCTTTTTCTATTGTTTGGAATAGTTTTAGAAGGAATGGTACCATCTCCTCTTTGTATCTCTGGTAGAATACTGCTGTGACTCCATCTGGTCCTGGGCTGTTTTTGGTTGGTAGGATATGCCTCAATTTCATAACTTGTTATTAGTCTATTCAGGGATTCAACTTCTTCTTGGTTTAGTCTTGGAAGATATATGTGTTAATGAATTTATCCATTTCTTCTAGATTTTCTAGTTTATTTGTGTAGAGGTGTTTATAGCATTCTCTGATGGTAGTTTGTGTTTCTGTGGGATCAGTGGTGATATCCCCTTTCTCATTTTTTATTTTGTCTATTTGATTCTTCTCTCTTTTCTTCTTCATTCATCTGGCTAGCAGCTATTTTGTTAATCTTTTCAAAAAACCAGCTCTTGGATTCATTGATTTTTTTGAAGTGTTTTTCATGTCTCCATCTCCTTCAGTTCTGCTCTGATCTTAGTTATTTCTTGTCTTCTGCTAGCTTTTGAATTTGTTTGCTCTTGCTTGTCTAGTTCTTTTAATTGTGATGTTAGGGTGTCGATTTTGATCTTTCCCACTTTCTGATGTGGGCATTTAGTGCTATAAATTTCCCTCTTAACACTGTTTTAGCTGTGTCCCAGAGATTCTGGTACGTTGTGTCTTTGTTCTCATTGGTTTCAAAGAAATAATTTATTTCTGCTTTAATTTTGTTATTTACCCAGTAGTCATTCAGGAGCAGGTTGTTCAGTTTCCAGGTAGTTGTGCGGTTTTGAGTGAGTTTCTTAATCCTGAGTTCTAATTTGATTGCACAAACCCTTTTCAACTGGTTAAATCCTGCTTGTTTGTGAAATCTTGGCACAAAAATCACTTCCTTATGGAACGCTTTTCTGAATCACCTGACAAAATGCCCCTCTCAATTATTTTTCTAACACCACACACTCATTTTTTCTAACAGGTATCACAGTCGCTCTTACTTAAATAAGCAAGAATAATTGTTAAATACCTATCTCCCTGACTCTATGGACTCTATTAGGGCAGAGATTCTATGTCTTTATTGTCCCAAGTACTTAGCACAGTGCCTGACACAGAGTAGCTATTTAAATATTAGCTTATTAAATGGTCAAATGAGTAACATTTTTGTGGTTGTTAGAAATGTATTTAAATATAAATATATAGAAATCATATCTTTAAAAATTGTTTATTTTATTGATACATAATAGATGTACATGTTTTCAGGGTACATGTGCTAACTTGATATATTCATATAATCAAATTAGGGTAATTAGAATATCTATCACCTTAATATTTATCTTTTTGTTACTCTAGGAATATATGAATTATTTTCTTCTAGCTATTTTGAAATGTAAAAATTGATTAATGTGATCTCTAGAAAGAATCTGTGCAGTAGATTTTTAAAATGATCTTAAAGAATGACTATCTGATACCTCCAAGTATTATAGCTACAGAGACCATATGGTCTAATTCTCTGAGCTTGTGCTTATTGCACATATGATTTTCCAATTTATACAGAAGTTTTTTACCAAAGAAAGTAATGTGAAGAATGTATAACCAACAGTCTTGAAAAATACTTCCTCAGTGGCAATTAATTCATATTACATAGACTGCAGCGCATATTAACTTTAAGTAGATCTGTTTTATAAAAATTGGATTTTGCAAGAATAGTGAAACAATAAAAATATTTGACATCAAATTTCAGAGTTTAAGATAAAACCAGATAGTTGTACACTCTAATATACTAATATGTACTGACAATATGTGATATTGCATATTAGATACCCTATTAGACATTCCAAATATTTAGCCATTAATGGAAAAAGGAGATAAGTTCTCAGAACTACTGTGAAGGCACAGAAAAAGTATTGGCTCTCAAGGCAGAAAAAAAAAGCTTGTGATTCAGAGAAGTAAAGTTGGCAGAGATGATCCCCCAATATGGCGACACAATATTTAAGAATATCTAATATTTAAAATTGTTAATTATTCCAGGAAATTTGCACATGTTATAAACCTGAATTTCTGCTTTATACATTAAATTTCTTGGATATATAATTTAACAAATGCAAACATTCAAAAAATAAATCTCCAAGTCCAGTACTCCGTCAGCAATAATTATTCTGAATATTCTTGATTGAGTAGTGACTTAACAAATTACTTTGTTTGCAAGGGCAGTAGGAAGTAAAAAGTGTTAATGTAACTGCTTTGGGTGTACCATCTTCTGCCCAGGTTTTCTCTAAAGAGAAGTTGCAACATGGTTCATGACATCTGAAATTTCCCGTGGGAAGACTTGGATCACTAAGGAGGCAAGATTTGTTCAAACCCACTCACCAACTGTTCCCTCAGTTACATTAGCTATTTAAATATTGTTGTCAAATGCCAGAACCTCCCAGTGGAATAACTGAATGAAAGACCTCCATTTCCCAGAAAGCTCATTCTAGTTCTTGAAATTCCTGAGATAGTATTTAGTGCAGTGAAAACAAAATGTGTTTTAAATTCTCATGCAAAATTTTATTCAGTTAGTGCAAATTTAAACAAGATAAAACAAGACTTAAGATAACTCCTTTAACAGCAATGGTATAGAAAATGTAATTTGACAAGTTGTTTAACCTCTGTGTACCTTAATTTCTATTAATATTTAATGCTGATTTACCTTATATGATGTTGAGAGGCTTAACAGGCTAATGAGTTTGAGCAATTAACACATTAAAAAATGTCTAAACCTTCAGCATGATAAGAAAGCAAAAAAAAATCCAAACATATAAATGAGAGGCAAAATTCAATACGAAAGAAGCATGAAAAGAGTAGTAGTAAAATAATTTTGGATTTCTTTTACAACTGACCACAAATTTTCCAAAAGTTTTAATAGCTGATATCAGTTGGACTTGGTCATCAAGCAGTAACCAATATGCTCCAGACACTTTCATAATTTGAAGAGTAAAAAACTAAATGTAAAAATGCTTTATCACCGTAAGTGGTACAAAAATTGATAAAGCACAACTTAAAAAATAGAATGAATAGCTTTTTTCTTATTCACAAAAATCTGAATATAGAATCTGAAATTTTCACTTATCAAACATGTCAACATACTATTAGATTAGAGGTTATCTTAGGGTTAAATTAAAAAAATGCTGAATGTATAGAATACTGTAAAAAATAAGCGATAGTTATACAAACATTTGCTCCCATGTTCCCACCCTCAAATTGGCATATTATTTTGGAAATAAAGTGTTTTAGTTACAAGTGTGCATTTTGATGTACCATATGCATTTTTAAGTATAAAAGATAAAATACCATTAAAATTCAGTTTTATTCTCCAAATCAAATCACTTACATTTTATCCACAACTATATTACTTTTTACTTTCTGTTACTTACTCCCAGAGTGATTGACATAGTTCTCCTTAGGCAAATAGAAATAAATTAAAGGAATAGCAAAATGGCAATGCTGTCATTACACTGCCTTCAATATGTCAATATCAAATTCCCATGGAGATAAATAATAAAAATTAGTAAATGATAAAATCTGAATGTACCTTGTGTAGAATTCAATTAGGAAAAAATCTGATTAAAATTACAAGTGAATAAATATTCACAAATATCAATACCTATTTATAATGGAAATTATCCACCTCTATTATGCTATACATAAATGAATTTGATTAAAGAAATGATGGGAGAAATACTAGTTATAGTTAATATGTTAAGGCTAAATATAACTATATGTTTCTATACTGCTTTTTATCATTTGTGGGAAATAACTGTTGTGATTTGAGAAAATTATGGATAATGTGATAACATTAGAAATCATTACACTTTTAAAAAGATAAAGACGTGGAAAAATATGGGAAGTTCATAAAAGAATAATGCTTTAACTTGTCCTCAGGAATTTCTGTATTGCTCTTTCAATCACAATAATTAAAAACATTCGTATAATACTTTCACTTATAAATTACTTTTTATTGAAATATGATTTATATATCATAAAGTTTACCCATTTAAAGTCTACAGTTCAATGAGAGGGAAAGACAGAGAGTGGCTGCTAATGGTACAAAGATTCTTTTTGCAATGATGAATAAATTTAAATTATAATGGTGATTGCACAACTCCGTAAATATAATAAAGCATTTTGAGCACTGTTTCATTTCATTGCTACAAAATCCTTTAAAAGCCTAGACTCTAGAGAAGAATAGCATTCACATGCAAGAAACTTTAAGGAATTATACAATATATGGGAAATACGGGACCCGATTGGGGGCTGGGGGGAAGAGAGAGAAGCATGTGAAGAAAGAGGCAGAAATCCTTCAGTGATTGATCAACCACCAATCCGAGAAAGGGTGGGGCAGGAGTCAGGAAGCACCATGGGACAGTACAAGCACATTTGCAATCTATCAATATTTGGGGAAGCAAACAAGGGATCAAAGGGCACACTGCCTGGGGATTCTGCAGCTGTACTTACTCATATCCACTTCAGATCTAGCACAGAGACCATACCAGGAACCTAAACTGAGGAATTTACTCATGCAACACGTGTTAGGTACCTACCTTCCACATGACAGATTCTTCTCTAGATGCTAGGGTTATAACAGTAGACAACACAGAAAAGTCCCTTTCACAGAGCTTACAGTCTAAGGTGGGAAACAGGCAATAAACAAGTATATCAGTGGCTGATAGATTGAGGGTGGCTCTACTTTCCTATTTTATAAAGTAGTAAAGGATTTCCTTATCAGAAACCTGAAGTGAATATTCAGGAAAAGAGTAGTCCAAGCAGAGGGAACAGATATGCAGACAACCTGAGGGACAGGTTTGTATGATGTGATTGGGGAAGGACAAAGAGTTCAGAGCGATTGTCCCAAAGGGATGAGCTGGGAGTCAAAGGAGATGAGTTCAGAGACAGGGCCTCCAGCAACAATGCGGGGCCTTCCAGTTCAGGGTAAAGACTGGATTTCATTCTGTGTGTGACAAGGGTCATGAACAGAAGAGAGACATGATTTGATTTTTGTCAGATCAAAACAAAGAAACAGTAGAAAGATGTTTTAGAATTAAAGAGATATCTGAGTCTACAAAGTTTAAGCACTCATGGAGTACTAGGCACAACTAACAATGAAAGAAACCCTTCAGTTTATTTTCAACCTTGAAATAAATAAAAGGTATTATTCACATCTAGGCTGAAACAAAACAGAACAGGCTGTGTTCAAAGAAGAAAATTATTCTGGTCTTCTAATTCTTTGCTATAACCCTATATACCAAAAGACAATGGAGAAGTAGCCACAGGGTTCTGAGAGAAAATAGGTATCACTTAAGAATTATATACTTAGCCACACTGTCTTTCAAGCACAACAGAGGTAGTTTCAGACATGCAGGGACTTACAACATTATAATCCATGAACATTTCCCCTCAAAAAATTGACCTGTAGGTATAGGCTGACCAAATAACTAAGTCGAGAACATTTATGACTATAAAAAGAAAAGTTGTCAATAGTAAAATATAATAAGCTACAATTTCTTTCACAAAAAGTATTTTGGTTAATTATTATGTAAAATTAAAGTTATAAATGTTTTATATAAAATTGTATTAAATGTGTGAAAAGCAAATATGTAAGTGTATACATAATTTTTGGATAAATACACTGGGTAATTCTGAAGTTCTTTGTGCTTTGTATTTTTCAATTTTTTTGTAAGTTTTTAAATCAGAAAAATAATATACTGTTTTAGCCTGTTTTCATGCTGCTGATAAAGACATACCTGAGACTGGGAAGAAAAAGAGGCTTAATTGGACTTATAGTTTCACATAGCTGAGGAAAGCCTCAGAATCATGGTGGGAAGAGAAAGGCACTTCTTACATGGTGGAAGCAAGAGAAAATGAGGAAGAAACAAAAGTGGAAACCTCTGATAAACCCATCAGATCTTGTGAGACTTATTCACTACCAGGAGAACAGCATGGGAAAGACCAGCCCCCATGATTCAATTATCTCCCCCTGGGTCCTTCCCACAACACATGGGAATTCTGGGAGACACAATTCGAGTTGAGGTTTCAGTGGGGACACAGCCAAACCATATCATATACATTTTCAATAGTAAAGGAAGAAATTATTTGGTCATATTATCCTCTGGTATTTGTAAAATGTTATGCTTTATATATTCTAAGAGTAGAAAAATTGAATTTGTAGGTCATTAATGAAACATATAGATTCTTTATTCAGATATAGCTTTAGAATATATCTAGCTGAATGGTTAACTCAGGTTTTAGCACTGAATTCTTCATTCAAGTGAAGACTGATGATCATCATCACCAAAGCTAATATTTGAGCACTTACTACTATGTACCAGGAAATTCTCTAACCATTTTACACGTAGCACCTAATTTAATCCTCACAACAATATGATTTTTCAGAAGAATAAATTGATGTACAGAGTTGACAAAACAATTGCTCAGTGTTGCATGGCGGGTAAGTAATGGAGACAGATTTTCGTACTCATCCTGTCTGACTAAAGCCAATGTCTTTGAGACTAAACAACACTCCATGGTAGGCAGCCTTTAAAATAATCCCAAATAATCTCTACTTCTTACTATTTACCCCCTCTGGGGTAGTCCCCTTCCCTTAAACATAGACTTGACCTAATGACTTGCTTCTAATGACTAAAATACAACAAAAGTTATGAGTTCTCACTTCTGTGATTGGGTTATAAGAGATTACAACTTTTATTTTTTTTTGTTTTCAGACTCTTGGTTTCTTGGCTTGCATACTTTGATAAAGCAAGGCACCATGTTGGAGGGCACTACTTGTAAAGATACTGAAGGTGGCCACAGGCCAAATGCCAAGGAAGAAGTGAGGCCATCCATGTGATAACTTTTGAGAAACTGAACTCTGTCAACAACCATACGAGATAATATGGAAGCAGAACCTTCACCAGTTGAACTTTCAGATGAGGCCAAGTCCTGTATGACACTTTCATTTCAGCCTGTAAGAGACTCTAGGACAGAGGACCCAGTGAAATCATGCCCAGATTACTGAATATGAATATGTTCTGTTAAATGACAAAGAAGAATTAAGGCTTCAGCTGGAATTAAGTTTGCTAATCAGCTGACCTTAAGACAAAAGATTATGCTGGATTTCTAGTTCTGCTCAATGTACTCAACAGGACATGTAAATGTGGAAGAGGGAGGCAGGAGAGTCATTGTTAGAGTCATGAGAAAAATACCTGGATATTGCTGACAAAGAATTTGGAAGATGGCCACAGCCATGAAATGTGGGAAGCCTCTGGAAGCTTGTGAGAGAAAGGAAAATGGATTCTCTCCTAGAGTCTCCAGAAAGAAAGGCTGTCTACCAACACCTTGATTTAACCCAATGAAACCCACATCAGACTTCCTGACCTACAAAATTCTCTAAGATGATATATTTGCATTTGCATTGTTTTATGCACTAACTTTGGTGATAATTTGTTGCATAGATGACTAATAAACACACTATGTCAAACAGAGGAAAAAATAGCTGGCTAGTAGTCATTCTTCTCTGAACCTTAGCTACCACCAAAGCAGTCCCTGAAATTTTAACTTAGTGTTCCATAGAACGCAGTGTGAAGGCCACTGATCTAGACTAACTTCTCAGGAGGTGAATAAATTTCTTTGAATAGTAGCACTAAGAGGGACTACAATAATTGAGAAAGGAATCACTTAATTCTAGGTGTCATTTGCCTTTGGGTCTGTTAGTAAGATCTCTCATGCCTGGTTGTCCATGTAAGTTTTTCTTATGTGGAGCATAGCATGAAAATTCTTTAGCCTCATAACTTGGGTTGTGATTCACCTGTACTGTGAATTCTCCCATTTGCAAACCACTTACTACTTGTTGCCTCCCTTCATTGTAGAAATCTTCTCTTGTAGCCCCAGGTCCAGTTTTTATCCTTTTACTTACTGCTTTCGTATTTTTCCAATAAGCCAGAGCAGTGATTTGGGGTCACGGTGTCATTGAACTCTGCCATCTACATAGTGAATTGTGAGTTTTTACTCACTGTAATGTGTTTCTACTCATTCTAGTGATGGTACTAAGGTTTACAAATAATTTGTTTATTCATGTAAAAGAATAAACTATATCCTAATGTCACTCATACTCTTTCACATGCTGAAGTGGTCCCTGGTAGGCCAGAAAGGCCTGGAGTTTCTTGTAGCACATGGCATTGTATACATAGCATGTCAGCCTTGGCTTATCAGGACACATTTTGAAGCTAAGATCAGCATTTTGGAGCATTCTTAAAGAACCCTTCCAATGACAAGTAATGCAGAGTGCAATGAAGTTTCTTGGGGAGACGCAGAGGGATGACCAGAGCAGAGCACAGCACAATACACTAATTTACCCACGAAACATTTTTGTTTTCTCTCCAAGATGTGCTCCATGATCCAAGCTGCTCCTGTCCTTTCCAGCCAGCAGACTGTCAATAGGTCTAGCCTATATCTTCCTCTTCTACTATGATTCTAAAAATGCCATTTTCTTGCCCCTAATTCTATTGTTTTTGCCAAATTGAATATCCCATTGATATAGGATTAATATGTCTGTGAAGTTACTCACCACAAACCATTTACAGGTATTCTCTTGATAGCATAACACACATGTGAATGTTATCTATAATGCTTGAAAAGGTTTGATCTAAAGCATAAATGGGCTTTACCCAAGTCCTTTCCCCTTCTCCTCAATTTGCAGCCAGGTCGCACTTAAAACAAACATGTGTAATTGACAGTCAACCCAACAGAACCAACAGGAGGTCATTTCTTCAGAGCTTTCCCTGGAAGGTTTCCAAATAAAAACAAACAAACAAAAAAAACCATGGTTTCCTAAGCTTCTCATCAGGAGAAAGTTTCTAGAAAGCTGATTTCATGCCAACTGCTACCTCCTTCCCAAGTTTCTTTTGTTGCCAAAACATTTTCACTGGCTGAGTATCAGCAGTCTCCAAACAAAGTCACAGATTTTTTTACCGAAATATTACAAAAATAGTCACAGCTATTTTTTTTTTCATTGGTTATATCTACATATCTACATGCATTGTTGGGCTTGTGATTCATTTGATTTAATGAGGAGACAGCCAAATTTACAAGTTCCACAATTCAAGTTCAAGTAGTTTAGATAATATTCATTTGTTCCTGAATAATTTTATCCTCTTTATTATAGGTAGCAAGGCAGCAATGAGCACCTAAGGCCATGACATGTAAATATTTCTGTTTCCTTTTTAAAATGAAATTTTCTAAACTAATTTTAACAATTCTTTCAATTTATTATTTCTCTAAAAAAATTCTAAAAACCACTAATAAGGAAGAAAAATCTAAGCAAGTTTTCATCACTTTCTCTTTTCTTTTTCCTCCTATCTCTTCCCAGATGGTACATGGCTGAAAAACTAATAGCAGGAAAATGATAGAAAAAATACAAAGTTAAATATATAATTTTCACATAAGTGAAAACCTACCATGTTATGATAATGACATATGCAAAATGCAGTTAGCTCTGTTCCCTTGTTTTCAGCCAATACCAACTTTATTTTCTTGATTGAACTCTTACTATATTTTTCCTTCTGGCAATAATGGCTTTCTATAGATTTTTATTTTCAAATGCTCCATTCAAATACCTTGCCCAAGAGATGTGATCATTCACCATGAATATCTTAATTTGTTTGAAGAGAAAACATTTTTATGCATAAATATAACATTTTTTATGTATATTTAGAAATAAAGAGCTAGGTACACAAAAACAGGCCCCAAATTGTGTCAAATTCCAAATATTGCTGGGGAAATTATCTATATGCTGTATTATACTGGCAAACTTATCAACATAGAAATATATCTGAATATATCTAAAATATGTATTTTGTGAGATTTAAGGTGGCATAATATATTTTCAAAATATTCAATTATTATTTTTTGAATAGGAGTATTTAATTTTAAATGAAATTACAAAGTTTCATACTCTATGAAGCTTATTTTTAAGAACAGTGTTGTTAAACTGCTAGCTTCAACCCATCAGTGGGTCATAACATCAATTTAGAGGGTTATGACCAGAATTTAAATATATATACATAAATTATATGCAATATGTCATATATGTATGCTATATATTATAAACATGTAATATCTTCATGTATATACAGATATATATAATGTACACACACAGCTATGAAGAAATACAATTTCAGAATTTGTTATCTTTATCATGATGTTTATATTTCATGAAGTTTTTTTTTCGTTGTGTGTGTGTGTGTGTGTGTGTGTACTATATTGCTGTAGAAGTGTATTTTCTTTTTGCTTTGGATTGTGACCAAAACATGTACAAACAGAAAAAAGGAAAAGGCATCAAAAACAGAAAAAAAGTAGTAAAGAAGTGAACAAATAACCAGGCTAAATAATATGATTCAGATATAATAAGTGTTTTGGGGAGAAAAAAGAGTTGGAGATGCGTGGGAGTGTTCTGAGGGATGGGATGGTCAGGGTAGGGTTGTGAACGAAGGTGACCATGAAATGAGACTTGAAGAATGGAAAGGAGCCCTCTATGAAGAGAAGGGAAACAGCTTCATAGGCAGAAAAGCAAGCAAATATGAATGCCCTGGTGTGGGAAGACATTTGGCTCAGTTAAGGAAGTCATGAGGACAGTGTGGCTACATTTGAGTGAGAGGAACGTGAATGAGGTAAAGTTGGAAAGATGGGTAGAGCCCAGACTACATGCTACATTATACGCCATAGTAAAAATAATGGATTTTGGTCAATTGAAAGAGGAAGCCTTTGGAAACTTTTATATACCAGGGAATGTCTTGATGTAATCTAAGTGTGTGAAAGTCAATCTGAATGTTATGAGCTAATGGATCATAAGAAAGCAAGAGTGGAAATGTGCAAACTACTTAGAGGGCTATGATAGGTATCAAAGTGAAGGGGGCCTGTGGCTAGAACTAGTTGGAGGTAGTAGAGATGGAGAGAAGTGTGAGAGCCAAATATGCTTTGGAGCTAGAATAGGTAAGTATTTATGGATTTGTCTATGTCAAGTGTCTGGAGATGGTGGTAGAGCAAGAGAAATAAGGAATCAAAGATAATGTCTGATAATCCACAAATGGTAACATATTTTGCTGTAATAAAAAAGACCAAGAGAGGAATAGGGTTTGGGTGAGAAGGTTGTACTTCTAGGTTTACTTTAAACATTTAAGTTAGAGATGTCTAATGGACATGCTTTTCATCCATATCACTGATTTAAATCTTATATGTTTATTTGTGTAATTATTTGCTTATTGTAAAGTAAAAGTTTCTCAAGGCAGGGATCATGCCTGTTGTGTTGCATTGAGCCTTGCTAGCATAATGCCTGGCATAGAGCAAGCATTCTGGGAATTCCTTGAATACATAATACATAAGTGTGTGTATTAATGAAAAATTAAATGAATATTTGTGAGTAATTTTCCTTTGGTGATCATTTTTATCAAATAAACCAAGTTTTAACAGAAGATAGTTTCTACTTGCATAAGGATGAGCCAAGAACAATGAGATGTCTATAAAGAATCATGAAATGGGTTCATTTGCTACTTAAATCACCTGCTTCCACACAGCGGTTTTCTAGAGCAGTGGTTCTCAACTTTGGTGCACATCAGGTGCAACTGGAAGTTTTGTCAAAACAGGAATTGCTGGGCCCTATTCCCAGGATGTCTGATTAGGTAGATGTGGGATGGGGCCCAAGAATTTGCATTTCCACCAACTGCCTAGCTGATGCTGCTGGTCCAGGGATAATCACTGCTCTAGCAAGCAAAAGTTTTGAACCTGGGGTCCATGGATCCTTGGAAGAAGTCAATGATTGGGCTATAGGGCATTTGTATACATATCTTTGGGAGAATATATGCAGAGTTTTGATGTATAGGCTATTTAGCATTCTTCTAGTAATACAGTCTACATATTTTATTAGATTCTCCAAGAAGGCCACCAAAATGTAATTAATGTTATGAATAATGGTACTCAATCATGAATACATCAATCTAGTATGAATACATACTAGAATCACCAGGAATCTTGGCTCTTCCATTCAATTGCAATATAATTTCAGGCAAAATAACCTCTCTAAAAGGGGGATAATGATAGTATTTATTTCATAGGCTTGTTGTGGGGATCAAATAAGTTAATATTCATAAATCATTTAAACCAGTACCTAGCAAGTGCTAAATAGGCAATTGCTAAATAAGATTAAAAATCTGGGCATGTTTCAAAAGGCCAAGGCTCTACCCCTGGTGATTCTAATGTATAATCAGTGTTGAAAACCACTGTTCTGAAATGAAGAGAGCACAGTAGATCAATGAATGCCTTTCCTGAAAGTGTCTGGTTAATTTCTTTTCAGTGAACCAGAATTCCCTTCCCAGAGGAGCTTGGTGAGGAAAACTAGAGAGGGTTAACAAGAGCTTTAGCATCTTAGACAATAATTTATTTTTATAAAATTTCAAGAGTCATTTCTTGCTCACCTCATTTTCCTGTTGTTATGGGAAGGGCTGAGAGAAATGAAGCCGAAGGGAAAAAAAATGGTTTTATCCACACTGACTATTATTTTTGTTTAAAATCATCACAAACAAAAACCTGACCTAAAATAAGAATATGCTAATATTATACAGAAATGATCAGAAAGGCAAATACTAATTGTGCTAGCCAGCCTTCAAGATGACACCTGTATCCTTGACTCTTAGAGTTCATCACCTCGCATACTCTCTCCCACACTGAACAAGCTGAACTGTGCGACCAACGAGATATTGTAGAAGTGACTGAGTGTGGCTTCACAGTATAGATAATAAAGATGGCAGCTTCTGCCTTTTCTCTTGCATTGCCCACTTTGGGAAAAGCTAGCAGCTGTATCTTGGAGATGGTCAAGGAGTTTGTGGAGAGGTCCATGCTGAGAACAACTGAGGTCTCCTGCTGACAGCCCGCAACTACTCAACAGCCATGTAAGTATGTCACCTAGGAAAGCAATCCCCCAGCCCATCAGTTCTTCAACAACAGGAGCTACTTACGTATGTTGCCAGCCACTAAATTTTGGGATAATTCATTATATCATAATAGGTAACTGATACACTAACCCTAAACCTTATATTTTTTAGGTATCCAAGCTGAGAGTTTCTCTTTTACTATTTTGGTGCTACTGCAGGGGATCTGTTCATCTTATTCTTTTCTGACTCCTTAAGCACACCAAAAATAATTAGCTACTAAAACAATTAACTAGAAAGGGGGTATGTTGTAAGAGGGAGAGAGAAAGATCACCCAGTCTCAGCCTTTTAGTCTCCTGAGGCCTCATATAAGAGAGAAAGAAAAAAAGTTGTCATACTTGAGTGAGTACCAAGCTCAACAGTGAGAGACCAGCTGTATTCACGACAACACAGACTCTGAATTGAGTTAACAAGAAATTTAAATTCTAATACCATCTGAAACAAAAAAATGTGAGAAAGCTCAGTGTTTTCCAGGAGCACAGATGACCAGGTAACTTAACTAAATCCTTGAATGTCAGTGTCCACTGTTGTTCCTTATTTCAAAACCAAAGAGGCAGAATTATATGAGATAAAACTAGAATCTTAGAGTTTGAGTTCAGGCAGGGATAAAATACTCATTAAGGCCTTATGTTCTATTTATATAGTGACCATCTACTAATTAAAAATATCTAAACAGGTAAGTCTCCATATCCTGATTCTAATACCAGCTCAGTGGGCTTTTGGAAACTCATTTCCATTTACGTGAGATTCTGCTAAAGTTCACCATAGTATAATAGAAAGACAGATTTAAAAGTTATTGAAGTTATTAGCCATTGAACTTCTAATAGTATCAGAGCACCCAGCTGTGTGTTCAACAAATAGATTTGCCTATACTACAAGTGGGACCACATTCATAGCCTGAGAAGTTAGTTTAGTCCTGTTCTTTCCATTTGATTACTTTTTAAGTTGGACCAGAGAAAGTGGCTGACCAGTTAATTACATACCTACTCTGATGTATTCATCTCTATCAAAAGAGCATGGTATATTACTCAGGTAAACATATTTTAATTATCTTTTACTGAAATAGATAACAAAGTGATTTAGTAGATGGTCAAAGGTGTACCTAAATAATAGCATTACAAACAGTCTTAGATGTCTATTTTTCTTCTGTTATTTAGAAACCAAATATTTTAGTCAGCATGATTCTAGATTAATTATACAGAGCTTGCCTTCTCTATCTACTCCAGATATACAAAACAAGTAGTTTCAACTCAATTGCAAGGGAGGAGGGAGTGTGCGGGTTGGAAGGGAACTGCCAGTGGAGGAAACTGTGGAATGTGCTTACTATAAGTGTGAAAGAGGAACTGTGCTTCCAAGTTTAGGTCAATGGTATTAACACTGATGCTTTCCTTCAATGTAAAGATGAAAGGAGGCAAGAATCTCCTAAATTTCTGAGATACGTGTTTAGAGGTGAAAAGCGGATGCTAATTAGCTTCATTTCTTGCTCCCGTTTTATTGTCTTTTATGTTTATTCCCACATAGCCACTTCCAGCTCATCAGTGTATGCAGGATATATTTACCAAGCCCCCAACCCTCCCAGTTTTTAATTATAATGTGTTTATTTCCTTATTGTGATTTCAGATCTTTTGGAAGGGATAACCAGGATGCCCCAAATGCTTTAGTGTGTCTAATCTCTTCGAAAGCCCTAAATGCACCAGGTGCTCATAAGATATAGATAAAGAAGGGGCAGGGCAGACAGGGTGCGGGAAGAAACATGCAGAACAAGCAGTGGAAGGTGAGCCTAGAACACATCTGTCCACCTTGGTCTTGCCCTGCTTCTCAACGTCTATTCTCCCTGATCTCCATTTCCCCACTAAAACGACATAGGGGATTTAATGGAATATTTTTCGACTTTGTATTAGACAGTCTGACAGCTGATTTTTATTAACCAGTCTGTGAAATCTGTTTGATGGCTAAAATGTGGTTTTATCTCATAAAAGCAGCATTTTGCCATGTGTTCTGTGGGCTGTGTTTGCTAATGTAAAATAGATTGTTATATATTAGAAAGCCTTTGGGTAAGGATTGAGGCTAAAAGGCATTCTGATGAGCTAAAGCTTTACTATTCTGTTGTGCAAATATCAATATGGACAATTAAACTGATGAACAATGTACTTCAATATAGAAGGGACTAGAAAACAGCTACTTGGGACGTTGAGGCAGCAGAATGGCTTGAATCAGGGAGTCGGAGGTTGCAGTGAGCCAACATCACACCACTGCACTCCAGCCTGGTGACAGAGCTAGACTCCGTCTCAAACAAACAAACAAACAAACATACATAAAACATATAGGAAATTTTAACAATGTACAACTGCCTGGCTCTAATATAAATGAAAATAATTCTGAATTATGTCACTAATCTACTCATATATATTCATTTACACACTGCTTTAGTGCTCCTTAGATTTTCATGCAACCATTATTTATTGAGCAACTACTATATGCCAGGCTTGTGTTAAGGACTGACACATGGTTAACATAGTTCTTTTTTTCAAAAAGCTCTAATCTCATATAATTGAAAATGTCACTAGTAAGACCATCTATTCTACTAAAAAGCATTAAAACACTTTAATCTTCAAAATATATATGAAGTATGCTGAATCATAGTTAAATATGGAAAATACAGTTATGCAGAATTGTACCCAAGTCCCCAGTTAAATTTACTCTAAGACATAGATTTAGAGTAAGTTTTAAATTTACTCTAAAACTTAAATGGTAAGGTTAATTGTCAACTTTCTATAACATTTAGCTTATACATTATGATACAAAAAGGCAATAAATGTTTGAAAATGCACTGAGTTTTGTTCTACTCAAACAAAAGGGGAGAACAGTGAAACACAAAGGTGTTGAGCTCTTGGAATGTTCCCAAGGTCACACAGCAAAAGACGGTCACAAAATGATGTCTCCTCTACTGCCCTTGCCACTAATCCATTGAGTTGGGATTACCTGGTAAAGTTGGCAATTTATTTGTTCAACAAGTAGTTATTGAGTAGCTTCTATTTTCTAAACATCATTATAGGCAATGTAGATATGTTGGTAAAAGTCATAGACAAAAAAATTACATTTTGGTAAAAAAGACACATACATAATCAAATCAACAAACAAATAAACAAATAAAATCAGTTGTTACGCAGCAGATTAAAATAAGTTTATTCCTGGGAGCTACTACAGATAATGCGGTGAGGGAAATCTTCTCTGAGGAGGTGTCAGTAGCTGAGCCCTCCATGGCTGCTTATGAAGATTGGTGGGAAGAAAAATCCAGGCATCAGAGCAGCTGGCCAAAAAATCCCTCATGCAGGAATAAACTTTTACTGTAGCGAAGACAATAAAGGAATCAATGATAACCCGTAAGTGCTTAAGTAGCTGCATAAATGGTGGCACCAATAACTGCTATAGGGAACAGCAGAGAAGAGTCTGTTCTGACAAAGGAGATTAAGAATCTATACAGACCCTAAAAATCTTCAGATGCCTGATAGACTTTCAAGTAGGGTGGGGGGATGCAGAGTATAGGCCTAGGGTAGTGAACGCTCTCTGAAAAAAAGTTATTTGCTGAGTGGACTGGTAGTTCCTGTCTGATGTAAGAGAATCTTGGGGTCCCAAAGAGACAGTGAAAGCAGAGAGATGTAAAAGGATGTGGTTAGTAGGAGACAAAGATGGAAGAGGTAGGAAGGGCTGGGTCATTAATAAACTGTAGAAGAAACACCTCATTGCAAAGTAAGGAATTGTACCTCTGAGCAGTTCTGGTGTGATTTTAAAGATTAGATAAACCTCTCTATTTGTGAGTGGGAGAGCCTGACTTTATCACAAAACTAGATATTATGATCTATCTAGTACCTTTTTTTTCCAAATAAGAAAAACTGAATGTTCCCTCTGCAACCTGGTACAGGAAAGCTATTAAACATTAGCATGATAAACACGAACGCTATAAAACCTGTCTCACTCTCGCAACCTATTTTCCATATTGTAATCAAAATGATTTTTCTAAGTTGCAAATCTAAGTAAGACATGCACCTGCTGAAAATCCTTTATGGGACTTTGTTTCTCTCAGCACAGAGTCAAACTCCTCACGATGGCCCACAAGGCCCTGTCTGCTGGTCCCTGCTAATTTCTCCTGTCTTACTTCTTGCTACCTCTTTCTTGATCATTGGGCCCACTGAGTTCTCTCTTCTCAAATGCACCTTGTGCTTTCTCTAATTGCTAGTGCTCTGTCCTACCAAAAGCTCTTCTTACTCCTACCTATCCTTTAGGTCTTTATCAAAGTTACATTTTCTTAGAGGAAGTTCCCATAGTAAGCCTGCCTTGTCCCCTAGCCCCATGTCTGCTGTAGGTGCTTCTCCAGACACTCCGTCATCATAAGTCCTCACCACTCCACATTGCAACTGTTTGCATTCTTGTAGTCCTCCTCTGCAATCTTGATGAGGGTGGGGACCAGGGCTATCTTGTTCACTGTTGCATCCCCTACATCCAGTGCACCAATGGTCATTTAGTATCTATGGGCTCAATATATATTCACTGAATAAGTACAAAGAAATTTTTCTACTAGGTTGTTAGTTTCTAGAGGATAGTAACCAGGTCTATGGTTCTATCTCTAACTGTAAACACAATGAGGGTGCACAAAGAATATTTATAGAATTGTTTAACTTAGAGCTGTATTTCTCTTTTCTACACTGAATGATTTGTACTTATTCAGAGTGGAGTTTCGGGTGAAGACCTCTGCCATTGTTCTTGAGCAAACTTGGTAGGATTTTGACCCGCCTCCTGGTGGATACTATTTCCAAGTCCACGTAGACAAATATCTGGACTAAACAACTCATCCACCCCCTCAATATGGCCTGCTTTGGTAAATGAACTACCATAAAGTATTCTTGCATATGAGCATAATCCTATCAGTGAAATATTTTTATGATCCAAGAACTTAGACCATATAATTAAAAATGTATATACTTCTTTAGGGCTTTTTGAGTACTTTGAGACCTTATCTTTTCACCATACGGAAATAAGTTTTAGAACTAAACTGATCACAGTAATCAGTGTTTTAATGTTTCAATTCTCAACATTTAAAGCCAAGAACACAATATCACCATTTAACTCTAACATGTATTCGAATAAGTATAAATATTTATAATTACCTTCTAATGCATATTTCATATCCAGAGCAAAAAGAGTCCACATAATTTCGGCACTTATTTTTCCCATGTTCAGCTCTTGAGGAAACCTAAAACCAAACACATTGTATTAGTGTATGAAGAAGAAAAGCATGCCTAAAAACCAAAATACAGCATTTTACATATATACCACAGTAGTTATTACATAGTTCATAAATACTTTTATTTATGACATTTCTCTTTATGAACTTTCGTAAGTAAAAAAAAAAATGTTACACACTAGAGTTTAATGTTAAAAAGTTATTGGATGGTAAGAAAAGAGACTTCATTATATCAGTGCCAAAGTAATGGTGCCTGGGTCTCCCTGTGGATGTCTTGTGATGAGTGTTTGTGTCTCAAGAGCTCCTTCACTTTTATCGAAGACTCCATCTTCTTCTTTTTTTTTTGAGACAGAGTCTCACTCTTCACCCAGGCTGGAGTGCAATGGTGCCATTTTGGCTCACTGCAATCTCTGCCTCCCGGGTTCAAGCAATTCTCCTGCCTCAGCCTCCCAAGTAGCTGGGATTACAGGCGTGTGCCACCATGCCCGGCTAATTTTTTGTATTTAGTAGAGACAGGGTTTCACTATGTTGGTTCAGGCTAGTCTGGAGCTCCTGACCTCAGGTGATTCAACCACCTTGGCCTCCCAGAGTGCTGAGATTATAGGCATGAGCCACCATACCTGGCCGACTCCGTCTTTTTATGTCTCACTTTTGAGGATAGATCAGATGAAGCTGAATAGCAAACACCATATGACACTAAAAAATCACACCTCATATATGTCCCTCAGCCATTTTCTTTGAAGCACAATTAAGTACTTCTATTTTTTCTATTATCTATTATCTTCATGTGAATTATATGAACAAAGATTCCTCACTCCCTCTGGCAAAATGGCTCCTGGTGGACACACCCACTAATCTGTACTCCAGAACTTCCAGGCAGGTCTGTGTTTTAGACTAAACAAGCTTAGGTTAAAAACAAGATTCTGACTGCTTCTAAAAATTTATTTTGTTTGCATGTGTTTTCAGTCTCATGATAAGGCTCTTAATAATATAAGCCCAATGAATATGATGACCGAGTCTTTTTATTACAGTGTAAACACTCACTCCATGCCAGAATGTAAGACTAGAAGTATTTTCTCTCTATATATATACAGACTTGCACACATGAATAAAAATATTTATATCAAAGAACAGAGCTAGCTCTCACATTCATCCACATTTGGGGGTTCGAATAAAAAAAGAGTATAATCCTGTATGGAAAGTGTTACCTAAGGAAATATGACCTCAAAACAACCTCAAATAAGAAAAGACTATTGACACATACAGAACTACTCTAGTCCATATTTTCATCAAAATTAGAGTGTGTTGCATCAGTTTCCCTTACTGACTGCCAATTTTATCAATTTGTCTAATAAGGCATTCGATTTTAAAACTTAAATCAGAAGCTTTACATTTATCAAGTATTTAAGTTCAGAACTTTTCTAAAAAATTTAATACAATCTGAATACATATAAATTAGTTTTCAATATTAAATTTTACTTTACTGATATAAAAATAACCCTAGGCAAACAATTTATTTCAAAAGGTTTCATTTGAGCATAAATACTAGCATAACACATTTTGTAGTACATTAGATTTTATGTAATTAATATGCGGCATCAAAATTATAAGTGATATAATAAGAGTACTTTATGCTTATAAAAAGGCAAAATTGCTTAGCTATTTTAATTTATTTGAATCAAGAATAAGATTATGTTAACTTTATAGTACAATATACAAGAAACAAAGAACTAAAGAACTAAAACTAAAAACTAAAACACACAAAAAACTAAAGAATATCTCTTATAAACATAGATGTAAAAATCTTCAACAAAAAATACCAAATTTAATCTCACAATATATAAAATGAACAATACATTATGATCGAGAGGTTTATCCCAAAAATACAATGTTAATTCAACCTTCAAAAATGAATCAACATAATTTACCATATTGTTAGACTATGGAAGAAAAATTTTATGATCATCTCAATAGATGCTGAAAAGGTATTTGACAAACTTCAACATTCATTCATGATTTAAAATCCCTCTGAAAGACAGTAAAGTGAACTTTTTTAACCTCATAAAGAGAATCTACAAAACCCTACTGCTAAAATTATAGTTAAGTCTCACACTTGATACTTAAGGATGAAGATGATGATGTTGACTCTCAGTATTTCTACATAACATTGTGCTGGAGTTCCTAAATTCTGTTAAAATGCAAGAGAAATACATAAAAGGCATATAGATAGCAAAGGAAGAAATAAGACTTTTCACAGACAACATGGTTTTCTACATAAAAAATGGCATACTAAAAATTGTCTGCATAGAAAATGTCTAAAAAACTAATTTAAGAAGCTACAAAATATAAGGTCACAGAATATAAAATCATGTATTTTGGTATACTACCAATGAACTATTGGAAATTCAAATTAAAATAATAGTATCATTTATAATAGCATCTGATATGGTTTTGCTCCGTGTTCCCACCCAAATCCCATCTCAAACTGTAATCCCTACATGTTGAGGGAGGGATCTGTAATCCCCATGGGGGCAGTTTCCTCCATACTGTTCTCTTATAGTGAGTGAGTACTCATGAGATCTGATGGTTTTAAAAGCGTTTGGCAGTTCCCTCCTGTGCTCTTGCCTCTCTCCTCCTGCCTTGTGAAGAAGCTGCTTGCTTCCCCTCAGCCTTCAACCATGATTATGTTTCCTGAGGCCTCCCTCACCATGTGGAACTGTGAGTCAATTAAACCTCTTTCCTTTATAAATTACTCAGTCTCGGGCACTTTTTTTGTTTTTTTTTTCAGATGAAGTCTCACTCTGTCACCCAGGCTGGAGTGCGGTTGTGCGATCTTGGCTCACTGCAACCTCCACCTCCTGGGTTCAAGCGATTCTCTTGCCTCAGCCTCCCGAGTAGCTGGGACTACAGGTGTGCACCTTATAGCAGTGTCAAAATGGACTAATGCAGCATCAAAAGTTATTAAATACTTATAAATCTAAGATAATATGTACAAGATTTATATGAAGAAAACTATGAAGTATTGAAAAAAGAAATTAAATAAGGCCTAAATCAATATATTGTATTTACAGACTGATACACTCAGTAATGTTAGAATTTTATCTTTTCTCAAATTGATTCATAGATTCAATGCAATCTCAATCAAAATTCTAGCAGAATTTCTTGTGGAAATTAACAAACTGATTCTAAAATTGACATAGCAAAGTAAAAGCACTAGAAGAGGAAAAAATGTTTTTTTAAAAGTAAAGAACAAACATTACTTGTATTTGCAGCTTTCTATGAAAATATAATAATTTATACAGAATGTCTTCAACTACAAGACAAGAGTGGCTACTCTTACAAGAGTGGCTAATTTTCAACAATGTGTAACAGTATGTCAGTGAAGAAAGGACAGTCTTTTCAACAAGAGATGCTAAAATACTTGAATAACCACATGCAAAAAAGAAAAAAATCTTGACTCATACCTTGCAACAAATTAAACATTTAACTCAAAAAGGACCACAGACCAAAATGCCAAACCTAAAACTATAAAACTTCTGAAAGAAAACATAGTAGAAAATCCTTATGACCTTATATTAGGCAAAAATTGTCTAGATGTAACACAAAGGTGTAAACCCATAAAATAAAATATTGATAAATTGAACTTCATGAATTAAAATCTGATCTTCAAAAGACACTGTTGAGAAAACAAAAACATAAGCCACAAACAGGGAGAAAAAAATTTGCAAAACATGTGACTGATAAAGGACTTATATCAGGATATATACATTACACTAAAATCTCAATAATAGAGAAAAAACATTACTCAATAAAAATGGGCAAATGATTTGAATGACACTTCAGCAGAGAAAAAAATTAGATGGGAAATAAACACATGCAAATAGGCTCAACATTATTAGTCATTAGATATTTGCCAATAAAATTATGATGTGATACTACATGTCTATTAGAATAGCTTAAAAAAAACAAAAGGCAGAAGCCCACCAATACTAAGGGCTAGCAAACATGCAAGCATGCAGAGGAGCTGGAACTCTGACACATTGCTTTTGAGAATGCAAAATGTTATAGTTGTTTTGGAAAGCAGTTTGGCAAATGACATTTTTATAGAATTAGAAGAAAAATTCTAAATTCATATGGAACCAAGAAAGAACCCAAACATACAAAATAATCTTAAGAAAAAAGAACCAAGCCAAAGATATCACACTACCTAACTTCAAATTATACTACAAGGCTGCAGTAACCATAACAGCATGATACTGGCACCAAGAAAGACACATAGAACAATGGAACAGAACAGAGAGCCCAGAAATAAGGCCACACACCTACAACCATCTGGTCTTTCACAAAGCTGACAAAAGCAATGGGGAAACGACTCCCCATTTAATAAATGATGCTGGGATAACTGGCTAGTCACGTGCAGAAGATTGAAACTGGATCTTTTTCACCATATACAAAAATCAACTCAAGATGAATTAAAGACAATGTAAAACTGGAAACTATAAGAACCCAGAAGAACACCTAGAAAATGCCATTCTGGACATAGGCCTTGGCAAAGATTTTATGATGACCCCAAAAGCAATTGCAATGAAAAGAAAAATTGACAAGTGGGATTTAATTAAACTAAAGAGCTTCTGCACAGCAAAAGAAACTATCAACAGAGTAAAGGGACAAACTTCAGAATGGGAGAAAATACTTGCAAACTATACATCTGGCAAAGGTAATATCCAGAATCTGTAAGAAACTTAAGTCAACGTGCAAAAACAACAGGCAACCTCATTAAAAATGAACAAAGAACATGAACAGAGACTTCTCAAAAGATGACATACACATGGCCAAAAAGCGTGTGAAAAAATTCTTGATGTTACTAATCATTACGGAAATGCAGATCAAAACCACCATGAGATATTATCTCACATTGGTCAGAATGGCAATCATTGAAAAGTAAAAACATAACAGATGCCGGTGAGGTTGCAGAGAAAAGGGAACAATTATACGCTGCTAGTGGGAATGTAAATTAATTCAGCCACTGTGGAAAACAGTTTGGAGATTTCTCAAAGAACGTAAAATACAACTACCATTTAACTCAGCAATCTCTTTATTGGGAATATAACCAAAACAAATCTCTCTACCAAAAAGACACATGCACTTGTATGGTCATCACAGCACTATACATAATAACAAAGACATAGAATTCAACCTAGAAGCCCATACACAGTGGACTGGATAAAGAAAAGGTGGGACATTTGTACCATAGGATACCACACAGGTATAAAAAAGAATAAAATCATGTCCTTTGCAGCAACGTGGATGGAGTTGGAGGTCATCAGTGTAAGTGAATTAACTCAGGAACACAAATTAAATATCAGATGTTCTCACTTATAAGTGGGAGCTAAATATCGAGTGCATATGGACACAAAGAAAGGAACAAAAGACATTGGGACCTCCTTGAGGGTGGAGGGTGGGAGGAGAGTACGGATCTAAAAACTACCTATTGGCTACTATGCTTATCATCTGGGTGATGGAATAATTTGTATATCAAACCCCCATGACTTACAATTTACCCATGTAACAAACCTGCCTATGTACCCACTGAACCTCACATAAAAGTTGGAAAGAAAAAGCAAAACAAAAACCCCCATTTAAAATAAAACAACAAACTGGAAAAATATATACAGCTTATATAAAAGACAAAAAGAATATTATTAATATAAAAGGAACATATTATTAACATGTTAAAAATCTATAGAAGAAATGAAAGGAAAAGTGGCTGAGATGAAAGGGAAATTTAAAAAAAATCAAAGCCTAATAAACACAAGAAAGGAGCTGTTCACCTTAATAAGAGTAAAAATTTTTTACTTATCAGACTGGAAACAATTAAAAATTGATGAAAATTCAGGCTTTTGTTGAAGTTGATTTTCTCATAGTTATCTAATGACTCTCTACAGGACTTCAGTTCTTTTCTATACCAATATCTGTGTTGTCCCTATCCCCTTCTCTTGTCTGTGCCCCAGGAGTCCCCTCATTGGCTGCATCATCCTGATGTTAAATGATACCACGGAAAAATATGCAGCTATTGAAATGACCAAGGCAGATCTCTTTCAATTGACATGAATAGATGTCTCTCAGGCAGTATTAGGTGAATAAAGCAAATTATAGATTAGCATATAAAATATGATCGCATATTTCATAAAAAACACTATAGAAGCAAACATTATTAAATGAATTTCTATGTTTATATGTGTGAAAGATTAGCTGGAAGAAAACACACCAAACTACTGAAAATTTGTAAAGCTTAGGTTGGGGAGTCACGCTTTTAATTTTTACTGATTTACTTCACAGAAATGATAAATAAACATTAGAACTCTTATTTTCTACTTCATACAGCCTGTGAAGCTGAATAAGATTATTTTTGTAATCATATCATTTTTGAAATTCAATTTTGAAGTAGAATCAATCGGAGTTTTACTATATACGTGAGTTCTTTTAAAAGATGGATAATATTAATTTGTTTCTCACAAAACCCCTATTCAGTTGTTATTATTTCTAATTCAAAAATTGGTGGTCAGGAGTTAAGCACTGAGATCTTTCCAATAAAGAAAAAACAATATTCAATGAGTTTGTTTGATATTTAGAGGAGATGTAAAGGGAAATTTAATAACGTTCATTTTAGACTTAGTAACGTTAGAGATTAGGAAAGTGTACTAGAACATGAAATGAATCAAAGACAGAATCAGAAACAGAGCCTATGGTTCTTGCCCATGTTTTTTTTTTTTTTTTTTTTTTTTTTTTTTGAGGCAGAGTCTCACTCTGTCACCCAGGCTGGAGTGCAGTGGCGCCATCTCGGCTTACTGCAACTCCGCCTCTCGGGTTCATGCCACTCTCCTGCCTCAGCCTCCCGAGTAGCTGGGACTACAGGCGCCCGCCACCATGCCCGGCTAATTTTTTGTATTTTTAGTAGAGACGGAGTTTCACCGTGTTCACCAGGATGGTCTCGATCTCCTGACCTCATGATCTGCCCACCTTGGCCTCCCAAAATGCTGGGATTACAGGTGTGAGCCACCGCACCCCGCCCATTCTTTTCTTTTACAACAAAAAAATTCCCATGCATTGAAAATGTTTTCACAGTTAACTTTTTCTTTCTTTTTTGTTGGTATTAGGCTATTGGGTTTTTCCTCAAAATATTTACAGTTTAAATTATTGGCTTCATATTTTATGTAGTAGTCCCTCTTTAAATTTAAATCTCAAGATCTACTTCTTGCTAAGATCTGCTTCTATACCGAAAACAATATTTGGGGTCTGAGGTCTCATTCTGATCAGTTTTAGAAGTTTTTTTCCATTATAAAACATTATGATACACTGGTTTCAATTTTGGTTGTGCTATTACCTATAGAGATAATAGATATCCCATGATAGAAAATAAAAAGAATGCAAAGTTTCTTTCTTTAACAGTTACACAAGTTCTTCCGAAGCCTGTATTTTATTTTACTTTACCTCCACTCTATGGTACTTTTTGTACCTTTGGAAGAACTTTTCTTACTCTTTCTTACGTATTTCATAGTTAAATTAATGGCAATACTATTTAGCTAATGAATTTAGATAGCTACCAGAGTCATCCACCTCTGCCACGATCCACAGTGTCCCCTCCTTTCCACCCTCCTGGGAATTTTTTCTTTGGTCTACCTATGGAATTTGCCTCTCTCTTCCCTGTTCCTAATTCAAGTCGTTACCTTCATTTGCCTTAATAATTGCACTAATCAATTAGTTTATGCCTTTGCCTCTATTTTCCCTCTTCTGATACATCTTCTATATTATCACCAAATTTACCTTTTAAAAACACAGGCCATCATATTTCTAACTACTGCTTTAAAACCATAAATTGCTTGTCACACATTTATTAGCATATAATAGTTTCAATTCATTAATATGACTATCCTGCTCTGACCATCTGGCCCCAACTTTCATTTCTTTCACCTTCATTCCCCAACCCTTACTATGAATAATCTAGCTACCCCTATTATTTATTATTTCTTGACACGCCTGACATTCTATATATCTTCTGATCATTTTCCACCTTCCTGTTCTCTCTTCTTCTTAATTTCTATGAGATAATAACCTCTCTCTCTCCCTGGAAAGCACAGCTCAAGTATCACCTCCCTTTAAGTGTTCTGTTGTATTCAAGGCAGAATTAGCAATGATTAAATAGTTGTGAATGATAAGGGCAAAGAGAAGTGCATAGTGACTATAAATGGGTCTGAGCTCACTTAATATTAAGAATTAGTGACAGGATTGGTGCTTTTATACTGTGGAAATTCCATAATTGTACTCGTGACACAAGGTTTAACTGAACTGGCACAATGTTATTGATGTTTGCTTTGTAGTTCCAAACTGATGAAAATAAGGGGAATAACATTTTTTCTCTTTAAACAATTTTGTCTAGCATTATAAAACATTTCTCCTGACAGGATTTAGGACATGCTACCCCAAAATATGGCACCTTGGCAAATTGCATATTTCAAGTGGAAGGAATCTGAGAAATGGCACATGCAGTTAGGACTTTATGATTTTCCCCTGCAGCAAGACGTAAAACCTAGAAAGGATTTTCTGATCTTTCTCTGAAGCAGGAAATAAGATCCTTATGTGAGAGGTGCTGCTCCTATATCAAAAGGAAAGAAAGAAGCATCCTTATCGTTGAAGACAGGGATGTCAAAAGGAATGTGAATGAGCAGGCCTTGCTGCTTTTCCAAGTTTACTGTATTTATACTTTTCTGGGGGCTTCTATACACGTCCCCGCAATTCTCCACTTTTCGTCGAACCTAGCACAAAATATACTCAAATTTAATCATTTATTCAGGTCTTTATTTCCTTTGAAGTCTCCCGTGTCATATAAAGCTTATGTTAAATAAATTTGTATGCTCTTCTCTTGTTAATGGATCTTGTTATAGTGACTACAGCTGAGGACTCAGAGGATAGAAGGATAAGATATTCTTTCCCCCCCCACACTTCTCTCAACATAGCATCTCTTTACTGTAAACTAACAGTATTAATTACATTTACACAGTCTTCTCAATACCTACATATGTATATAATTTTTTCTCTCCATACTATTCAAACCATTTTAGCAGCCAGAATATAACTTAGTAACATTTGCAAAGCTAACAGTTTCCCAAACAATTCTTTATTATTTTCTGCCTTGTGGAAATAGGGGAGAAAAAATGAACAATTATGAGTAAAATACAGTAAGTGAAAGAGGAAAGCCGGTACTGGAAATGAAAGGAGAAACACTCCATTTTTCAGACAACATAGATTTTATCAATTTCTGGGTAACTAATGGCTACATTTTACGTTTCTAATTTTTAAGGGGCCACAAAATAATATTTCCATAATAGTGTTTTTTCACCATGTCTAACTTGCCTTTGTAGACTTGTAAATATGTAATCTCACTTTGACACTAAATTTTTTATTCGCTTTTTCTATGCTGTAGTCCCAGTATCAAATCATTATTTAAAAGGCAGAGTTTGTTTTTCTGACATTCCACAATTGAATACTTCTGCCTTTTGGTGGGGGCTACCTAAGGAGTCTATACCATCTGCATATTTGCTAGAGGCTTATTTTCCAAAATTTAACACATTTTTGTCCATTTCTTCTGCATAATACATAGCAGTATAATATAGAAGTTAAATAGCAATGCATTCCAAAAGACAGCAATTTCATTTCTCCTCTGCTGCTTAGCAAATTTACCCAGTGGAGCAGTGAGTAATCTCTTCAAAACTCCATTTTCTCACTTGTCAAATGGGGATGATATTAATTGTGTAACTTGGGACTGTTTCTAGGGCTGCTGTGAGGATTAAATGAGATTTTACATGTAAATATTTTGCATAGTCACTGGCACATAGTGAGTACTCAATAAATGTTTCCTGCTGATAATGATGAAATTCTAAGTATAAATGAGACAGACAGGAAAATATTATTTAGATTCCATTGATTTCTAACATAAAAATAATCACATAAAGTGAATGAAAATTTATATTTGTACTTACTAGGTATTTAGTCTGTAGGAGAAAATTTGTTAATAAAGTTAATAGCAATAAACTTGATTGCAAAGGAAAATGTTTATGTACTCACAGCACTGAATGGTTTTATGAACTTCAGAAGTACTGAGCTATACACTAACAATTCATACATTAACTACAAATAAATTCCTAACTGTGATAGAAGCAAAACTGAAAGAGGTTTACCTTTCCACAACCATTTTGTAACTTTGTAGAAATTGTCATACATACTTAGAAGTTAAAAGAAGTACACATAAATATGGTACATTAAATATTCCTATGTACCATATATATTTAAATTAACCCTTCTCACACTAATCTGAATTCATGAGGTTTTCTTGTGCACAAATTAAATTCTCTAAGGTAGAGCTCTACCTCTTCTTCATTTTCAATGCAGTCATAGCTTAACTTAATCTACCATCATAAAGAGGAGGTTTAATGAAATAACTGATCCATTCCACCATTATGTGACTGTCTCCTGTTTTTAATTTGCAGCAATTAATTAACAAAGCACAAATGTTTTAAATCTTGAATCTTATGAGACACAACAATTTAATAATCCAATTTATTATCTTGCAAATTTCTTAGTGAAATGAGGAAAACATAATCTGCCACTGCCAAATTTGATAATACTGATTCATCAGTCACAATGGATAAAATTAGAATCCATTAAATGAGAAGTATTATTTTGATATGCAAAGTTTGTCTTTGAAGAAAAGTAGGTTAATTATTACAAATAAGTAAGCAATGGTTCTCTGTAACTGCCTGTCGTGTATGCATCTGAAATTTCTTTGTCATAGCTAGAACTTAAGAGACAGTTTGTTGTGCCCTTTTTACATTATAAAACTTATTAAGCCTTTGTTAGTATGCTCTGCACTTAAGATGCTTGACATGTATTTAGTGCAATTAACTGCTATTATCATGAATGTAGTGAACAACTAAGCATAAATTTTATTAATCAGGACTCTACTAGTAAATTACAAGCCATCCTTACGAATTAATGCTGTGGTAGAAATTTTTCCTTTTGTACTTAGGTTCTCTTGTACCATAAAGCAAGTTGATCATAAGTGCCATTTGAAGCCAATCACCCTTTTTATCTTTTTGCTTTCTGTTTCAAGGCATTATTTTAATGAACTCAGATATTTAAGTATATACTTAATTTTAACATGAAAAACAAAACTGTGAATGGATCTATGTAAGCCTTTTTTTTTTTTTTTTTTTTTTTTGAGACAGGTTCTCACTCTGTTGCTCAGTCTATTGCTCAGAGTGTTGCCTTGGCTCACTGCAGCCTCTGCCTCCTGGGTTCAAGCAGATCCTTCCGCCTCAGCCTCCCTAATAGCTGGGACTACTGGCATGTGGCAAAATGCCTGGCTAATTTTTGTATTTTTTTGTAGAGACGGGGTCTCACTATGTACTGATCTCAAACTCCTGGCCTCAAGAAATCCTCCTGCCTCGGGTTCCCAAAGTGCTGGGATTACATGCGTGAACCACTGCTCCTGGCTTCCACTTTTTAAAAGTTTTTATTTATTTATGTCAGAGACAGGATCTTGCTCTGTCACCCAGGCTGAAGTGCAGTGGTCTGATCATAGCTCACTTCAGCCTTGAACTCCTAGGATCAAGAGACCCACCCGCCTCATCCTCCCAAGTAGCTAGGCATACCAGCATGAGCCCAGCTCTAAGTTAACTCTTGAAATCAGCATTGCATAAGACAATGAAAATACCTCCTGGCAGTATGACAAAGGAGTTGGAGATGGCCAGGGACAGCCTAAATAACGTGTGTGATGTGCATGGGGTAAATAGTCAACAGAATTTACTGAGTTTAGATAACTGTTTCTCGAACTGCAAGACCTGGTACAAGCAAGTCCTCATGTTCATATTGCAGGGCAGGGAGCTTAAGGCAGTAGAGCAGAGATGGAGATTACCATTGTGGAGCACCTACTCAATGCAGGCATTAGGCCAGGTGCTTTCTGTGCATTATCTCTACAAATCCTGATATGGTCTCATGAATTAAGTTTTGCCTCCTAATTTCTAAAACATAGAAAGCCTAAAAGATGTTGCAATCAGATCCAGATTAATCATTAAAATATCAGAAATATTTGGAAGGATTAATGCTCACCATCTTATTTATGGGATCCTTTTGTTAACATTAACCCTTTTGTTATTTCAAAGGGCTGCTTACATTTTGATTCTGCCTATTACTAGATAAGTCATTTTGCGTAAGTTAGTCCTCTCTATGCTTAAGTTTCATCATCTGCAGTTTGGGGATGATAATGGTACTGATATCATTAGAATAAATTTAGGATTAAACATTAAACTGTAAAAATGCTTAGAATAGTGCCTGTCTCCAGCTAATTCCCCATGGTTCCCTATATAATGATTATGATATTTATAACATATAAATATCTAGTTGTGTTAAAATCTTTCAGCAAGCATGACAAACCTTGAAAAATTCAAGATCAACTCTTTTTCACCTCTGTGATATGTGGTCAGGGAGGTAGAAAATTGAAATCTTCAGAGGTGTTTAAATTAGTATAATTATTGGTAAGCATTCTTTGGCAGTACCCTTATGCACTTAGAAAAGTATTTGAATTCTTTCCATATAATGTAATATTTTAGAAAACTGCAGAGTAACACACTTGATCTGTTTTAAAATTCAAAATGGCTATGATATATATGAGTAACAGTTTTTAAATTACTTTTGAAATTTTACTTTATATCTTTAGTGTTAGGTAGATTTTTACAACAGATCTGTGGGTTTTTTCGCTACCTATTCTGCCCACTATGAACTGCAGGTCTGCAAAACTGATTGCTTGTAGGAAATGAACCGTTCACCTAGATCCTAAGAATTCAAATTAAAGCATTTTTTTTTTTTTTTTTACATTTCAACAGCAAACAAACTGCAACTATATTGAAATACATGTGTCATTTCATATAATATTATATTGGGTTAGTTATGCTACTTTGGTTCCAAAAATCAGAGGCTCAAGTAACTACAAATAATTAAAAAGTAATTTTTGTAAGGATACTTTGGGTAATGGAGAAACAAGACTAAACTCCATTACCACATTGTACTGGAACCCAAGAAAAGCTGAACTCTGTCTACTGGAGTCAAACAGCCCCTGGAGTCAGGCTTCAGGGACCCTCAGACAAGACAGACAAGATGCTCCTTCCGGATTTAAGGCAGCGCTGAAGAGTGCGTTGAACGACCACAGATGGGGATCATCAGGCACAAAGTCCTCCAGTACGTGACTCTGCTATTCTTGTATCTGCTTTTCCTTCCAAGTATCCTTTCCCTCCACTCACTGTCAACTACCTTCTTCTCTCTCGACGCGATCTTCGTTCCTGTTTATACTTCATTCTGACTTAATTGTTGATCACCTGCTACAGGTATCTTCAAATTCATAAACTTTCAGTGTCTATTCTCCCTGTCAGCCGATTCACTCTTAGTATTTCTTGGTACAGTTCCAGAGAGTGAACCTAGTTTCTCTTATTGTGCAAAATTTTTCTCATAAGGCTGCGTCAACAAGGGTGTGTAGGAGGAGTTTAATCACAGAATGACTTGTGACTGTGGCAGGCACAGTAGTTAACCACTTTCAGACTCCTGATTAATTTCGTATATATCTCTTTTACAAATTAAATATTTGTGACTCTAGCCTTGCACGGTGACTGGCATATATTTATTAAGGGTTCAATACATATTTATTAAATTGAAATGAAACTGTTAATGAAAGATGATAAAAGTTCAATAGAGCAGAAAAGAAAAGAATGAGATAAAATACTTTAGGTTAAAAGAAATAATTAAATATTTACCTTATCTTTCCTATATTTATTACACATATGGGTAACCAAGTAAGTAAACCTAATTAATGAAAGAAAGTTCTTCTTTACAAAAAATTCTAATGAATAAATGTTGAAGAAATGGTAACCTTATAAAACCACCATTTTGCTGAGAATGATGGTTTCCAGCTTCATCCATGTCCCTACAAAGGACATGAACTCATCACTTTTTATGGCTGCATAGTATTCCATGCTGTATATGTGCCACATTTTCTTAACATTAGGAGACATACCGAATGTAAATGATGAGTTAATGGGTGCAGCACACCAACATGGCACATGTATACATATGTAAAAAACCTGCACGTTGTGCACATGTACCCTAGAACTTAAAGTATAATAAAAAAATATAAAAACCCACCGTTTTGTCATCCCTAATAAAATAGCGAATTCTGAAGTGATCATAAATAAATGAAACCATTATAGGAAAGGTTGATGAAGAAATTTTCAATGAAGAAATAAGACTGTCAGCACTAATCAAGGTTAACATCACTACAAGGGAATAACCAGATAATGTCCTACCTGATGTGACATAGTATGAAATACACACAGTCACTTATGAAGTGTTCTTAAAAAAATGAATCTGAAATGTTCAGCTATGGAGAGTAATGACTATGAAGGAACAAGTTAAATAGCACCACAAGGAAGCAAATGGAATAACCCAGAAAGTGGCATATTCTAAAGGATAATGAACATAGCTTCTTGCAGAAGTCAACGGTATAAATAAAATAAAAGGGAGGGGGGACTTAACTAGTATGAAAGAGACCTGTAACACATAATAACCATATGCAATGCTAACACCTTATTTGGATCCTGACTGAAACAAACCAATGTAAAAAAAATCTTCTTTAAAGAAAATCAGGAGCATTTGATTATGGAATAGGGATTACACAATACCAGGGCCTTACCGTTAATGTTATTAGTTGTGATGTACAAAAGAAAGCCATAATTTTTAGAGATAAATACTAAACTAAGAAGGGATGAAATGATAGAATGTCTCAAGTTTGTTTAAGATAACTCAGCCAAAAGAAAAAGAAGGTGAAAACTCAAGAATATAGATGAAGAAAACATCACAAAATTTTGATAATTGTTGAATTTGAATAATGGATATACAGGACTCTACTGCATAGTCTCTGTACTTTATAGTAGGATAAACACTTTCATAACAATTTCTTAAATATAAAAGTAATTTAGGGAAGCCATAGTGTAAGCAAACAAATCAAGAACTTTAATACTCTGAACATTATTTCCAAAACAGAAAGAACAAAGGACAAATCCCTGATCAAAGTCGCTTAAACCTAAACTTCCTCACTTCAGCAAATAAAACATCCTATCTTTAAAAACATGCAATTTGAAACTAATGTTCTGGCTCATCACATAACCCCGAGAGGGGAAAAATAGGCAGATTTTATCCTTGCAAATGGAAAAGACAACTTTTAAAACTGGTCCATTTTCTACTCAATACATTGAGATACTTTCTGCTATCTACACTTAATGCAGAGAGAAAATGAGTTGAGACTTCACTGTATGTATATTTTTGGAGAAAACTAAAAGAAATTACATGTTATAGTACAATGCATGCGAACAAATGAGATAACAGAATGGATGAAAGATATTTCTGCTTATGTTTTGGTCTGCATAACAAAAACAAAGTAATATGAAGTCATGACAGTTTAAGTAAAATGAGTAAAATTTTATGAATATTTAGAAATAATTAAGATTTCTTACTTTTAGGCACATATAGCAAAACTTCTCTACATTATGTATTTAATCGATATCAACCTAAAGGACTTTCTTATCTATGTATACAATTGTCTGTTGCATATAATGCTTGGAAGACCCACAGGTAACCAAATATCTGTATATCAAAATATAAGTCACTGTGAACTTCTTTAAATGGATACTTCCTCCTGTATTTCTTATCTCCAATAATGATGCCCCTATAAATATGACATTTCCATGGTCTCTACTTTCTTCCTTAACACTCCACTCAGTGCATTTAGTCATAAAGATCTTTTGATTTATTTCACAAATCTAACCTTAACTCTCCATCATCTTATACAAGGCTTTCATATCTTCTCACTGGATTACTGCTATAACCATTTAAGATTTATCTTCACTAACAGAAGAAAGACAATAGTAAAGGAATGAGAAAAAAATTAATTTAAAACAAAAAACAAAACATTGAATAAAATCAAAAGCTGTTTCTTAAGACCAGTAAAATTTATAAACGTTCAGACAGTTGGACAGAACAAAAGAGAGAAGACACAAAATATCAATATTAAGGATGAGAGAGGAAAAATCAGTTCAGATTTAATAGACATAAAAAAATAATAACAGACTGGCATAAACAACTACATGATGGAAAATTTCACCACTTAGATTAAATGGAAAATTTTCTTGAAGATACAAACTACAAAAACCTAAATTTAGGTTACCTATTTGAACAAATAGGTAAACTAAATAGCCCTATATCTAATGAAGAAATAACATTTTTAGTTTAAAAACCTCCTACAATAAAACTCTAAGCCCGGATGATTTTTCCAGTAAATTCTATCAAAAATTCAGAAAAGAAAATGTCAAATTTTATAAAAACTCTTTTGGCAAATTATACTGGAGGAAATACTGTCTAACTCTTTCTATAAAACCATCATTACATTGATATAAAAGACAGAAAAAGGCACTATAAGAAAATAAAACCATAGAGCAATATCCTCATAAACACAAAGGCAAAAATACTTAACAAAATTTTATCAATAAAATATAATATTATGTAGGAAAGATTATACATCAAGACCATGTGGAGATTGTTCCAGGAATGCAAGGTTGGTTTAAAGTTAAAAATTCCTTAGTTCAATTCACCATACTGATTGTTGAAAAGCAAAATTATGTGATTACCCTATTATGAGCAGAAAAGATATTTGACAAAATCCAACACCCTTTCATGATAAAAACTTTCGGAATAATAAGAACAGAACAGAACTTCCTCAACTTGATAAAGCATTATCCATGAAAAACAGTTAGTTAACATGATATTCAATGGTAAAAATCTCTATGCTTTCCCTATGAGATTAGGAATAAGGCAAGAATGTCTGCTCTTCACTAATTTTAGTCAACATTGTACTGAAGATTTTAACCAGAGCAATAAGGCAAGAAAAATAATAAAATACATCTAAATTGGAAAGAAATAAGTAAAACCATATTTATTTTAGACAAGAATATAATTTATTTAAATAATCATGAGGAACCTACAAAAAAGTAAATTTAGAAAGGCTGAAGATATATATTTGTATATCTATGTACTATTAACAAAGAATGAGAAATTAGAATTAAAAGTACCATTTAAGATAGTAATAAAAATACTTAGAAACCAATTAACAAAGAATATGTAACACCTTTTCACCAAAATAAGAAATTAAATAAGACCTTAATGCATGTACATGCCATGTTAATGGATTATAAAATTCAATATTGCTGTTTTCTTTCCTCCCCAATAGATTTATATATTTAATGCAATATCAATCAAAAGTCCAGCAGACCTTTTTCTTGTAGAAATTGACAAACTGATACAAATTTAAATGGAATTGCAAAGGAGCTAGAAGAGCCAAACTATTTTCAAAAATATAAACAAAGTTGAGTAAATTTTACTATAATATTTCAAAATATGTTAGAAAATGATAGTGACCAAGACATGCAGTACTGGTGTAATTACGGCTATATAGATCAGTGGAACAGATTACAAAGAACTTCAGAATTAACCTCTTACATATACAGTCAATTGAGTTTTCTCCAAGATGCCAAAGCAATTCAATGAGGAAAGAATAATTTTCAACAAGTAGAGATAAAAAAATAGATAACCATATGAAAACGATCCAAAGAAAGTTAAACTTGATTATCACACCAGTTAACAAGCAAAAATTGGCTTGAAATGAATTATAGACTTAAATGTAAGATGTCTAGAAGAAAATTGTGTTGCAAGCTGACTGTGCAGATTGCAAAGATTTCTAAAATAGAATTTTTTTAAAAGCTTAAACTATAAAAGAAACTGATCAATAAATTGGACTATTCCATCAAAATTTTTTTAAAAATGCGCAATAACTATGCTCTTCAGAAGGCACTAGTAAGATAATGGAAAAGAAAGTTACAAGCTAGAAGCATATACTGCAACATTTATTTCTGATGACAGACTTTTATCTAGTATAGACCTTTACAACTTAACAATAATAAGATAAACATCCTAATTTGGAAATGGGAAAATGATTTGAACAGAAATTTCACCAAAGAAGATATATGAATTTCAAATATTCAGATAAAAATATGGTCAGTATCATTAGGATTCAGGAAAGTGCAAATTAAAATCATAGTTAGATAATATATGCCTGTTAGGATAGGTAAAACTAAAAGATTTATCAAACCAAGTGTTGGCATGGTACAGCCACTTTGGAAAGCAGTTTGGCAGTTTTAATATTAAGTACATACTTACCACGTAACTCAATAGAAATAAAAGAGTATGTCTATACAAAGACTTGTAAACAAATATTCATAGCAACCTAATCTTGAAAAAGTACAAATTTTAACAGATGAATGAATAAACATATTGTGGTATATACGTACAATGGAATACTACTCAAAAATAAAAAGAAACATACAATAACATGGGTGAAACTCAAAATAGTTGTAATGAATAAATAACATGGGTGAAACTCAAAATAGTTGTAATGAATAAAAGCAGCCAGACAAAAGAATGGAGAGAATTTATGATTACATTTACACATAATGATAACATTTCCAAACTAATTCATAGTATTAGAAAGCAGATGAGGGGCATTGCCTGGGGATGGTGGAGGAGTGGATGAATTACAAAAGTGGATGAATTATTGGGGTAATGGATATCTTCATTATTTTGAAAATAGCAATAATTTTGTGGCTAAATACATATGCCAGAACTATTCAAATTAGACTATTTAAATATGTGAAATTTTATTATATTCAATTATACCTCAATAAACCTGTTAGAAAGACAGAGAAAGAAAAAGAGACAGAAACCTGGACCTAAATCTGAAAGTACTCTGCTTAATACTATTTAGTTTTAATGAAATATTGAAATTTCTAAAACATCTAAAATTCATTATAAATAATTTTAAAAATTGAGAAAATATTACTCAAATAAACACTGTAGTTCATTAATAAATCAACATGGGAATAGACAGAACAAACACTGACTACATGTATAAATTTACTTTAATTTATTAATTCATTCAACAAATATGTATGCCTGAATATACATTAGTCAACAAAATACAAGTCTTTTCCCTCATGCTTATAGTCTACCGTCACTGTAAACTTGTTATCAAATTTGAGTAAGCAAAAGCCTACAATGATTTCTCAAACTCATGATAACAATAAGAACTTCACTAAATGATCTGAATCAATAATCAGGGATTACATTGAAAGAGATTTTAAAATGTCCTATGTTTTAAAATCATTAAATTCACTTGCCTTTGCCTCTAAAACAAAACCCAAGCTACTTTTAGCATGTCCTTCACATATTGATCTGTGCCTTCATTGTTAGTGACCATAAGACACAATAACAGGGATCGTTTATTAATATTGCAGACTTCTGTGTCAATTGCAGGTTTTCTGACTCCACAGATTTGGGATGGGGCTCAGATCTGCAAATCCAGCTAGTAGCCCATGTGATCCTTACCCTAGTGGTCTGGATTTTTTACTTTGTGAAATTCTGCATTAGTTTAGGTAACCAAGGAGATGATTAATTAAGCATAAATGTGACGATGCAGTATTCAAACAAAGTAACAGATATAAATGAAATCTCACCACATTATACAAATGCAACATTGGCCACCAGGATGCCATCTTGGTCTCCAGATGAGTTCACTTAAGGCATTTATTAAATTAAATGAGAAACTAAATTGAACGATCTTCAGTATGTGAAAAAAAGTTTTACAGCATCCTTAAAATCTGACCAAACACAATAATAAAAAATGGATTCCAAATAGAGGAAGGCATTTGGTTTTTTCAGGGACAGGTTTCCAAAGGAAAAAAGTGGACTTAAACTCTGACATTAAAAACAAAATTGAAAAAAACAAAAACAATTTTCTCTTTTGCACATGTCATTGCTAATTTTTATACTTGGTAGGCTTAATTTAGTTCATAATTTTAAATCTATTTTTGCCATAAATAAACGTATTTATTCCAGTTTCTTTACTACAGTTACATAAAGTCAACTAAAATCTTTGTATATATTTTGTGGCACATGATTACAAATAAATCATGGATACTTTAATTTCTTCCATGATTTTATAATGTATTTTTACTGATCAAATCCTGATTTAAGATACTTGGTAAACATAAGAAATTTCTTTGATTATTAAAGCCAAAGTTTCTTCATAGAACTGAATTTGTGTTTCTCAGTAGATGTTTGTTTTCATCCAGTATCCATTTGTAAAATGGCCTATCCCAGTCCAAGGACACAGTCTTGAAACAAGTTGTCGGTCTCCCAATCTTTCAGAAAACTACTCTGTCCTCAAGAAAGGTCCAAAGAGTAAATAAGAAAACACAACTCTATTCTACAAAGCTGTCAGAGACCTGAGATGTACTTCCCAGGACCCATGATGCGATGACGACATGTTATAGATTAAGAGAAGATCTTCTAGTCCTAACAGAAGAGAATAGAAGAGCAAAGTCTGTACAGAGATTAGGAAACACAAAGGCCATCAGGAAGAAAAGGCAGATATAAGAATTAGGTGTGGGGGAAAAGGGAGAAGAAAGTGAAAGGGCAAACTTGATATTATCATGATTGTATACCAAAAATAGGACCACTCTCTCCACAATTAGGAGGAATTGGGGGACTGTTGAAAATGGGTGGTTAATAGTAAGTAGAAAAGGATGAAGACTGAAATACTTAAATGTATTTCTTCTTTAACTGGAATTTTAATTGGACTGAACATAAACAATGACCCTAACGGTCTTGACCAGTATAGAGGATAAGAATACAGTCATTTATCCATAGTAAGTCTGAGTCTACTTCACTGTTCTACTTCATTGTTTGTCTATTTCTGCTATCTTTGCTACCCATAACATTTCAGGTCTAACTAATATTGTCAAGACAATCCTCTTCATTAACCAGACTGCAAGTGCCTAGCTGGAAGTCTGATGTTATTTTTGCTTTTATGGTCTTTAATATGTGGGTGTAAAATAAAATCTAAATATGCAATATTAAAGTTGGATTGGATCTTGGAAATCATCTAATAATAACACCTTTATTTTAGTTGGGAGGAAATTGAGACCCAGGGAAATTAGATAATTTGCCTAAGGTCACACAGCTAGTTGTATTTTGATAAAATGAGGATTTTTACGGTCTCTTCTAGAATAGTCATGAATTTTAATTCATCTGCCATGTCTTAGAGGCATGAACTTTAGATTATACTTTGTGAAAATCAACTTGTTTTATTAAATATGTTATTAAATTTGTTAAATCAATATGCACATCTATTTTGAAAGCAGGTTTTTTGCCAAATCTTTATTATTAAAAAGCCACAATGCAATATGTTTAACACTAGCTCTTCAAAATTATTTTTAGTTTTGGGGGAGTGTACATTTTTTTCTTTTGAGACAATGGTATAGCTATGAAAGGATGTGGAGGAAAAGTTTTACATTACATAAACATCAAATCTTGGAAAATATTTTTCTCCATATCCAAAGAATCATACTCCATGGAGCTCAAACTAAAAATTCATAATATCATTTAATTGATATTTACTGATAAAAGTTGAAAAATACTATTTTCTATAGCTTAATTATGGAAAAGTTTATTATTGTCGTCAGTATATGTTGCGCTTAAAATATGTATTATTTGAACTTTAGTGGAATAAAATCCATTCATTTCCAAAACATTGTACTTACTGATTCAGGACAGGTGTGTAGGCAGTTTTATCCTCATCAATAATAGTAACCATCAGTGTAATAAGTTGGGGCCAAAAATCCAAATTCTTGGTGGTTGGTCCCTGATCTTCACGAGGAATATCCTGTTTCTTACTCTGCTCACAAGTTCACGCAACATGCAAAAGAAAAGGTTAAATGGGATGACTTTAGTTAGATGTCACTGTCAAATAGAAGATCAAAGAAAAATGATTGTGGAAATGAAACTTAGATTATGGGAGTCAAAGCTGTTAAACTCAGGTTTCTTTTCTTCATTGAATGACATCCCATAGAATAAACTCACAGTGGCCTGGCTTGTATTTCTAATCACTTTTTAAATATTGGTTTAACTTCCATTGCTTTGTTGCTGTTGTTGTTGTTCTGGATTAGAGGTTTTTCCTGCCTCTGATGATTACAAGTTCATGACCTTAAGAATTATTATTATTAGAAATTATGCCTTTAATGTGGCTTCTTCCAAGGATGAAGATTGAATTTTGTGTGTACAAAGGTGTGTGTTTGTGTGTGCGTGTGTGTATGCATAAAATTTATCTTGCCTAAATATTTTGCTCAAAGTTACATCAGCAGTAAGTATGCAGAACTGACAGCTGCCTGTCAGTACTGTTACTCAAACTCAGTACTGTTAAATCCCACACTATATATGCAACATTAATTGACTTAAATTCTCCCTTCTTACGCACAAATTTATCTAGGTAACTAAAATTTTGTAAGTTTGTCTTTTTCTCTTTTTTTCCTTTTTTTAAAATGTCTTTGAAACTTTCTCAATTTACCACACTGCTCAAAGTCTTCAACTCTCAGTCTAGAAAGCAGAATGTGACATAGGATGATCTAGATTTACTTTGAGGTTAACAGAGTACAATATCAATCTTGAATGTTTCACATATAAATTTCATACTCAACATATGCAATTCTTTACAACATAGAGATAAGCTATTCTGGTCATTTATTTTGGTGGGTGTTCCTCTTAGAGCACTTCTTTTACATTTACTTGTTAAAATTGGCTAAAAATATAGGCAGAGATACATTTTCGCTTAAGTATATGAAAAGTTTTGCTAAACCCTTTACAAGCTTATAGGTGCAGGATATTTGAAAACATCAACTTATGGCTCCAGAAACTCAAAGACTCTAATGTAAAATGGGTATTAGATTGTATTTGGCCCAAACTATTGCCATATCCAATTGCCATGTCTTCTGCTGTGACCAGATCAGCCACCCTCTCGGCTGAATGGTTGTATATGCATATGTTCCAGTGCAAATCATGATATGTAACCATATTTTGTTGAGTTGTCATTTAATTATTCTCGTGTAACTTGAAAGACAGTCCTATAGTGAACTCACTTAGTACTAGACACCTCTATTCTTAGACTATAATGTACTTTTAAGAGCATATATTTCCCTAGGATACATCCAAGAGCCTTTGATTTACATTTATGTTTGAAATGCAACAGATGTTAAAACTTGCAGAACTAGATTAAAATGGTAAAAAAAAATTAGTGGCTGACACAAAATACTTCAAATATCCAGAATAAATGATAAGCAATCTCCAAAGGATTTTAAGAAGTATGTATATATGATCCCCGAGAACAACTTGAAAGTTCTTGGCAAGCTTCTTCTTTCAATTCCTGGGTTATATTAGTGAATCTTTAGGAAGTAATGGACAGTAATGCAGGCTTACAAATGTCAAGCTTTGCTGCCTTTTAAGTTAGAAATTTTATTAAAATTTATTTTTATTTTGTAAACAGAATTTTGTTATCACTACTATAATGTAATTATTTGTGCATTATATTAAGCTCAATAGATTTCTAAAGGATTTAGAAATCCAGATAACCTGGTGAGTTGTGAAGGTGATAAATAAAACTACTTCTAATAGCCACAGTGGGGAGATATTTGTATTAGAACACTATCATTAATTATCGTCATATGTACATAGCCAAAATATATGTCTTACATATTTTAAGTAATGTGATTAAATGAAAGAAAATTATTACACATGATATGTGTAACATCACAGCCACTTATCATTTTTGCAAAGAGTGACATGGAAAGGAGGAGAGACAGAAGTAGTTGAAATATGCATTCATTCCCAAGTCCCTTACCTGTCGCAAATTGTACTTCCATCACTCTTTTTTATGACACCAGAAGATTACTGATGATGCTATTTTTCACATCATATAACGTTTGTTGCATTAGAATAAATCAAACTGGATGTTGAATCATTAAGTTTTTATATAGCACACAATACTATCATAAACCAGGCTTTCCCTACTTTAATAGCGTATTGTAATAGACTGCATGCTGAAAGGATGAGGTCTCATCTGGTGTATTATAATATTTACTCAATTTCTTAAGAATTAAGTTTCTCTATGTGAAACTTTTTAATATACCCTAGAAATCTAATAGGGCATTTAACCTTATGATTGGAAAAATTAAGGTTATTGTAGTAGAAATTAAGAAAAGCTTATAATAAGTATATTCATATTGACTGAAACATTACTATGAATAATGTTATGAAATAACATTTGTTATATCAAGAAAATATGGTAATTATAAATCATTTAATAGCAAATAAAAATACATTTATTAAAATATGACCCAGTAAATCAATCATAATTATAGTAATTATTATAATAGTGACTAAAATTATTTTGTTAATAGATTATTGAAGAAACAGACTTTACAGAAAATCTGTAAGGGTATAATGGGGAGGTAATTTTTTGAAAGTGGAAAGTTGCCAGGTTATAGGATTATCTGAAGAAAGTTCCAATGGTCATGTTTACAAAGTCATTTCATTACAGAAAAGCATATAGAGAAAAGTTTTTACAGACAAGCTGATGGGATGTATATTACACTTTCATGATATCACATAAGAAAATATAAGTATATTCCATCAAGAAGAGATCAGTATATAGAAAGAGCCATTACATGCAAAAGACAGTATTGAAATAACAAATGATATCTTCAACTTAGTGGAACTTATACAATACTTTTAAAACTGTTATAAAATATTTCTGTGGCATTCAATGTATTCATTCAATAAACATGTAATTGTGAAACGCTGCTTCTAAGGAGCTGACAAGACTTGGGTTGGGAGGAGACCTCTGGTAGAAAAATGCAAAGACGGGCCGGGCGCAGTGGCTCATGCCTGTAATCCCAGCACTTTGGGAGGCTGAGGTAGGTGGATTACCTGAAGTCAGGAGTTGGAGAGCAGCCTAGCCAACATAGTGAAACTCCATCTCTACTAAAAATGCAGAAACTAGCTGGGCATGGTGGCACATGCCTGTAGTCCCGGCTACTTGGGAGGCTGAGGCAGGAGAATTGCTCGAACCTGAGAGGTGGCGGTTGCAGTGAGCCAAGATTGTGCCACTGCACTCCAGCCTGGACAACAGATCGAGATTCCATCACAGAAAAAAAAAAAAGAAAAATGCAAAGACAGGCTGTGTACACACAAAACCACATGACAGATGCCTACTATATTTGAATAATTATGAGTAAAATGGGCTATAACAGCTTTTGATGAAGTGTGCTTCTCCAACGTTTGTTCTACTCTATGTTAGTATCATGTACTTACACACACAAGGGCTCAACTAACTTCAAAATTTTTGCTTAAACAAAGTTAAATACGTTATTTTCAGATTTCCTGAAGCCTTTAATATGCTAATGTGCATGGTGATTCTCTAAGATTGTGGTTCTCCAACTTTAGTGTATATCAGCCCCACTGGGAAAGCTCACAAACACAGACAGGTTGCTAGGTCCTGGGACCCATGGTTCCTGATTCAGTAGGTCTAGGGTAAAGCTTGAAAATGTGTATTGAGAGTGACCTTTCAAATAATGCTGGTGCTTCTGCTCCAGAAACCAATTTGAGAACCACTTCTCTAAGAGGTAATACTAAAGCATTAGTTTCTTAAATGGATTTGAACTTGCTAAAGCCCTCCATTCCCTTCCTGTTCCCCCATCTCATCGTGCCAGACTTTTCACAGGATAAGTGTTCTTCTGAACATACTTTGGGAAATAAAAGACTAGAGAGATAAATGCAGGGGTCAAATCATGAAAAGTTTTGTGTGTCATGTCAGGGAGTTTGCATTGAAACCAAACATGATAAGGACCATTTAAAAGATTTTAAACATAGGATTACTTGGTTACATTTGTGTTCTAAATGACTTGGCAGTTTACTTATTAACTTAAAGAGTTAATAAGTAAAATTGTTGGAACTTATTGACTAATGGGTGAGAAAGAGAAAAGGAGGAATCTAGAAGGTAATTAGGTAGACCTATCTGAAGTTTCAAAAGCATTCTGAACATGTTGATGTAGATCAAAAAAAATTCCAGTATATATGTGGCAGCCGAAATTATGGAATAAATTAGATTACTCAAAAAGAGAGAGATAAATATGTGACCACAGACAAAACCTTGGAGAAAAAGTCTAAAAAACAATAAGAATAAAATTTTATAAGAGACATAGGTAAAGGAGAGAGGCCCCTGCTGAAACGGAAGAGAATGAGATCCGGAGTCTATGTGGAATAATTAGCTTCAAGCATAAATAAGAATGTGACTTGCTCTGAGTAAGATAATAAAAATATCTTGCAGATAAGCCTTGTTGGTGGTGAGAAAAATTAGCTAGGAATTTCCTTCTTCAGAGAAGAGGTGGTGCACAGTGTACTGGTGGGGTAGTAAAAGTTTGAAATTGCACCTGTGAGGAATGAGAGACAGCCTCGAGTTGGACCCATAGTGGCATTGCCAAGCAGTGTGGGGTGGATCTCTGAACTTGTAGTGACACTACGCTGGACTATTATGAGTTTTCTCCAGTGTTGAATGTTGAAGCCTAAAAGCCAGAATGTTGGATGTGCTTCCGGAGCATACAATAAAAACAGGAAAGGAGAATGAGATTTAAATATTTGAAGAGAATTACTGAAGTGCTAGAACAAATATATATTTTGGTCTGGAGGAAGGAAGGAAAAAAAGGAAGGGAAGGTGAAGAAACAGATCTAGAGGAAACAAGGAGTGAAAAAGGCAGGACAGGAAATTGAGGTCAGTAGGATATTTGTGTTTCGTCATTCAGCTCATGGGAATGGGAATCAAGAATGGAGATTAGGTGAAGGGCTCTAGAAATGAGGAGGTCTAGGAGAGGCCAAAGGGACTGTGGTATTTCTGAACAGAACTTAAAGAATTTGTGTGCTTGTGTGTGTGTATAAGTGCTTTGCAATGTGCAAAGCAAGGTAGCTGTAGTCATGGCAGCTAAGCAATGATTAAAGATCTTAGCAACAAGGTTTGCTGATGCCAAGAATTTGAATAATCAGGACAGGGTAGATATAAAGAAACAAAAAGGAAAGCAAGATAGATGTAAGCCTGAATATTTTAAAAGAGGTAAGCTTTAAAATGTGAGAAATATGTGGCAAGATAAAATAATATTAAATCATTCACTAGATAGCTCTCATATGATGTGTTTGCAACTTCTTCTGAATACAAATTGATTGTTTACCTATTCATAATTCTGAGATAAGGAAATCTTAGCTATAGAAGTTCATAGGTTAGAAAAATGGGCCCTCTCTCATTAGTTTTGAGGTAGGAGATCAGCAGGACTTGTTCTCCACATCAGTGGGGTTATGATCCCACTGATCAAAACAGGATGTAGTAAAGAAACCAGCTAAAATCAAAATGGGGAAGAAAGCAACCTCTAGTTGCCCTCACTGCTAATTATACACTAATTATAATGTATTAACATGCTGAAGGACACTCCCAGTAGCACCATGACAGTTTACAAATGCCATGGCAATGCCTGGAAGTTATCTTACATGGTTTAAAGGAAAGAAACCCTCAGTTCCAGGAAATCCACATCCCTTTTCTAGAAAATTATTTACCATATAATTAAGGAGTAGCTATAAATCTAGCTAACTGGTGCTAGATCCACAAGTGCTACTCTGCCTATGGGGTAGCCCTGCTTTGTCACGGAGCAGGCATTTTCCTGTACTCTGTTGCTCTAATAAACTTGCTTTGCTTTCACTTTACTCCGTTGGCTCATTTTTGAATTCTTTCCTGCATGATGCCAAGAACACTCCTTGTCTGGGCCCCAATATTGGGGTTCACCATCAGTTTAGAAGTAGAACCTAAAGTTTCAGATACCCAGGAGATCAAGGATCCTTGTGAAGAGCAATGTGGACAGTTTATCAGCTAGGAAAATAGAGGGCAATTATTCTACTCTACATTTAGACAGGATTGAGAAAGAGAATTTCTCTAAGTCCTCTTCCCCTAGCTCAAGATAACCTATTGGGACATTCCTGACATCAGTGGAGCCACATGCCCCTCTTCTCTCTTCCAGATACTGCTGCCTTCAACTTACCACCTAATGCTACCTCCACTACTTCCAAAAGCAGCAACAGAGGCATATTTTCAACTCATTACAATTCAATTCTCATTTAAAAAACTGTTAGCCATGAAGACTGAACATACAAATGAATAATGTCTAGACCATATCTGATAGAACTCTGGCCCACAATCTCTGCATCAACAAGTGCAGGAGGCCAAATCACAACCTTTGCAGCAACTGACCTGGAATGGTAAGGATTTGGTCAATGGCTGCCAGCTTCCTTATATTTTGCCCTAATTTTTAACTGAAAACCAACAAGAGAAAGCCAAATATACTCCCTAAACAAATCACACAGGATGTGTCACTTCCATTTAGCTGACTCCTAGCTTTCCCATGCTAACATGCTCCAAACACATCACACCTGAGGCCTTCCATGTTTTTTATTATAAGGCTTTTCCACTTCCCTGCCTGACTTTCAATCTCTGCCAAGTGCTAGTGATGGTAGCTGACTTTATTGCTATAGCAATGTCTGAATAAATAAACTGTGTATTCTCACTTGGATGTTCTTCATTTATTTCCAAATACTAAAGTCAAATACCATTATCATCATTTTAGAGATAAGTAAACTGAGGGTTATCTTAATTTCCACATCCTCTTAACTGCAAATAACACAAGTTAGTAGCCTCGGTTTTTTCTCTTTAGCCTCAATGCCAAGACCTGGTTGAGTTTATATATACAGACGGCAACCATCACCTCACATTAATAATATGGAGCTAACTTTTATTTTGTGTTATATATCTTGAATGAGAAGAAAAGCTTTCAGGGAACAAAATGATTGATACCTTTGTTAAATGCCTTTGCACTTCCTGAGTTCTCAAATGTCACAACTCCTGAGCACTCATTTGCAGTTTGAGAATTATAGGCACAATCAAGGTCTAGCTGTAAGTTAATTTCCATTTGATTTTCACCCAGTTTTAGAGCATTCTTTTTTCTCCTTTTATTGATATATAATAATTTACAAATTTATGGGGTACATGTGAGTGTTCCTTGCACGCATAGAGCATATAATGATTAAGCCAGCATATTTGGGGTATTTATTACCTTGAATGATTATCATTTTTATTTGTTGATATCATTTCAAGTCCTGTCCTCCAATTACTTTGAAATGTGCATAATATTATTGCTAAGTATAGTAACCCTAGTCTGCTATCAAACATTAAAACTTATTTCTTGTATCTAACTATATTTTTATATCCATAATCAACCCTGCTTCATCCTGCCCCCCTCCAACCCTCGCCACAACCCACCTTTCCCAGTGTCTGGTATCTATCATTCTATTCTCTATTTCCACATCAAGTTTATTAGCTCCCACATATAAATGAGAATATGTGGTATTTGTCTTTCTGTGCCTGGCTTATTGTACTTAATGTAATGACCTCCAGTTCCACCCATGTGACTGAAAATGACATGATTTCATTATTTTTATGGTCAAGTAGTATTCTATTATGAATATATACCATACTTTCTTTATCTGTTGTTCCCTTGATGAACACTTAGGTTGATTTCATATCTTTCCATAGTACCGAAGGACTTCCAGTACTATGTTGAATAGAAGCGGTGAAAGTGGGCATCGTTCACCATGGGCACTTAGGTTGATTCCATATCTTTCCACTATTCTTTGTGAATAATGCTGCAATAAATACATGAGTACATGTTTCCCAGTAGCGGGATTGCTATATTCTATGGTAGTTCTGTTTTCCATAGTAGTTGTACTAATTTATACTCTCACCAACAGTGTGTAATAGTTCCCTTTTCCTCACGTCCTTGCCAGCATCTGATATTTTTTGTCTTTTAAAAATTATAGCCATTCTAACTGGAGTAAAGTGATGTTTCATTGTGGTTTTGATTTGCATTTCCCTGATGATTAGTGATACTGAGCATTTTTTATGTACCTGTTGGACATCTGTATATCTTCTTTTGGGAAATATCTATTCATATCCTTTGCCCACTTTTTAATAGAATTATTATTTTTTACTATTGAGATGTTTGAGTTCCCTGTATATTCCAGATATTAGTGCCCTGTAGGATGAATAATTTGCAAATATTTTCTTTAGTTCAAGAGGATGCCTCTTCACTCTGTTGAGTGTTTCTCTGTTGTGCAGAAGCTTTTAACTTTACTATGGTCTCAATAGTCTATTTTTGTTTTTGTTGCCTATGCTTTTGAGCTCTTAGCCATAAAATCTTTCCCTAGAAAGATTTTCGGAAGACCAATATCCTGAAGAATTTTCCCTCTGTTTTCTTCTAGTAGTTTTATAATTTCAGGTTTAACATGTTCATATTGAGTTGCCTTTTGTATACGGTAGAGACAGGGGTCCAGTTTCATTCTTTTGGATATAGTTATACATTTTCCCCAGCATCATTTAATGAAGAGAGTGTGCTTTCCCCAGTGTATGTTCCTGGAATCTATGTTGAAGATGAGTTGGCTGTAAATATGTGGATTTATCTCTGGGTCCTCTATTCAGTTTCATTGGTCTATGTGTTTACTTTCATACAAATACCATGCTGTCATGGTTACAATAGCTTTGTAATATATTTTGAAGTCAGATAGCATGATGCCTCCGGGTTTGTTCTTTATGCTCAGGGTTGCTTTGGCTATTTCAGCTCTTTACTTGTTCCATATGAATTTTAGAATTGTGTATTATATTTCTGTAAAAAATGGCATTGGTATTTTGATAGGAATTACATTGAATCCATAGATTGCTTTGGGTAGTATGGTCATTTCAATAATATTAATTCTTCTGATTCATGAACAAGTAATGTCTTTCCATTTGTTTGTGTCTTCTTCAATTCCTTTCATCAGTGTTTTGCAGTTTTCCTTGTAGAGGTCTTTCTCTTCCTTGATTAAATTTATTCCTAGGTATTTTTTTGCAGCTATTGAAAATGAGACTGCCTTCTTAATTTCTTTTTTGGCTATGCCATTATTGGTGGATAGAAATGCTACTGATTTTTGTATGTTGATTTTGTATCCTTCAACTTTACTGACTTTGTTTATAAGTTCTAAGAATTTTCTGGTAGTCTTTTGGATTATCTGGACCTAAGATCATGTCATTTACAAAAAGGGACAGTTTGACTCTCTTCTAATTTTGGTGACTTTTACTTATTTTTCTTGCCTGATTTCTCTGGCAAAGACTTCCAGCACCATGTTGCATAGGAGTGGTGAGAGCGGGCATTTTTCACCATTTGTTTCATTTCTTAGAGAAAATGCTTTCAAATCTCCCCCTTCAGTATGATGTTAGCGTGGGTTTATCATATATGGTATTTATTATTTTGAGGTATGATATTTCTATGCCTAGTTTGCTCACCGTTGTTATAAAAGAACGATATTTTCCTGCATCTATTGTGATAATCCTATGGGTTTTGTCTTTCCTTCTGCTGACATAATAGATCACATTTATTGACCTGAATATGTTGAACTATGCTACCATCCTTGGGATAAATCTCACTTGATCATGATGCATTATCTGTTTAATGTGTTGTTGCATTCAGTTTGTTAGTATTTCATAAGGATTTTTGCATCTATATTTATCAGAGATATTGGTCTATAGCTTTTTTGTGTGTATCTTTGTCTGGTTTGAGTATTAGGAAAATGCTAGCCTCATAGAATGAGTAGGGAGAATTCTCTATTCAATTTTTGGAATAGTTTAAGAAAAAGTGGTATTCATTCTTCTTTATATGTTTGGTAGAATTCTGCATTGAATCCATCCTGTCCTGAGCTTTTATTTGTTCATAGAATTTCCATTACTGATTCAATGTTGCTCCTCATTATTGGCCTGTTTAGATTTCCTGTTTCTTCCTCATTGAATCTTGGTAAGTTGTATGCTTCCAAGAATCTATTCATTTCTTCTAGGTTTTTCAGTTGGTTAGTGTATAGTTGTTAATAATAATCTCTGGTGATCTTTTGTATTTCAAAATATCAGTCATAATGTCTCCTTTTTCATTTCTGAGGTCGTCTGTTTTGAGCTTCTTGCTTTTTTTCTTGGGTAGTCTAGTTATCAGTTTATCAAATGTTTAAATCTCTTTGAACAACCAACTTTTGCATTGGTTTCTTTAGTCTCTATTTTGTTTAGTTCTGCTCTCACCTTTATCATTTCCTTCCTTCTGCTAATTTTGGGTTAGATTTATTCTTGCTTTTCTAGTTGCTTGAAGTGTACAATGAGACTATTTGAAATCTTTCTGAGTTTTTTTTTTCATTGTTGTTTTTTGTTTGTTTTTGGGATAGGGTCTCACTCTGTCACCCAAGCTGGAGGGCAACGGCTCAATGTTGGCTCACTGCAACCTTAACTTTCTGGGTCCCACCTCAGCCTCCTGAGTAGCTGGGACTACAGGCATATGCCACTACACTAGGATAATTTTTGTACGTTTTGCGGAGATGGAGTTTTGCCATGTTGCCCAGGCTTGTCTCAAACTCCTGGGCTTAAGCAATCTGCCTGCCTCTGCCTCCCAAGTCTCCCAAAGTGTGGGGACTATAGGAGTGAGCCACTGAGCCCAGCCTCACTTTTTGTTTATGTAGTTGTTTGGTGCTATAAACTTTCCTCTTAGCATTGCTTTTGCTATGTCCTGCAGAAATTAATATTTTATATTTCCATTTTTCTCTCTCTCAAGACATGTTTTAATATAAATCTTAATTTTCCTATTGATCCAATGGTCATTCAGGAGTGTGTTGTTTGTTTTCCAAGTATATGTATAGATTCCAAAGTCCTTCTTGCTATTGATTTCTAGTTTTACTCACTGTAGTCTGAGAAGATACATTACATAATTTTGATTTTTAAAATATTTTGAAACTTGTTTTGTGGACTAACATGTATTTTATTCTGGAGAATGTTCCACATGCTGATGAGAAGAATATGTAGTTGTTGGATAAAATGCTCTGTAAGTATCTGTTAGATTCATTTGGTCGCAAGTTCAGTTTAAGTCCAATGTCTCTGTTGATTTTCTGTCCAGAAGATCTGTTTAATGCTGAGAGTAGGATGTTGAAATCTTCCATTATTACTGTGTTGAAGTTTGTATCTTTTTAAAAGATATTTTTAGATTTTTTAGATATCTAGTAATATTTTCTTTATGAATCTGGGTGCATATATATAATAGCTACAAAAAATATGTAAGAGTTAATTTAACCCAGAAGGTGAAAGACATCTAAATTAAAATCTATAAATAGGAATAAAAGAAATTTAAAAAGACACAAATGAATAAAAAGATGTCCAATGTTTATGGATTGGAAGTGTAGTATTGTTAAAATATCTATATGACCCAAAGTGATCTACAGAGTCAATGCAATCACTATCAAAATGCCAATGGCATTCTTCACAGAAATTGAGAAAACGATCCTAAAATTTGTATGAAACCACCACAGATCCTGTATAACCAAAGCAATTTTGTGTAAAAAAAGAAAAAAAAGCTGGAGGCATCACACTACCTGACTTCAAAATATACTACAAAGCCATAGTAACCAAAACAGTATGGTGCTAATATAAAAGCAGACACACAGATCAATGCAACAGAATAGAGAGCTGAAAAATAAATCCTAGCCACCTGATTTTCAAAAATATGCCATGGGCACACAATAGTTAAAGGACAATCTCTTCAATCAATGATGTTAAGAAAACTAGACATCCACATGCAGAAGAATAAAATTATACCCTTATTTGACACCAGACACAAAAACCAACTCAAAATCTTTAAAGACTTCAATGTAAGACCACAAGCTATTAAATCACTAAAAGAAAACAGGAGAAAAGCTCCATGACACTAGACTGGATTAAGATTTTTTTGGATGTGATCCCAAAAGCACAGGAAACAAAGGCAAAAATAAACAAATGGGTTTACACTAAACAAAAACTTTGTTCTTTTGTACAACAAAGAACTCAAAATAGTGAAGGGACAGCTTATAGAACCAGAAAAATATTTGCCATCTATACATTTGATAAGGAGTTACTACCCAAAATTTGTAAGACATTCAAACAACTCAATAGCAAGGAAACAAATAACCCAATTAAACATGGGCAAAGAACCTAAACAGATATTTGTCAAAAGAAGATATACAAATAGTCAACACATATACAGAAAAATGCTCAGCATCATTTATTATCAGGGAAATGCAAATTAAAACCACAATGAAATATCACCTTTCACTTGTCAGAATGGCTATTATCAAAAAAACAAAAGATAACACGTGTTGGTTAGGACATAAAGAGAACTCTCGCACACTTTTGATGGGAATGTAAATCAGTACAGCTATTATGGAAAACAGTCTCTTTCTCATAAAACTAAAAATAGAACTACCATGTGATTCAGCTGACCACTGTATATATATCCAAAAGATATTAAATCAGTATGTCAAAGAGATAGTGACACTCCCATATTCATTGTAGCATTATTCACAATAGCCAAGATATGGAATCAACTTAAGTAGCTATCAATGAATGAGTGGATAAAAACCATACATATGTATAAACACAGTGGAATCCTATGTAGTGTTAAAGAACGGAAATGTTGCTTCATGGATGAACTTGGAGAACATTATGTTAAGGGGATTAAGCCAGGCACAGAAAGACAAAAATCACGCTCATGTATGGAACCTAAAAAAGTTGATCTCATAGAAGTAGATAGTAGAATGGTGTTAACAGGGGCAGGGGTGGTTAGGGTAGGGTTGGGGGTGGGGGCTTAGAGAGCTGTTGGTCAAAGGACACAAAATTTTAGTTAGAAGGAATAAATTCAAGAGATCTATTGTACACCATGTTTACCATAGTTAACAGTATATTGTATTCTAGAAAAATGCTAAGAGAATAGATATAAATTGTTCTCACCATAGAAATAATAACTATGTGAGGCAATGTATATATCAATTAGCTAGATTGAGTCATTTCACAATGTATATATCCTTCAAAACATCATGTTGTGCATGATAAATACATTCAATTTATCTTTCAACTAAAAAATAATAATTTTAAAACCCATACCAAAAATACCTGAGCAAAGTGTGAATTGCAACTTATACAGAGAATGTAAAAGAAACGTATGTGGAATGGAATTGGGGCCAATATTCACAGCTCCTATTGACCATTGCTTTTCTAAGTCTGGTCCACGGATCTTCTCCATCAGAACCATGTAGGTTGCTTGATAGAAATACAGTTGATTTTAGAGCCTCTATTGTAGACCTACTAAATCAGGATAACTGAAAATATGGCCTGCAAATTTGGCCTTACATACATAGCACTGCTCTTATGAAGTCTCATGTTCGTAGGAAAAGTTCACTGTAAAAGGTAACTTATAATAAAGGTATTAAAAAAGGTATAATAAAGGCTATAAAAGATAACTTATAATAAAGTCAGATTAAAAACAGGACTTGCTTTTTAGAAACAAGAGTAATACACTTACTTTTGGGTGCCAGTATCAGTCATGAGTTTGCTAGATTTTTGTATTCTGTCATGATAATGAAAGATGTATCTTTCACCTTCAGACCTGATGAATTTCCAACTACACACAATTCCCTAATTTTAAGAGGAAGTGGAATAGTTTACTAGGTATTTATGTAGTATCCTTTCTAGCTGTTGATAGACTTTCATACTAGACCCTATATAAAACATTACTTTTAAAATTAATAGTTACTAAGGGATTACTAGTTTTCTCAAATAACATAATAAGACTGTTGCTATTAATAACTGAAAACAAAAAAACTGAGCAACTAGTGGTCTTAAGAGTAATTATCAAAAGCTAAAAATACATTAATTTGGTTAGAAACAAAACTAGGAATTTCCATATATTAGAGTATTTCAGTTTCATTACCATAAAATATTCAATAGTCTTTACAGGGTCCTTTCAGTTTAAATGAGTCAGAGGTATCCTGACATTTAAATTGCCAAAACTGCATTTCAAAGTGTTTGAGCACTCTAAGTGGTTTTTAACATCTCAAAATTGTTCCTTGAATTTGAATAGACTGTACATAGTTAATTAAACTATACATAATTATAAAATATTACAATTCTGAATGTGGAATTTTAAATATATAAATTATTTAACAGCACGTTATAATAGAAAAATAGTAACTGAACATAGGATCAGAAACTTTTACTGTGGTCTCAGCTTACCTTAATTTATTGTATAAATTTGGGCAAAGAATTAATCTCTTCAAAACTTTAGATTCCTAATATTGAAATGATAATATATACATATATATTTCTATATTTCTGATAGTTATAGCAAGTGTATGTGTAGAATATATTTAATATTATATATTTATTACCAAAATGGGGGAATACTTACATTTAATTAAGTTTATGGTATATGCTGTAGTAATTGACGAGGTCCTGAGGATCCAAGAGACATGCATATGAAAGTTTCTTGAATATAAAACACTACCATTTTAATAAACTAATAGCTGCTCCTTTCTCTTTAGGTAAATTACACTTGTATTAAAAAAGAAAAATGCAATAGATCATATCTGGCTAGCATTTATTTTCTGCTTCATATATCACCTCTTTAAAAGCACTGGTAGTGCTTAGAACAAAGATAACAAACTCTGGAGTAACATGATAGCTGATTTCAAATACATGATGGGTTGTTGTACAGAAGACTAGAAGATAACTTGGATTTGTTTCTTGTGGTCAAGAAAATAATACTAATACTTTTACTTGTGAGTAAAATGTTCAACAGAGAAGATTTTAGTGTAACATAATAAAAATGTTCTAGTATCTGATGTCTCCAAATGTTATAAACTTCCACGTACACATGGGTATCTACATATAAAAACATCACTTTTTTCAGGGAATGCTGTACCAAAAAAAAAATCCCATACTGTATCTAAAAATTGACTACATGCCCTGTGCATTTGTTAATATGCATTCCTATGATTATATACTTGTAACTAAGTTCACAGATATGAAAATGTAATCCATAAGTGATATGGTCTAATCCCCACGGCCAAATTCATACATTGATACCTAATCACCAATGCAATACTATTAAGAGGTGAGGCCTTTGGGAAGTTGTTAGGTCATCATGGGGGTGGAACCCTCCATAAGAGGATTAATGCCCTTACAAAAGAGGCCTGAGGGAGCTGGTTCACTCCTTTTGCCATGTGAGGACACAGAAAGACTGTGCTATCTATAAGGAATGGACCCTTAGCAGACACCAAATCTGCTAGCACCTTCATCTTGAACTTCCTGGCCTCAGAACTGTGAGAAATAAATTTCTGTTGCTTATAAATTACCCAGTATAAGGACTTTTCTTATAACAGTCTGAATGGATTAAGACAAGTTTTAAGTACTTCATAGGATGTTGATCAAAATATACAGTTACTGCTTAAAAGGATAAACAGCTTAAAAAGCTCCAATCATGACAGAGGCTGAATAGCTGTTCACCTAATCTGTTCCTCCTTTTTCTTGGGTACACACCTAACAAGTGTGGAGGGTTAAGGATAGTTTCAAATTATTTGTCAATTCTTCCTTCAAAAAGTATGTCTGTTTTTCTCCCCTTGAACATGGGTGACTTTGACCAATAGAATATGGCAGAATTGATCTATTTCCAGGCTGTAGTCTTAAGAAATGCAATTCTCAATGCTTGTCTCTGCTCTTGATGCTTGAACATGTGCTCTTAAAATACAGCCATTATGCTGTGAGGAAGCCCAAGCAGCCCTGTGGGGCGGTGGTTGGTTCTTTCTGGAGGCTCTGAAGGAAAATCCATTTCATGATTCTCTCCTAGCACCTGACGGCTGCTAGGCTGTGATATTCTTCAATTTGTAGCTGCATAACACTGATCTCTGCCTCTGCCTTCACAAGGGCTTCTCCTCTCTGTGTGTCTGCTCCTTTTCTGGCTCCCTTAAGAATGTCTGTCATTGGATCTAGGGCCTATTCTAATCTAGGAGGATCTCATCTCAAGATGATTACCTTAGTTACATTTGCAAAGGCACTTGTTCCAAATCAGGTAACACTCTGAGGTTCTGGGTGAACAGCAAGTCTTTCTGGGGGACATCATGAAACCTATTGAACTCACCATCTTCCACTGGGACAATTCTCAAATATGTTTCATGTGGTTTTCAATGGGTTCTCAGAGAAGCAGAGCATAGATTTACCAGCTCACTATAGCACATGTTACTGCTTTTCTTTGTTCTTTATGTCATTTTCTCTACATATTCAGCTTCTCTTTCCTGGGATCACATCTCAAATAAACTACCTTCGAGTCTTTCTCTTAGGCCCTGCTCTTGGACAACCCAAACTATGACAGGAAGACTACTTGAGTATCAGTCAGACTGATTTTTAGACTTTCATGTAACAATAAAACTTGTTACTCATATTTGAGTTTAAATGTATTTAATTTAGCAGCTAGTTTTATCTGTAATAACATAATTCCATTGTTCTTTATAAAATTTAAACTCGTATATGCTTTTTCTGGCTATGTTTCAGGTGTCATCCAAATTTTCCTTATGTTTCTGTCATTGTTATCTTCTTAAAACCCCTTTTTGTCTTTAGAGGAATCTTAAAATACTATAACCCATACCTTTCTTTTCTTAAACTTAGGTATTCTTAGATGTTCCAGGAAATTTATTTTTATATATTTTATCTTTGAAATAAACATAAATAACTTCTATTCAATCCTTGAATTCCTACAAGTACATTTATCCTTGGGAAAGTTAAAAATTTATTTGAAAGGACACAGTTACTACTAGATACTACATGAAAGCAATTTGAATGATATTCAATGTCTCTTCTCCAGGAATTAAGGATTGTCTTAAAGACAGAAAGAATACAGTCTCTGACTCTAATAAAAAATACTCAAGAAAAGGTAATAGTCAGATGGAGAAAATAAAATATTGTGATTAAAAAAAGGGGAAATTTTGCTGCAAATGGGTGTTTGTTTTCTTTTGCTGTGTAACAAATTGCTACAATTTTGGCAGCTTTAAAAAAATATACATTTATTGTCACACAGTTTTAATGGGTCAAGAGTCCAGGCACAGCTCCGCTGGGTCTTCTGCTCTATGTTTCAGGGGGCTGCAATCTAGCCATTGGCTGGCGGTGGTGTTTCATCTGAGTTCAGGGTCCTCACGCAAACTCACATCATTGTTGGCAGAATTAATTTCCATGCATCTCTAGAATTCAGGAAGGCTTGATTCTTTAAGACCAGAAAAACAATGTATCTGACCTCAGAAAAGGCTGAAGCCCCCTTTAAAAGAGCTCACCTGATTAAATCAGACTCACACAATGTAGTCCTTCTTTTCATTGATTCAATTCAAACTTACTAAGGACCTTAATTACATCTGTAAAAATCCTTTACCTTTAACATACAAAATAATCTAAATGTGAATTTATATTTGTTGTTTTTGTTTATGGTTTTTGCCGTACTCCGTTGGCTAGAAGCAAGTCACAGATTCAGTCAAGATTCAAGGGAAAAGCATTAAACAATAGCATTACTCACTGGTGGTTATTTTAGAATTTAGTGCCAACCACTACAGGGTTAAATTTATTTCAACACTGCATTCAGAGAAAAATGATATTAAAAAATCCAAGTTTATTTTCTGCAAGGTAGATTAGAAATTTTGAATAAACCTTTCATTTGATACAGTTGAGGCACTGAATGAGAGGCTGCAATATGTAAACTCTGTAACTATGTGGAAAACATCCAAGCTTTACCTAGTGCAGTCAATTACACACATATCCTAACTTTCTGTAATTCTACTTACAGGTATATATCTTACAGAAATTCTTGCATTTATTCACCAGAAGACATATACAGGACTGTTTAGAGAAACATGGTTTACCATAGCCATACCTCCTCAAACTGGAAATAACCTAAATCTCTTATCATCTATAGAATATATTAGTAAACTGTGGTTTATTTATAGAATTAAATTCTTATAGAGCAGTACAAATAAATGATCAGCTCTATCATGGATACTGCAGTGATCTGCTCAGAATCTCTCCAGAGCTTAGCGCCAATCCCCTAATGATGGCAGTGGCAGCCCATCTGGAGAGGCTGTTGTGAAGATGACAGCTGCAGCCAGCCGGCGAGGCGCAGCCAGGACTGCATGCTCCACAGAGCTAGCAGGAGCCAGGAACAGGCAGAAGCCCCCACCCCTTCCAAGTTGGAGGAATGGAAATCCTGCCCCTCTGGGTGCAGCTGCAGACCTGAGCATTCCTGAGCTCAGGGGCCCTAGAAGGCCTCCCTTCCTCTGCAGGCTCAGAAATGCCTCCCTTCTTCAGCAGGCTCAGAAATGCCTGCTCCTGCTGCCTGGCCTCTTCCTGCTCCTGGTGCCTGCTCCAATTTTGAAGCAAAGTTGAGACTAAGCCTGGGCACTGTCACAACCCAGAGGTGTGTTTGCTTGCTGGAGGTGGTGCAGAAATGCCAGCTCCCTGCTGCCTTGGCCCCTCCAGACTTTGGGTGCTGAGGGGCATGAGAGGGAGGCCGGGGTGGGGGTTACTGAGGCTGCCTTGGTGTAGGCCTGCAGGTGTCCCTCAGTACAAACAGCCTGGGCACCTGGGCTGACAGGCTGATGACAGTGGGAGGCAGATAGGCTCCTGGGTGGAAAGGGCCTGGGAAGGCCTGAAGCTGGGGGCTGGGCTGCCAGTTCCACAGACTGGAATGAGAACTTATGGTGCTTTTTCTGGGCCCTCTCATAGCCACCCATGAACTAATTAGAACACACTTCCTCCTTTTGAAGCCCATAAAAACCCCAGACTCAGACAGACTTGGGGAGACATTCAGAGGACCTGTCTGCAGAGAGGAGCTGCCCACTGAGGGTCTTCTTTCAGCTGAGAGCTAAGCAGATGTTGGGATGACCTGCCTGATGATAGGAGCTACCCACTCTGGGTTTCTTGTCTGCTGAAAACTGCACCCTTGACAGGATGGCCTGCCTATGGATAGGAGCTACCCACTTCGAGTCTCCAGAGAGCTGTACTGTTGCTCAATAAAGCACCTCTTCACCTTACTCACCCTTTAGTTGTCGGTGTACCTCATTCTTCCTGGATGTGAGACAAGAACTTGGGACCCACTGAATAGCAGGACTAAAAGAGCTGTAACACAAACAGGGCAGAAACATGCCCCTTGCTCACCATGTTGCGGGCAATAAGAAGGAGAGAAGAGAGGAAAAGAGAAGAGCTGCAGCCCTTCGGGGAACCCAGACTAGAAGCTCCCAAGCCAGGGCTGTGACACCTTCTTTGGGACTCTATGGTTCCTGGTGTTCCAGACTTCCAGGCACCACCATGTTCCCTGGTGCCAGCAGTGGAAGCTGCTTGTGGCAAGCCTGGACCAGCTGCAGCCTTGCAGGGAGCTGGCACCCATGCCAGCATCTGGAGCTGCCTACCCCACCACAGCCAGTGTGCCTGGCTGTGCAGAGCAGCCGGACTCCATGCTTGCTCACTCATACACCCCTCACTGCTTCATGCCTGGTTCACCCTTGAAGGAATGGGATCCAGGCCAGTAGCACAAGCCAAGCATGGCCTGCCAGTGTGAGTGGGTGAAACAAGTCCAGTGGGCTCGAGCAAAACTCAGGCAAAGGTGCCACTGGCCACAAAGTTTTCTGGCTAATGAAGCAACACTCCCAGTATCCTGTAATACTTGCTTCTGGTAATATTGGCTGCTAAAGGCTCACAGATATGCTCTTCACTGGAAATTGCCCTTAATTTCCAGTGAAGAGCTGACTCACCCAAGGTTGCTCCTTCTTCTAGGAGGCAGCACCAATGACTGTCTCATGCTGTCATACTAAAGTTCAGTTGCTTTGCTTCAACTGGGGACACCTTTGACAGCCTATCCCAGTTCTAGACGTGCCCAGAGGACTGGCTGAGTCAGCTTCTACCTCTGTCCAATTCTGCTTCCTACTTTCTTACAGGTATGTCTCTCTAGAGCTCTGCTATCCAGTACCATAGTTCATAAGCTATATGTGGATGTTGAAATTTATTTTTAAATTTTTAAATTGACTAACTCGATTGTCACCTATGGCTAGTGGCTACAGCTACTCTATTAGGCAATGCAGGTATAGAATGCTTCTACCACTGCACAAAGTTCTATTGGCCAGCACTGCTTTAGAGCATTCTTAGGTGAAATTTCTGCATGCAATTCTTCACCTCAGAATCTATTTTCAGGGAATCCAAAGTAAAACAAACAGTTACAAACAGAAGCCTGAATGAATACCAAACACATAATGTGGAGGCCAAGGAACATAACATGGAAAAACATATTTAGTATGATTCCATATATACCAATTTAAAAACAAGATTAGATAATAAAGTATATAAATATTTACATGTAGTAGAACTATAATGAAAAGAAAAGGAATCATTGACAGAAGCTTCAAGAGTGTGGTTATTTTTGGAGACTGATGTTATCAGTGTATTCTCTTTCTAAACTTGGGTCACGAGTATTAAGGTGCTTATCTTATTATCTTTTTATAAATCATAAATATTCACTATTTTTATGTAGGACATTTTTCACAATAAAATATTTTTTCAATAATCTAGGCTCTTAAGGAAAAGGTAACTGATATGTTTTCTATTACTAATAGAAAACAAGTATAAGATAAAGCTCACTGATATGACATATTACTATATTTTTTAATTTTATACTTTTTAATTGACAAGTAAAAATTGTATGCATTTATGGTACACAATATGATGTTTTGATATATGCATCCACTGCAGAATGACTAAATCAAGCTTTTTAATATATGCATTACCTCACATACTATAATGCTTTTTTGTGCTGAGAACACTTAAAATCTACTCTCTTAGCTATTTTTAAATATACAATATATTGTTATTAATAATAGTCACATGTTGTACAATAGATCTTTTGAACTTTATCCTTCTAACTAAAACTTGTGTGCTTTGATCAACAAGGACATGATCTCCCCAATCTCCCCTCCCTCAGCCTCTGGCTACCATCACTTTACTCATTGTTCTTATGAGTAGAATTATTTTTCATTCCACAAATATGTGAGATCATGCAGTGTTTGTCTTTCTGTGCCTGGCTTATTTCACTTAACATAATGTCCTCCAGGTTCATACGTGTTGCCACAAATGACAGGATTTCCCTCTTTTTTAAGGCTCAATAGTATTCCACTGGTATGTGTGTGTGTGTGTGTGTGTATATATATATATCCATTATTAAGGGGTATTTTATTTTAAAGCTGTGGTAAAGCCATAAACAAATCCTGAATATCAAAAAATTACACATGGAAATAAGATTGGAGAAGCCAAACAGAATGGCAAAACTTTTAATTATATCACATTAAAACTTTCTATAATAAAGTTTCTTAACCACAATAGACTACTGAACTAAGAACTGCTGCTAAGCCTCAGGCCATTCAAAAAAGTCTTGAGATGACATTTTGAATAAAGCCTTCCGCTTTATTCAACTTGGAAACTTAATGGGGTGCAATGTTGATGGCAAGAATGGCGGAAGAGTAGTGTATGTGTTTAATTGGACCTAAGAGCTTATATTCTATACATTTCCATCATTTTGATAATGTTTGATAATCATTCCAGTTACGTTAAATGAAATATCAGGTATTAAAAACAAATATCACATGATTTCACTCATATATGGAATCTAAAAAAGTTGATCTCTTAGAAGCCGAGAGTAAAATGATGGTTACCAGGGGCTGGAATGGTCGGGCAGGGGTAGGAGTTTGGGTGATGGGTTGTGGAGACCTTGATTAAAGGATACAAAATTTCAGTTAGATAGGAGAAATAAGTTCAAAAGATCAATTGTACAATATGTAATTATAGTTAATGACAATGTGTTGCATTCTTGAAAAGTGCTAAGAGAGTGGATATAAAGTAATCTCACAACAAAAATCATAACTATGTGAGGTCATGCATATGTTAATTAGCTATATTTTGTCATTCCACAATGTACATATACTTCAAAATAAAATGTTGTACACTAACATGTGATTTCATGTCAATTAAAAACTTTTTAAGTTTATAATTAGTAAAAAAATTATATTTTAATGAAGGATATTTTAATTTTTATAATTGAGATTTTAAAAAATAGCTTTATAATATGAGTGAAATTCAGATACTTATACCATATTCAGATATTATTTGAATGAAAGAGACCCTTAGTGAAGGTCAAAAAACCAGAAATCTCTCTGGAGTGCTGACTTGTAAACCAAAATCTATAAATAAAAATATGACAACATGTCAGATTAGAAATCAGAATGATCAGCTAGAAAATACCATATTCATGTTTTATCAAAACTAATCTGAAAGTCGAGAGGCAGGAAAGGGCAATTCAATGTGAATTAGCACTGAAGCAGTGGCAGACATGATCGTATCATGATATAACTGTCAGATTGCTCATTGTCAGGAAGTTTTAGAATTGAAAGGGGACTTAAAGATTGCAAGTCTTGGTTTTCCCTAGGCTTAATGACAAGTAAGTAAATCTATATGTCTAAATGTCTATATTTCATTATGAGGTATTTAGTGAACTAAATCACTTGAGGGTGATTCAGGATTCCAAAATGTATCTCAGGGTTAGCAACAATAGACAGTTCCTAGGGCCTTGCTGTTCTTAAAATGACTATTTCTCAGTATTTAACAGCCAGACTAAATGGGGTCAATGAAGAGACTGGATATCTGTACAATTTGACGCTTGCTGAAAAGATGTAGCAAGCCACCATATTGTCTTTTTCCCCCTATCTGTGCATAGAAAGAGGTGGAAGTAGTTAATAAACACATTAAGAAAATAGTAAATATTGCAGAAATGCCAAGCGTTGGCTCGATAGCAGTCCTACAATAAGTGAGTTATAGCACAGAAAAACTCAACAAACACTGTTAAGTACAACCAATGAGCTCCTAAGAAACCAGTGTGGCCTATTATTTCTCGCCACCCTTAAAAACACAAGGAGAGTATGTAGTCAAGAGGAAACCGAGGATCCCTAACTAACCAGAGATTCTAATACAGCCAACTCTCATTTTTCTTAAAAATAGTAGAAACAAGCGAGATGCGTTATTAGAAGACAGGCACAGACAGGCCCACATACCCTTTTGGTTTTTCTTCTTATCTCAGGCTCAACACTATTACAAGCCCTTTATAGCATGCAAGTTGACTAATCTGAGTGTCATTTTTTCTTCATTGTTTATCCATGCATTGGTGAAGTAATGTCAGTGACACTGTGATGACCAAAATATAGAAAAGACAATCTAAGAACCTTTCAAACTAGATAACTCATCTGTAAATAACTAAAGTTAGGCTATGTTTTGTTCATATTCTATCTTTAATTTTATAGCAGATAGTATCTAACTGGAATTTTCTTCTGGATTTATCAATTCATTAGGTAGATATAAAATTTGTGGTGCATTTTTAAAATTGTGTGGCTTGCTTATTAATGCCTGAATCATTACTTACAAGTTTAGTGTTGCATGGGGAACAGTGATCTAAATGGTCAATTACCAATTTAATTGTAAATGTGGCTGTTATGCTGGATTGCAATCAGCAAGTAAATAAACAAAAGGGCTTCGGCAAAGGCAATGCTTTTGTTGTGGGAGAAAGTCTACGAATTAACCTTATCCCAAATAACTGCAGCTCAAAACTACCAATAATAACATGAAATTAAAATGCATTCAACTGATGTCCTCTAGCATTCAACTTTTTTTTTTGGGGGGGGGAGGTTAATCATCGATCCCAGATGGTCTATTTCTATAATCTACTTGTAGCTATCAAAATACAGGGATGTTTAATTTTACCAATTGTGCTAACTAGAGAAAATGTATTTTTTCCTTTCATTTTTAACTCTGAAGGACTTTATAAGTTATACTTGAACAAATCATTACTTCATGGAGGAGATTATTCTAATGGTTCTTCCTTTACCAACAAGCTTTGGTAAAATTAATCTACAATTGTTTAACATGGTTATGTCCTACTAACACATTTACTCTTTGGACTTTATGAAATAGACTCCTCAGCTTTAATATTTGAAAGGATATTACTGGAATTAATGAGTGCCTACTCTGTTCCATTTACTAAAACAAGAGTTTCGTAGTCATGATAGACATTTATTGCAATTGCTTATTTAATTGTTGGGTCTATTCTGTGAAACAAAAAGCAAAATCTCTCTTGATGAATGAAATCTCTGCCTTTAGTGCAAATATCAGTCATATAGCAGATACTCATTAAACAGCACTTAAGAAAATTAACATAAATTAGGTGTTAGCATCACCATGCTGTGGGGTGGGGGAACTGAGGCACAGTGAAGTTAATTCTCCTTGTGTTTTTAAGGGTGGTAAGAAATAGCAGACCACATTGGTTTCTCGGGGGCTCATTGGTTGTACCTAATAGCACTTGTTGAATTTTTCTTTGCCATAACTCACATGTTGTGGCACTTCTATAGAGCTAACACTTGGCATTTCTACCACACTTTTGTCAGGAGAAGTGAATATACAAAGCACCAAGAGTCACTTCATAGAGGAGATAACATTCGATTTGAATATGGAAAGAAGATTTGATAATTTAAAAGGCTCCTATGGGAAAGGAAAAGAATAAAAGAAAACATCATAATTCTCACTGTAGCAGAAAACAAATTCCATTAGATCTGTGAACAATTCATTCTTTAGATAACATGACTCTTCAATAGTCAGTAATAGCATCTCAGTGCCATCTGTGGTTTAACATGGGCCCAAAAACATAGGGTAAAGTGTCAATAGTAAGAAACTCTGGCTAGTAATCTCTGAAATGCATGGCTGAGACTAAGGTGAAGCACATGGGGTGTCCTTGAGTGCAAAATTTAAGGGTCAACCATGTACTTGCATTACCCTGAAAGTCTCAGCCTAGTGAACCCTAGTTGCAGTCCAGCTGAAGTTTTTTAATACAATATGAACGTCGCCATTTGTTCTGAGTTCCAGAGTTATGTTTTCCAATACAGTAGCCACTAGCCAAATGTGACTATTTAAGTTTAAAATAAACGTAAATAAAGTACAAACTTCAGTAATCCAGTTGGTCTAGGTACAATTCAAGTGCTCAACAGCTACATGTGGCTAGAGGCTTCCATATTGGATAGTGCAAATATAAAATATATCTACCATCACAGACAATTTTGTGGGACAGAACTGACTTGCCTCAGTCTACAATCCAAGATTTAACTGAGACTAGATGCTATAATGGACTCCAGAATGAAGGAGAGGTTAAAAGCAGCTTTTATTATGCTATAATTTGTTGGATCATTTACATTCTCTGTCTAAAAACTTTTAAATATTTTTGATTCATTCGTTCTATCAGTATTCATGGAGCAGATACCTTGTGGAAAGTACTGTGTATGGACAGGGGCAAGAAAGTGATTCTCACAGATGAATTAAACTCAGATCCTCCCTTCAAAGAGCCTGTGGCATAATGGGAAAGCTAAGACTTGCAAAAAATAACAGTAACATAAAGTGGAATAAACTCCCAAATAGGAATTAAGGGTGGGGAGAAATTATTTACTGTTAAATCTATCAAGAATTTGTTACAGAAAAGATGGTATTCACATTGTGCCTTTATGAATAGGTAGGATTGGAAAATGTAAATATAGTTGCAGGGAGAGCTACTACCTTTTTAATGAGAAAAGTCAAGGTTAGAGGAAAATCTGAGCCATACATGGGAAGAACTATTTGGTTGGTTTGGAATATAAAGTGTGTAGGGGTTGGCATATTTCTTCTGTTTTATTGGTACTTTCTGTTCTGATAGCTTCTGAGAAACTATATTAATGTGAATACAATTTTAATACTAATAGATTTAAATTAATAAATAAGTGTCATGTCATTAATCTGCCTGATCTTATGCATAATTAAATTACATGCATCATAAGGTCACTGTATCCCCTGAGGTTCAATGACAGCCATCCAGTTTTCCTGTGAGAAGACAGTTGTGTGAGAGCTCAACAATTCCTGGTCTAACTGGCTCTTAAGGAATAGTATCCTGCTGTGCTGTAACAGGGATGTTAGGGCCTTGTAGCCACCAGAGGACTGAGTGTATTCCATGCATATAGTCAAGAGTTGTCCAAATCTGCTTTAAGATAGGTTAGCCATTTTTCAGAAAAATGAAGAAAAACGCTGCATTAACAAAACACCATTCATTGCCAAGATGATGCTTAATAAAAAAAATCACTGAGAGCTCTTTTTTATTTCCAGCAATAGGTCAGATTTGTTTCTTCCAGCCAACCCTGATTTTCTCAATTACTGTTAATATCCTGGGTCAAAGAGTTAATTATTTTCTAAAAATATGATTTAATAGATAATATTTACCATTTTAGCACACAAACCTTGTAAACCTAAGATATCAAAAAAAATAACAAAAAACTACAGTGGGTTAAATGTACTACATATCGATGGATGTATGTGTGTGTATGTGTGTTCATATGCACATAACTAAAATACAGTAAAATGTTTTCAGGTAGAAATGCTTTTTTTCCTGGGGATTTAAAATTGGACTGGAAAATGAATCTCAGGCAAAGTACAAAGCATGATTACAATTCATATCTGTAAAACCATAAGGAAAATCTGAAGAGGGCTGAACATAAATACCCCAAGCTGCCAGCTTCTTTACATTTTGCCACGTTATGGAAATATATCTGTTATATAGCAACTAGAAAATGCACCACCCAAATTATATGTAGATGAAATGTCTGCAATAAATTCTAAATAACAGAATAACCATAATAAACGATGCTTTTGAAATAAAAATAAGGCCTTTTCATCTAACAGAGAGATGCTGTAATTTAAAGGGAGTCATTAATAAAAATAGGACATAAAATAATATATCCAAGCAATATCCCAACTAGCTCTTCTTCTGTGGAACAATTAAATAATCACAAACTCTCCTGGAACACTTTTTCCGAATGTGCTGCAAAGGTCACAACAGTTAACATAATTCTAAGGGTCTTCAAGATGGAGAATTGAAAACGATATATTTTCCTTCCCTTATAAAAACTCACGATGATTTTACAACTAAGATAAGCAGTCCAAGTACTGAACCTTCAGGAAGACATAGTATAACTAAAAAAGTTCTAAAGAATATACGATGTTCACAAAGTGGGACTGTCTCTTGGGTCAAGTTTTTTTTTTTTTCTTTTTTTCTTTTTGAGCGGGGAGCAGTGCCAGTGAGGAGCCTAGGACATTTGTCATATAAGGGCCCACTAGAAAGACTCCAACTCTTTCATCATAAATCCTGAGTCTCCCAAGGCTCATAGTTAACACATAAAATCATAAATCAACATGGTCTTATATGCCATCCCAAATTCCTACGTAATACAAAAGATATCTTATGAATATTAGTTAAATTAATTTGGGCAAATAAAAAGAAAACTTTGGGAGGTGATAGATATGTTTATGGCCTTGATGGTGGTGATGGTTTCATGGGTGTATATTTATCCCCAAATTTATCAAGTTGTATAGACTGAATATGTACAGTTTTTAAATATATCAATCATACCTCAACAAAGTGGTTTTTAAAAAAGAGGAAAACTACTTTAAATTCAGGGACCTTGTGCAATAATCAGAGAAACACCTTTCCCCAAGGTGCTATGAAAATGAGAGGGAGACTTCCAATGGATACAAAATACTTAGCCTCCAAAAAGGACCAGCTGGCCAGAAGGGGAAGAGTTATACAGAGAAAATGATCTCAGTGGGGAGCCTGCATTGAGCCAAGTCAGGAACAGAAAGGACGCAGGAAAATACTGAGAGGGCCAAGAAAACAGACCAAGCCTGTGGCTGGGTTTGCAGCTTTGCAGATCTGACGGGGAGTTCTTTCTCTCTCTAAATGGCAAAAAGAAAAAAAAAGGCTGTCAAAATTGGAATGGCAGTTGAGCTGTGCCATCTTAGGGGCTACTTTGCAATCTAATCAGAGCTATTGCCATAGACATAGCGCTAGTGTAAGCATCCACATATGGAAAAGCATTCATCTGCACAGTGGTTATGCCCGAGTTTGATCGTTTTTATGTACATCTAGCAGTAGCTCTAGCATACTATAATTAGACTCATTCACAGTTTTCTAATTCACACAGCTATTCATCAGTGAGAATCAATCACTAGCTAAGTGTGTTACCGGCACCATCTAGACACAAATTACATTGAATAAGGTTCATTAAGTCATTTAATGGGAATATCATAAGTACAGTCAGTACTATATTACACTTCTAGTGGGCACTATTTTCCATAAAGGTTTTGGATGTCTTATTTAGATTTGTGTGAGTTTGTTCCAACAAAAAAGTCACTACAGTGAAGTCTTACTCTACTTCACTAAAAGTATAAACTGTCATCAGCTCAGTCAGTTTCCAAAAGAAGGTGCCACTCAAAAGATGATACTAAATTGAATTTAAATGTGTACAAAATGACATTAAACCCCAGTAGCTCCCTACATCTAAGAAAAACGAGCATTGATTTGGGACCCTGCTCAAATTCTGATGTCTCTGAGCTTTGTTGGTGGCTAACTTTTCCCTCTCATAGCAGCTCTGAGTGTAAATACTTATAAATAAAATATGACTATCTCAAAAATTAAGCTATTTTCATGCAATTAAATTTTTCTTGGGGGGGGGTCATTTTTTGGTCTAATAAATACTTAGATGACTACCTAATTCACTTGGGTCCAGCTATATTATAAAATAGATTAAATGTCATGTTTTGTAATCTTCAACTATCAAGACACATGGATTTATTTTTCTACCATTGAATTTCATTGTTTTTTCTTTCATATAGCATCTGTTAAGCAAAAAGCTCATTTTCTGATGTTTCTGTTCTCCAGCAATATGTAAAGGTCAAGCTGGAGTTTCCAATCAGCACTAAATCACTAGAGTGCCTGTACTGAATTGATGTAATTCGCCCCAAATTAAAAAGAAAACCATGAATTTTTAATTTGCATTTACGCAAATGTATGACACTTGTTGGGCTTTTTAATATACTGAAAATTGCTTGTTAGTTCCCCTTACTTTTTAACAAATATCTATAATTGCTCAGGACCTTTAAAATGGAAATCCTTATTTAAGACATTAGACTTTAATTTTTCTGTATGTATTATTTTTATTCAACATACATCAAAAAGCTAGGGCATATTTTTGTAAATGAATTCTTTAGCAAGAGAAAATCAGGAAATTTAACACAGACAGCTTACCCAAATAGTCTGTTGCTATAGCTGTTCTACTTGCTCCCAGTCTCACCCCTCCAATTAGTTCTCAATTCTGTAGTCAGATACACTTTTATAAACACATATCTGATCATGCCATGCTGCGGCTTAAAATTCTTAGTGGCTCCACATTTCCTCCAGGACAAATCCAAATCCATTAACTTGGTTTACAAAACATCTCTTTTCTTCTTTAACCTGATTTGTCACCAGTAAAAGGAAATAATTTTCAGTCCTTATGACTTTCACTGATACTAGTATCAAATGACTTGTGACATATTCACCTCGATAAAAACCTCATGATTAGGACTGGGTGAGGTGGCTCACACCTGTAGTCCCAGCACTTTGGGAGGCTGAGGTGGGCAGATCACCTGAGGTCAGGAGTTCAAGACCAGCCTGGCCAACATGGCAAAACCCCGTGTCTAATAAAAATACAAAAATTGGCTGGGTGGGCTGGCATGTGTCTATAATCCCAGCTACTTGGGAGGCTGAGGCAAGAGAATCACTTGAACCCAGGAGGCAGAGGTTGCAGTGAGCCGAGATCGTGCCATTGCACTCCAGCCTCAGCAACAAGAGTGAAACTCTGTCTCAAAAACAAGCAAACAAAACAAACCTTGTGATTAGCTCAGCACTGTGATTGGTTATGGTTGCTTCAGTTTTCAGCTCTGAAAGGCATCAACCTTCTCCTATCTCTGAGATCTTGCACTTGTGGGGCTTTTCTTTATTTGCAATATTCTCTCTGGCCTTTTGTCCATCACCATGCCCCATCCTTCTTTTCCCTAACACATCCTTCCCACTTAACTTACCTATTCTTTATATGCCTTCTTCTCATCCTAGAAGCCTTTCATGATCTGTCTATCCCCAATGGATTATGTGAGCCTCCTATGTACTCGTAGAACACCTTTTTTTCTCTCAGAGCATTTTCCACATTTTAACTTTCCCTTTATTTGTCTGAGTCATGCAGTAGATGAGTGATTTTCGATCATTAGAGTGTACCTGGAGGACTTGTTTAAATGCAGAATGTTGGACCCCATCCTCAAGAGTTTCTGATTCAGTAGCTCTTGAGTGGGTCCTAAGGATGTATATATCTGAAAGTGATGTTATGGTTCTATAACTCCGTTTTTGTGAACCCTGCAATGGAAAAAAACTGAGAAAAGTTATGTCAGCATGATGGTGGAATATAAGATTCCCTTGTATCACTACTCCCACAAAAATATAATTAGAAAGTATTCAAAGACAGGAACACCACCCTGAATTCAGGGGAGTAATGAAGAAATCTCTTGGGCCTACAGTATCGAGAGAAGGCATGACCAGTAGGAGAAATAGTCATTTTAGTCTGTGCTGCTCCCTCCTCCAAGCTGGCATAACACCATTTGCAAAGAATTTCCCTAGACCTGTGGGTTCTGAGGTGAGAGGAAGGAGTTGGAGGTGGATATTCAATCTCTCCACTGGTCTGATAATCTTCATGGGAAGCCAACTCCAGTTCCATCCCACTGGAAAGACTGGGAGTGCCAGGAAGGCTCAATCACCTGGGGTAAATTGGATAAAGAGTACGTCTTTTATCACAGTGAGTGGTACACAGATCTTGGCAGCTATTCTTCCCTCTAATCAGCATGGATGCCACAGTAAGGAGACTGGCTGGAGCCATAGAGCTACAGTAGGTACAATATGCAGGAAGGCCCAAATCCCTGGCCATATTTTTTTACAAACCCAGATGTTCATGTGAATCTTTCTTCTGTCCTAGAAATAACTAAAATGTTGGAATTAGGTTTTGGTGCCACTTAAGTCTTCATCAGACTAGAAAAAAATAGCAGGACAGCAATATAATTCTGGTATAGCATTTAAGTTCTTGTACTCTCTATAAGTCTTCCCCAGACTGGGAAATAATAGCAGAGCAGCAATTCAGTTCTGATGCAGCATTTCAGCTTCAACTCACAGAGTAAGTCTTACTCAAACCAGGAAAGAGAGGTAGGGTAGCAGTTTAGTTCCAGTGCAGTGTTTTAGTTCTAGTGCTCGCTGTAAGTCCTCCCCAGAATCGGAAGCAAAGGATTAACTTTTGGTACTAAGTAGTAAAGGTCTAATACCACCAAAGAATACTGCAAAAGTTGGGCAAGGTGATTCTCTTCTCAAATGTGAAGACATCAATGCAAGCATTGTTAAACTCAGGGAAATATGACATCACCAAAGGAAAACAACAAAGCTTCAGCAAGGGGCACAGATTGAGTATCTATGAAATGTCTGTCAGAAAATTCAGAATTATCTCCTTAAAGAAGTTCAGGGGAATCACAAGAAAATATAGATAGAAAACTGATGAAATTTGGAAAATAATCTAATAATAAAATGAGAAAATTGACAAAGAAATAGTATTTACACAAGTAAAAACACACCAAGTAAAAATCTTAAAATTGAAGAATACTGAATACAATGAATAGAGAATACAATAACTGACCTGAAAAACACATTAGAAAGCCTCAACAATAGACTTGATCAAAGAAGGGAAATAATTAACAAGCTTGAAGAGAGAATATACAAAATAGGAGATAAAAGAAAAAAGAATAGAAAAGAGTAAAGAAGTCCTATGAGAATTATGAGCCACCATCAAGTGAATTAAGTTTCACCAAATATTAATAAAAATTCCTAATGGAGATGAAGGGAAAAGACCCAGAAAGCATATTTAAGCAAATAATGGGTGAATATTTCCCAAATCTGGAGAAAGATGACAGCATTCAGGTACAAGAAACACAGAGATTGCCAACCAAATTTAAGCCAAAAATGAATTTCCCAAGGCAAATAATAATCACATTATCAACCAAAGTCAAATAAAGAATACTTAAAACAGCAACAGCAGAGAACTATATCACATTCAACACAGCCCCAATACACCTTTCAGAGAATTTCTCAGTGAGAGTGGAATACTGTATTCAAAGTGCTGATGGGAAAAATAAAAAACCCAAAAACCTGCCAACCAAGAATACTGTACTAAGAAAAGCTATCCAGGAAACATACAGGAGAGAGAACTTTCCCAGGCAAATAAAGGCTGAGTGTATTCCTTAACACTAGCCCTATCTTACAAGAAAAATGCTAAGGTGAGTTCTTTAATCTGAAAGTAGCTTTGCTTATATCAGATAAAACAGACTTTATGTCAAGCATGGTGAACAAAAGGCAATTATATAATGATAAAGGGGTCAATACAGCAAGCAGACACAAGAATTTTAAATCTATATGTACCCAATATCAGAGCACCTAAAAATATAAATACTATATTAATAGACTTAAAGGAATTGATGCAATAAAATAATAGTAGATTACTTCAGTACTCCATTTTCAGCAATGGACAGATTGTTCAGGCAGAAAATCAACAAAGAAATATCAAAGTTAAACTGCACTCAAGACTGAATAGATGTCACAGACATTTCCAGAAAATGTCATCCAACAGCTGCTGAATAAAATTTTTTCTCAACAGCACTTGAAACATTCTCCAGTACAAATCATATGTTAGGTCACAGAACAGGTCTTACTAAATTTTTAAAAATCAAAATAATATCAAGTATCATTTCTGATTACAATGGAAAAACCTAAAAATCAATAACAAAAGGAATATTGGAAACTGTACAAATTCATATACATTAAACAACATGCTCCTGAACAATAATGGGTCAATGAAGAAATTAGATAATTCATTGAGACAAGTGAAAACAGAAACACAGCATACCCAAACCTATGAGATACAGCACAAGCAGTTTTAAGAGGGAAGTTATAGCAATAAACACTTACATCAAGAAAGGTAGGTATACCTTAGGAAACTAGAAAAACAAAAACCAACTAAACTTAATATTGGTAGAAGAAAAGAAATAACAGAGAACAGAACAAAAATAAATAAAATAGAGATTTTAAAAATATGAAAAACAAAACCAAGACTTGGTTTTCAAAAAATAAACAACAATTATAAACCTTTAGTTAGTGTAAGTACAAAAGAGAGAAGACTCAAATAAGCATAATTAGAGATGATAAAAGGAGACATCATAACAGATGCCACAGAAATACAAATGATTCAATACAAATACAAAAGATAATATTGTGAACAATTATATGCCAACAAGTGGAAAAATCTATAAGAAATGTATAAATTCCTGAACACATACAGCCTACCAAGACTGAATCATGAAGAAATAGAGAACCTGAACAGACTAATAATAAGGAAGAAGACTGAGGCAATAATAGACTCTCCCATCAAAGAAGAGTCCAGGACCTGATGGCTTCACGGCTAATAAATATTTGCCAATAATATTGAATTATCAAATATTTAAGGAAGAACACATATTAACTTTTCTCAAATTCATCATAAAAAATTGAAGAGGTGGGAATACTTTCAACTCATTTTATAAAGTCAGCATTACAATGATATCAAAACCGGACAATGATACAACAAAAAAAGAAAACTATAGGACAATATCCCTGTTGAACATAGATGCAAAAACTCTCAACACTAGCAAAACAAATTAAACAACACATTAAAAAGATCTTTCATTATTACCAAATGGAATCATGCCAGGAATACAAGGAGGGTTCAACACATGCAAATCAATAAACGTAATACATCATACTAACAGAATCAAGGACAAAAAACAAAAAATCAAATATGAATATTTCAGTAGACACAGAAAAAAAATTCTATAAAATTTAGCATTTTTTCATGATAAAAAAATCTTCAACAAATTAGATATAAAAGTAATATACTTCAACACAATAAAGGCCATATATGACAAACCACAGCTAACATCATACTCAATTAGGAAAAGTTGGGAGCATTTGTCTCTAAGTTATGGAACAAAATAAGGATGTCCACTTTCACTGCTTTTATTCAACACAATACTGGAAGTCTTAGCTATAGGAATTGGGCAAGAGAAAGAGATAAAGGGCATCCAAATTGGATAGGAGAAAGTCAAATTATCCCTGTTTGAGGACAGCATGATTAAAAATACAGAAAATCCCAAAGACTCCACAAAAATAATATTGGAACCAGTAAATAAATGAATTTAGTAAAGCCGCAGCATACAAAATTAGCATATAAAAATTAGTTGCATTTCTACACACCAATTACAGACTATCTCAAATCAAGAATGTAATCCAATGTATAATAGTTATAAAATATAAAATAGTGATACATTTAAACATGGAGGTCAAAGATCTCTATACTGAAAACTATAAGATAACTGATGAAATCAATTGAAGAAGATGCAAATAATTGGAATGACATTTTGTGTCTTGTGTCCACTCATTGGAAGAATTAATATTAAATGTCTGTACTACCCAAAGGGAGCTAAAGATTAATGTTATCCCTATGAAAATACCAATGATGTTCTTCATAGGAATAGAAAAACCAATCCTAAAATTTGTATGGAACAACAAAAGACCCAAATATCCAAAGCAATTTTAATCAAAAAGAATGAAGCTGGAGGCATCATACTACCTGACCCCAAAACATACCACAAAGCTGTAGTGACCAAAACAGCATGGTAATGGCATAAAAACAGACACATTGGCCAAAGGTATAGAACAGAGAACCCAGAAAGAAATCCACACACTTACAGCCAACTCATTTTTGACGAAGTTGGAAAGAATATACACCGGGGAAAAGATAGTCCTTAATAAATGGTGCTAGGAAAGCTCGATTGCATACTGAGTAAATGCAGAAACTCCTAGATATTTTTTAAATAAAAAGAGTTAATAGATATCTTTGTGCACTATGATTAGTACAGGCAAGTCTCACTGGCTTTTGGGCTTTTGATAATAATAAAGATTAATGTATATACATACATACAAACACATATAAAATAATGGTTTACATAAATACACACACACATATATGTGTGTGTTTTTTCTCATATATATGTGAAAAATGTGTTTTGTAAGTCCTACTCCAAGAGCAAGGGAAATTTATATGGAAACCAAAGAACAGTTTACTGAAAGGTTGAAGGAATGTGTTTGTATTTTTCCCCTGGATTTCTCAGTAATTATCTCCCCAGATTACTTTCTCCTAAAACGTTTATACCTCCTAATATGTCTAATTTTATGCTAACTTTAGAGGCTTAAAGTTATTTTTTAATATACGCATATGCTGAAACCTCTTCAATTTCTGCTTTATCTTTTAAGAATATTTATCAGTGTACAAAAAGTATGTTTAAATGTATAATGCTAAAAATTTAAGAATTTCAAATAATATTAGAATAAAAAATTATTTTTTCCTAAAGCTGAGCTTAACAAATATTTTCAAATTTAATATTTCATGAAAACAATGTACAGAAAGTCCTGTTGGATAATGGAAGAAAATAAGAATATTTTAAAAATATTCCAGGTTGTTTTTTAGGATGGAGAGAATGCAAAGCAAAAACATTTGTTGATTTGATTCTGCTCTATACTTCATAATTATCTTTTATTTTGAAATTTATAATAAAACACTGCTTTAAGACAATGTTTTCATCACAATTTATATAAAAATAAATTCCAGGTGAGTCATACACATTTAACCTAAAAATACTCTAAAAATTCTAGACGGAAAGATCGGATGAGATTTTTAAAAATAATCTCAAAGTGGGGACTGTAGTTTACAACATAACATAAAACCTATAAGCTGTAAACTGATACAATTAACACTGTAAACTTCAAAAAAAACTAAAGAAATTTAAACAAAATCTAAAGAAATTATGTTTGAATCCTTTATCAAGACAAAGTGCAATTTCCTTAAAATAGAACAAGGTCCTATAGATCAGAATACATAAATCAATAAAAAATGAAGAAAACTTTGATTAAACATTGAAGTGCCTTTTTAATATACAAATATGTTTAAACTTATCAATATTTAGATAAATGTAAATTGAAATTCCTCAGCAATAATTTTTTATATCTATCAAATTTGTAAAAACTATTAAGACAATGACTACGGTCTGAATGTTGGGTATCCCACAAAAAATCATATGTTTTATTGCTAAAGTATTCCTAATACTCAATGTGATAGGATTAATAGTTGGGAATTTTTGGGGAATTATCAAATAATAAAACTCTGCTCTTATGAATGAGACCTGGGCCCTAATGAAAGAGGCTGAAAGCTGCTTTTGCCCCTTCCATTAGGTGAGGTTTCAGCAAGAAGTCACTACCTTGGAAGCAGAGAGCATATCCCACCAGACGCTATATCTATGGGCATCTTGATCTTGAACTTCCCAGCTTTGAGAACTGTGAGCGATAAATCTCTGTTGTTTATTAATTACCCAGTCTAAGGTATTTTTGTTATAGCAGCCCAGAAGGACTAAGACATCTTTGGTAGAACAGTATATGGACAAGGTATGGAAAAAAAAAACACTTTTAGAGATTGCCGGAGGGACTGAAAATTAATAAAACCCCTTTGGAGGTTAATTTGTTGGTATCTACTAAAATTCCCAATCTATATGACATTTGTTCCATCAATCAAATACACATTTTGAATTTTATTTGATACATACTTTTATGAGTTACAAAAAGATATATATCATGTCTTTCTAGCATCATTTGTGAAAACATAACCTTAGAAACAACTTGAATTTCCACCAATAGGGGCAGGCTAAATACATTGTGAAATGTCCATTCAGTGGAATACCACGCAGACATAAAAAATGAGAATATTTTAGTGCATTGGAGATGAAACCATTTCAAAGACATATTGTTAAATGAAGCACAGAGCAGTAGAGTATGTATAATATGCTACTATTTGTGTAAAAAAGGTGATTCATATATCTGTATGTGTACGTGTCTTCATATATACAAACATATCTATATATACATCTATGACACGTTCATATTTGGAAAGCATATATATACATAGGTATGAATGCAGTATCTCTGAAAGGATATGCAGAAAGGTGATAATATTGTTTATTTCCAGGAGGGGAGGCTGAGTACTTGGGGAAAGTATGAGAAGGATAATTTTTACTTTATACTTTAAAAAAAAATCTTTTAAATTATGTGCCTGAGAAATATATTAACAAAAAATTTAATAAATAAAACTGGAATTAAAAGCAAAGTGAGGGCTGGGTGCTGTGGCTCACACCTGTAATCCCAGCACTTTGGGAGGCCGAAGTGGGAGCATCACTTGAGGTCAGGAGCTCGAGACCAGCCTGGCCAACATGGTGAAACCCCGTCTCTACTAAAAATACAAAAAATTAGCCAGGTTTGGTGGTGCGTGCCTGTAGCCCCAGCTTCTAGAGAGGCTGAGGCAGGAGAATAGCTTGCACCCGGGAGGCAGAGGTTGCAGTGAGCCGAGATCGCGCCATGGCACTCCACCCTGGGTGATAAAGTGAGACTCTGTATCAAAAAAAAAGCAAAGTGAGATTAAAAATCAAGATTAATTCAGAGATAATGAAATGAAACATGACATGTGTAGACTGCATGATCATAGAAATAATTCTAATTCTTGCTTGTCTTTGATACTTGATAATTACATAAGTAAAGTTTTAAGTTTGTTTCTGCTGATCGTAACAAAATAACTGGAACTGGGAAATTTATAAAGAAAATACATTTATTTCTTATAATTGCAGAGGCTGAGAAGTCCAAGGTTGAGGGGCAACATCTGGTGAAGGCCTTCTTGGTGGGGACTCTCTGTAGAGTCTGGAGGGGGCACAGGGCATCACGTGGCAAGGAGGCTGAACATGATAGTTCAGGCCTTTCTTCCTGTTCCAATAAAGCCATCAACTCTACTCCTATGATCGCCCACTAACACAATAATTCATAAATGAAATAATTTATTCATGTGGGCAGAGCCCTTGTGGCCCAATCACCTCTTAAGGGCCTCATCTGTCAATACTGCCACATCGGGGATTATATCTCAACATGAATTTTAGAGGGGACAAACATTCAAACCATAGCAAGTAACTATTCCCATATTATTTAATTCCAAGTTACATTTTATGCAGAATTTGGGGGCACTGATCTTTAAGTTGTTTTCTTTGAGTAACAGTAAAGTTGAGATATTCCTTGAGTTGGAAGTACTACTTTGGTTTGTACAACCTTGTTCCTCTTACTATCACTGAAGGAAACCTATTCCAGAAGCTGTGTGGCCAAAAAGAAGAAAAGCACAATGAAGTACATTTCCAGTAATTTTTATAGGCTGTCAGTGCCAAGTTTAATTAGAGAGCACATTCCAATGCTTCCAAATACCTGGAAGATGCTTTGCAAGCAGATGGAGAGTGACAGTATATGCATTTCAGAGTAATCCTGGTAGGTCCAGCAAACTATGTATTTTGTGTGTTATAATCTCCTCCATTTTTATAAGGCTAACAGAATCAGTAGAAGCAGCACCGAATCAAAAACTGTTTGTGTTTCAGTGCATGGTGTTATAGCACAAACTCCTGTCTGGTCAGTGAATTTAGCACAAAAACAAGGCAAGTATTGATGGAATAAAGAAAAGGACCATCTCCTGAATACCTATGAGTAAGATGATTCACAAACATTCTTTCATTTAATCCTCACAGCAATTCTATGAGCAATTATTGTTATCCTTTTTTTTTTCTAAATGAAAACATTGAGGCTTAGAAGAACGAAGTAACTTGTCCAAGACTCAATAGCTTCCTAATTGATGGGAGCCTCTATTTGAATCCAGGTGGGTTTGATTTCAAAGCTGCATCTCTTCCTAAGACATCCACTCCTTGCCAAAACAAAACAAGGTTATTTGCTGACATGAAGCAGGCAGGACAACCAATTCTTCCCTAGGAATTGTAAGAGCTGTTTCCAGAATCAAAGCAAAAGGGTCTGCCTCCTTCATCCTGGCCTGGAGACAACTCTGTTTTTCAATTGGTTGGCGTCCTCCAAGTTTTTATGGGACTGTTTTGTGTGTGAAGCGGTGTAGCTAGAGTAAAAGCCAAGGACAGAACCCCAGGAGTTCTAACATTTACAGGCCTGGTAGAGGATGGCATTTGGCAAATAATTCAAAAGGGAGCAGTCAGTGAGGTCAGAGGAAAGCTGGTAAGAATAGCAATTAGACATTTAGAAAATAAAGTATTTTAGGAAGGATGGAGTGGCCAATAACAAATGTTTCTGATAGGTTAAGTAAATGAGGCCAGATGATTGACCATTGGTTTAGGCACAGTACAGATGAAAGAGCTAAGATAGTTTTAGCAGAAGCCCAACGAAAGTGATTCTACCGTACCTCTTCGCTGCGATGAAAAATACAACTGTCTATAGAATTCTAGGTACTACTACACTGGGATTTTAAATGAAAGTAAGATAATGTTTTGTTTTGTTTTATTGATTGATTGATTGATTGTGACATTTCCCTGGTCTTTGTAGGGACACATCTCCAGAATTACCACCTCCAGCAGAGTCTGTCTGGATGTATTTCTAACAGAAACCATATTATTTTAAATTCTACTCTTCCCTACATCCCAGATTAGGATGGGTTTTTCTTTTAATACTGCATTATATTTTCCCTGCCTGCCTGGCATCTGACACTATTTCAGTTATTGGTCTAATAATTTTTTTAATGTCTACCTCTCTGGCTAGAGTCCCATGAGGATACTGACTGTGTTTGTCTTGTTCACTGAAATTTCTCTTATTCTTAGTGTTTGGTACACAACAAGAAGTCAACAAATTTTATTTATTGTATATATGTGAATAAATGAATTACATTTAAATCCTTTTTCCTGTATGAGACAGAAAGCTCAAAACTAATCTTCCTGCATAATTTTGAATGCTTCCTCTTGGCCATTTTCACCATTGCCAAAGAAGAACGTCTCAAAGATAGAATTTTTCAATAGATAAAATTGTAAAAATCAATAAAACAGGATACATAAACTGCATTTTCAATAAGATATTTTAAGGAATGGTAACAAAATTGAACACCTCTATAGAGAGCCATATAGCATATTTAAGGAAAATAAAACGCATCATGGAAATAAAGAAAGGGACCAATTCATTTCCTGGTGAGATTCCATTATCCATTAACTTGTTCTGGAGAGAGCAAGGGGAAATTGGATTACTGGATTATTACAATCTAGTCTGTCTTTGCTAGCCATCTATCAGAGATTATATATAGACACCACTTATGAGTGATAGCAAAAATACATATATATTCTAGAATTTAGCATAATTAATTGCTGTATTTTTGTTTTATGCCTTCTGTTTGACACTGTTCTGACGAATCAGGAACTTTAGAAGAAACATGCTACAAAATATGAGACTTTTAATAAAAGAGACTATGTCTAATCAGCACATTAGATACCATTTCATTAATGCAACACCATTTTATTCACATGATTTTGTTGCTGGTGATGAATTAAACAATTATGACCAATAATATTCTTCAGAGAGGATAACCTGACTCACTCTCTCTCTCTCTATATATATATATACATTTATATAATTATATTTATATAAAATATATATTAATTATATAAATATAATTATATAAATGTATATATGTGTTATATATTTGTATAATCACAATATATAAACAAAATCAAAACTATGAGAATAACTACATCAGTATTTCCTGGAAGGCTGAAAATAGCAATTAAAAATGCATTAAACTTAACCATATAGAGAGAATTTTAGATGGATTAGAGTTCCTGACCTCTTGCTTTAAAATTTCATATTTAACTTTCACCCCAAGATTTCAATGAAATCACTGAGTAAATGATATTTTAACTTTAATTCTATCTCTGTATATTTCTCTCTTTTAATTACTTATGTTTCTACACTACTTTCTAATTCACTAGATGCTTCCCTAAGTGTAAACACCTCCTGATTTTAGAATCAGAGTTCTACTACCTCTGAAGTAGAGACAAAAGATATTGCATTATTTTAGAGATGAGAAAACAGTGGCTACTGAGTGATTTGTTAATTTGTTATAATTAGTTGAGTTGTAAAACTAAAATTAAAATTAAAATCTTATGGTTTTGATTCACATGTATTATAAATAAAAATGGCAACTATTATATCCACTATTTATGGAATGCCTAGTATATGTGAAGCGTTAGGTTGGATATAAAAAATGCATTGGTGAGCAAGAGAGATAAAATTCCTACACTGGAGGGTTTTATAATATACTCCACCATACTGCCTCCGTGTTGATCTTAATTGCTGTATTGTTTTACCAAGGATTCAGTAATACAAGTAACATCTACCATTTTCTTCTCTTTAAAAGGAATTATATAAAGAACTGTGTAACTTCTGGGAAGCTGGGGAAGAGGAGCGCAAGCCTTGGGAAATAATACAGACTATTAGGCAAAAACAGTTCTTAAACAGATTTTTTACATACTGTAGTTCTTTTCACAGTTTAATTTTCAGTGCAAGTTTTTCTCTAGATACTTACTAAAAAGAAAAACTAAAAAGTAAATAGAATATCAGAATCCATAGTGACAAAGTTCTATTTAATGGAATAGTTGCTTAATGTCACGTATCATTCTACTAACTTGTTAAAAAATACAGATTCCTGCGCACTTCACTGGATATCCTGTATTTTCTGAAGTAGCCAAGAACCCTTTAGCAGCAGGAAATTTGGGAAATACTAGAGTCAAACAATTGTAAAAAAAAATTATGTTTCCAATTTATTATGTTTACTGGACTTTTCAGGAGCTTGGAGTAATTTGACTTACTAAAATGTCCCATCCCAATCAACAACTATATTTTAAAACTAACAGATTCAAGACTCATCAATTTCCTGGGTAACTATTATACAAAGTCACAATGTGAAAAATAGAAAAATTTTAAGTGAAATAACTCAAACTATAGTCTTCAGTGAAATATTATATGTTCCAAACAACTTACTTGATAGTATTATAATATAAAGAAGCACATTGTAGATGAATTCATTTTTTCCTATCACCATTTGTGAAGGAAAACCATCTTTAAAGAATGAAAGTTTCTGAAGAAGGAACACATTAAAATAAAAATCACATGACACAATATTGATTATACCTCTTGACTCCACTACAGCAGTTTTATGGCTATAACACGACACAATTTCAGAGGTCGCCATTTCAATTTCGTGTATGGCCACGTGGGGCAGAAAGAGTCAACATTAAATCTGAGTTTTATACTTGTTAGATGCTAAATTCATATCAATTGAAAAGTTATACAAAGTTTAGGTAATTGACTCCAGAGATACCACAAATATAGCATATTTTACTGCAGACCTTTAGACTTACTCTTTTTTTCTTTGAGTTGGAGGAGAGGTTAGAACCTTGTTTAAGAATTTAGATCATGCAAGTTTCCTGTCTGCCTGCCGATTCATTCCATCCGTCATCCTTATCTTTCTATTTCTTTCTAATTACCATTCTACAATTTCATGTCCTTTTGACTTACATAAGACCACATACTGAGTTTGGTGTTTGCCTATTTTTTTCAGTCTTGTAAAATGTTTATTATTGTTTTGTGTATTTATCTAAATTTTAGAAAAATAGGCCAGGCGTGGGGTCTCACGCCTGTAATCCCAGCACTTTGGGAGGCCGAGGCAGGCGGATCACGAGGTCAGGAGATCAAGACCATCCTGGCTAACACGGTGAAACCCCGTCAGTACTAAAAATACAAAAATTAGCCGGGAGTGGTGTCGGGCGCCTGTAGTCCCAGTTACTTGGGAGGCTGAGACAGGAGACTGGCGTGAAGCCAGGAGGCGGAGCTTGCAGTGAGCCCAGTTCGTGCCACTGCACTCACTCCAGCCTGGGCGACACAGTGAGACTCCGTCTCAAAAAAAAAAAAGGAAAATATTATTGTGCTAATATACAACATTATGTTTCTTCCCTTGTTTTCCACTTATCACTGTTTTTACTTTTTATCCATGTTACTATGTAGACATCTAACCCATTTTCCTAAGTGCCCCACAATATTCCATGATATGTACCCACTACATTTTATGGATCTATTTTTCTGTGAAAGATACCTGGGTTGCCTCCATCTCCTCAGTCTCACAAACAATGCTATATTGAATATCCTAGTAAACATGCCCTTGGTGAACTTTGTGAAAATATGTACCCAGAGTTAGATTACTGGCTCCCGGCTTACTTGCCAACTGAAAGTGCATGAAGGTTCCAATGTCCCATATCACCATTAAATTTATAATTGATCTTTTTTTGGTATTGTTGAACCATTTTTGCATTCATGAGATGAAATTACTTGACCAAGTCATGTTCTTTAATATTTAATATTTTACTTAGACTTTTCTCATCAATGTTTATTAACAACGTGAGGTTATAATTTTTTTCATGTATTGTCATAATTCAGTTTTAGAATCAAAATTTCACTAGTTTTACTAATACAACATACTATGTATGTTATTGATATTTTCAGAATTTATTATGGTTTCATTTTTTACTTTATTTACCTTGTTATGAAAATTAAAGCATATAGTGATAGAAGCATAACTGGCTAGTCATTTTTCAGGCTCTGAATTTTCATATATTTTTCTTCTTTAAAATACATAAGACATGGCAATATACTACTCATTTTGAACAATTTCTTGTTACAAGTAAAATTTTATATACTAGTCATGAAGCTGGCATTTAAAAAGAAATTTTCTTTTCATAACATTTATTCTATACATTTTATATAATATCAAATGATATTTTATATATTTATAAAATATAAATATTTTATAAATTATAATTTGATATATTTGTATATATCAAATTATAAACATATTAACTCTAAGTTATGCTTATATTTACTCAGATTTAGAACTAAGACAAGGAGCACATAAGGTGGTAAAAAACACCTATCTTTCAGAATAAACATCATTCCCTAACTAATGCCAATGATTACATAAGAAAGTACATTGCTGGAAAAATATCTAAGAAAAGTCAGGGACATATTATAGCCAGTTTTGTAATGATTACTATTTAAATCATGTTTCAAATTAAGAGTTACAGAATTGGATATTTTTCTACATGTACATTTCAGGGCACATTTTAACTTTTCTTTCATTGCTGAATTATTTAGAAATTGGCTAGAGCAAAACCAAAAGAAAGGGAAAAAGACAAATTGCTAAATCAACTTTTTGGGTTAAAATAACTGAGAAAGATACATCCACAAAACAAGCATGGACGTTCTGAAATTTTCCACATTTAAATTCAGGTAAGTTGCCCCTTTAGACTATTCTACGGTGATATTTTCTCTCTCAAAGAATTTTCAGAGGATAACGTGGCCAAAATTGTGGTATACATATCACATTCCGTCTAATACAAAGAGATGTTTTTTGATAGAATTTTCATTTAGTAAGCATTAATTGATCTCTGCACAGTGTTATATGCTACAAATTCAATATTAAGATAAATAGAGTTTCTGTTTTCACTAAACTCAATGTTACCATGGGTATCAGACAAAAGGTATTTTAATGCATGTGAAAAGTAAAGGGTGCTTCTGTCCACATGGTACAAGATGGCTCAAAATCAGGTCCACATTCTGTCTAGCGGAAGGGAAAAAGTAGAGGAAAGGAGGATATTCCCTTCTCCTTTAAGAGACCATACCGAATTTTTTACACACCTACTACAAAGATATTCATTGCAGCCTTATCTGTAATTGTGAAAAATCGGAATTGATGTGTAAATTGCTGTACATGCTGTAGGCAGTTGTAAAAATCAACAAACTGTACATACATGAATCAGCATAGATAGCTCTCAAAAATTAATATTGAGCTTTAAAAATTATAGAAGAATCATTACATTTAGACAATCTGGTTCTAGAATTAGTATATACAACAATAATACTGTATTACCTATTTCTAAAATGTATTATATCACAGGTTGATAGAGATAAAGACTGTATCACAAATAATAGATATATGTAATAAATGTACACAAAGATGAAACTATGTTCATCAAAGCTAATAAGAAATTCATAACAGAGATTTCCTTTGAGATAAGAAGTGAGAGAATTTGACTTGGGAGGGAAACAAAGAGACTAAGCATATATGTGCATGTGTGTGTGTATGTATCCAAAAGTCAATAAAGAGAGAAATATGTTTCTACTGATTTTACATACAACTCCCACTTGTAGGTAGCACATTTTCCTCTGCATTCATCTATCTGTATCACTCATGCTGCCTTATAGCAAAACACAGTCATTTGGAGAAATGATTTTCAAAAGAAATCATCACATGAATGTCAAGAACTTTCGTTTGTTCCTGTTTTTAGTTACAAACCTTCTAATCAGATTCAAAATAAGATTTTAAAAAGTCCCTAAGTGTGCTTCAGAACTAAAAGTGTACATGTGTTTTAGTTAAGGCATATCTTAATACAATTTTCTTAGGTAGTCATTCAATAAACAACTTAAAATTTACCAAAATATATAAATTTAAAATAGCAGAATCTTAGGCAGAAAGGTTTTATTGGTTTTTGACATCTTCTTGTGGATGATCTCTGTGTAAACAAGTTTTGATCTCAGGGTAGGTGTGGAGGGAGACTGTAAAATCAGTTAATAAAGGTTTTCATTGTTCAACAGAAAAGTTCTTTCGCTGAGTGGTTTCCACGGAACTGAGTTAATGCTGACATTAGCTCAGCATAATTCTTTTAAAACACATTTAAAAAGAAAGTCTTATCTATCCTCCTCATTCCACAATTAGGGGGTCTCTTTATGTAGATTTTATTAAAATGGATGTGTTCATGCTAGCAATAATCACTATTAATATTATCCAGCTAATTCATCCTGCTCTTGTTCCAGGTTCCTAAAATAACCTTCGGATTACAGGTTTTATTTTCACATAGATGTTCACCTGGGAGAGTATAAACTAAAACACTTTCAATCTGTTTGAAATTTTATTTTTTATTTTAAAGAAACTATCGTTTGTTCTCTGATATGTCCTAAGAGCCTACACCAGTGCCTGGCATATAATAGGGCTGATTAGGTATCTGCTGGATAGATATCTATCCAGTTTATAGATTGATCTTTTGTGTACCTCTCTGTGAGTCCAGTGACCTCTGTCTACACTGACACATTGGAGTTCCTAAGCTAAACTGAAGTGCAGATGCGGAGCCTGGCAATTCAGCCAAGGAAAATACCACCTACCGAGTGCAGAGCCAGCCTCCGGAGACCACACTTCTATCTTGTTCTAACTGCAGCTGTCTCTACTTTTCTATCAAATCGATTTTCCTTTCTTATTCTAAGCATTTTATTTTTATATGGTTCTTCAAAATCCCTCTGGAGGGAGAAAGTATGATTCCACATTTAAATAATCAGACTGTACTGTGTCTAATAGTGCTGGAATTCTTAATTTCTTGTTTCAGGCAAGGCATCATATTATCTGGAGAAGATTCAAAGAAAACAGAAGTAGCATGAATATGATGAAGAAACCAGACATGAAGAGGCTAAATAGCTTAACAAAGTCCACAATGCTGAAAAGTAGAGCTGTAATTTGAACTCAGGGGTTTTAATATCAGAGATTATGTTCCTTACCATAGGTTTTAATGTAGAGTCACTGAAGGATACTACAAATAAGTAACTAAGGCACTGCCTTTTTCTTTAAATGTTATTTTTATTAGATAATTACTTCGTTTATCAACCCTACTCAGAGTCAGGTATACCACCAGGCACTGGGAATACAAAGATGAAACTCACGGTTTAGCCGGGAAGACAGGTCTAACTGATATCACATGATGCACCTGATAAATTCACCGTGATAAGTGCAGTGGTGGTGACATGTCAGGGTATTATGAGAATAGAGAACCGAAACACCAAATCCAGCTAGAAGAGGTATAAAGGCTTTCTGAAGAAAAAGTTAGCTGAGCTGCGGTTAGCTGTTTGGAGGGAAGTTTGGAGAAGGGATGCCCGCTCCAGGCAGGTAAATATAAGGCAGGCAAAGTCACCATGGAGTTTAATGTACTGAATCATGGAATGCAATGTGGAGATGATGTTGAAGTCAGGAGTGATAATCAAGGCTTAGACCTTAGAGGCACTGTGGATAATGGGAGAGTCTGGACTTCATCCTCTGAGTAAATGGGGAGCTGGTCCAGAGTTATAAATAGGATAGTCACGTAAACATGGATATATTTTAAATATATAGTGGGGTGGCAGGTTGGAAAAGTAACTGAAGTTCTATTAGTCAAAATAAGCCAGATTGTGCTATGGTAACAAATAAATATCCAAATATCCGTGAGTTAATGCAATAAAAGGTTATTTCTTAAACACCCAAAGTCCGAGGCTGACTAGGCAGCCCTTCACCACCTGGTAGCTATGCCATCTGCAATATGTATCCTTCCAGGTTATTGCACTGCAGGTGACAAGATGTTTTTATGGGTTGGGACTAGAAGTGGCCTTCATTTACTTTTCCCATATCTCTTCATCTGGGATCCTGCCACATGACCCAGAGTAAGTGCAAGAGGCTTTAGGCAAGCACTGAGAGTCTACCACAGAATAGGGCACTTCATTCAATCTTGTTTATAATAGGTGAAATATACCTATAATTTCTTACTGTATTACTGGAGAAAAATCAGTTTATTTATGTATTCAGTTCATTAAACAAATGCTTTTGTGAACACCTACTCGGCACTGTCCTAAGTTCTGTCTCTGTCATAAAAAGCAGGGGTAAAGCATTGCTCACATTACTTCCCTGCACATCAACTCTTCATTGGCTCTCCAGTCACATGGTGACATGTGCAAGGGGACAGCATTAGAGTAAGAGGGGTGAGAAGCGTAACATAGGCCAGATCATGTGGAGTTTTGTAGGACTTTGAATTTAACTTAAATGAAGGGCCTTAAAACATTCTATGCAGAAGAGTGATATAATCTGACTTCCTTTTTTAAAAAATAATTCTGGCTGCTCTGTTGAGAACAGACATAAGATGATGGGGTAGACACATTGAGCTCTCTTAGGAAGTTATGTAGTAATCCAAGTGAACAATGATTATGGTTTTGAGCCAGGGTAGAAGCATGGATCTGGTGAAAAGTGGTCTGATTCTGGATATATTTTGAAATGAAGGTATTTAATTTTGAACTAAATAATTAGAATTTGAAGACAGGTGAGACGTATGCTATAAGACAAAAAGGTCTTAACTTGAGCTCTTAGGAGCATGGAGTTGCAGCCAACTGAGGGGAGATAAGCCTTAATCATATGAAGTATTCCTAGATGGCTTCAAAAGGGCTCGAGAGAGCATTAACCCCCTAAATAATTCAGCTCCAATGGATGCTTCCTTTAGAATTTCAAATAATAACAATGTTGATGAAAAAGTATTTTTCCAAGATTTAAAGCTTAGCCCCAAGCATTCCCTACATTGACAAAATTTCGCATAAAATCTAAGATCTATCTACCTAAAAATAAAACCAGTAAGAAAATTATATAATTATCTTTTCTGAAAGCCAAGTCATAAAATATTAAGCTATATTAGATTATTTTGATGTGACATAATTCATTTACTTTTTGTTAGGGGCACGTTTGCTTTATGGGAACTACCTACGAAGCTCTCTTACAGAAATAAACTGTTCGTTTATCATTGTTGTTGTTATTATTTATGTATTAGAAAGACATCAAGTAAGGTATGCCACTTCACTTTGGCAGCTTAATTAATCCACTGAGTATTAATTAGTAGATGAGGAAATGATAAAGATTCTCTCTTTGACCAAACTTTGATCAAACTCTTCTGAGCTCTCTTTTTAACCAGGCCCCAACTTTCGAACTTCCATGTTAGTTTCTGCATTGTCCAATTTAGCAAGAATCTTCTCAGTTTAGCCAGAATTTTTCATTTTTGATATATGATCACACTTTGGTATCTGATCAGGTTTCCTTCCTCTACAATGCTTCTGGTGATATTTGATCACCCTGGTCTGCCTTCAGCAAGAATCCCATCAGATCTGTTAGCCAGGACCCCCCCTTACCCCAAATGTTAACTCTTAGTAATTTCTATCCAGTAAGCCCCTCCCCTTAACTCAGCTCCTTGGCTATAAATTCCCACTTTTCCTTGTGGTATTCATAGTTGAGCCCAATTTCTCTTTTCTACTATAAAATCCTATTGGGGTAGCCTTCCTGTGTAACTATTGTAATAGTACTCTTTGAATAGTCTGCCTTACCATTCTTTAATGGGTGTAATGAATAATTTTTTCTTTGACAAAGATCATATTTGAGCTGGATTTTGATGAAAGCAGGGAAGGAGGGAGAATTTCTTCAGGCATATAGAACAGGATGCATAAATGCAAGGATGTGAAAAAGGATGGCTGATTCATGGAAATTATAAAATTTAGGGCTCATGAGAGCAGAGCAGTTTGGTTCAGGAGTGTGAGGAGTAGGAAACTGAACCTGGTAAAGTCTGGTAAGATTGATTATAAAGTTATGCATGGGGCCAGGCGCGGTGGCTCACGCCTGTAATCGCAGCACTTTGGGAGGCTGAGGCAGGTGGATCCCCTGAGGTCAGGAGTTCGAGCCCAGCCTGGCTAACGTGGTGAAACCCTGTCTCTACTAAAAATACAAAATAAGCCAGGCGTGGTGGTGGGCCTCTGTAATCCCAGCTACTCAGGAGGCTGAGGCAGGAGAATCACTTGAACCCAAGAGGCGGAGTTTGCAGTGAGCCGAGATTGCGCCACTGCGCTCCAGTCTGGGTGACAGAGCAAAACTCTGTCAAAAAAAAAAAAAAAGTTATGCATGGGTAATTACATGGTACAATAAAAAGTTTCAATCTTAGCCTTTAGGTAAAATAAAGATAATGATGTTGAAAAATGTAAAAGAATTGAAAGAGCCCTATGGGAGGAAGATGGAAAGTAGAGATTAGACAAAGAAAAGTCATTAGAAAACTACTCATGGGAAAGTACAAGTGAGCACCAATTTAGCTCCTAGAAATCCTGGAGGACCAAGTTTTAAAACTAAGCATATCTAACAGAGTTGATAAGCTAAAGTTATGAACAAGTATGTGGTTATATATTGTTTTGCTTATGCAATGCCAAACTCAGCTTAATTTGTTTTCTTATAAAGCAAAACAAAAAAAACAAAAACAAAAACAAAAAACAGTGACCCCAGAAATATACTATATGAAACCTAGCTAAAAATCCAGTTTGGAAGAGTCTTACTTGCCTTCATCTAACATTGCTTTCTAGAATTTGCCTCTCCCAAGTAAACAGAATGTTTCATGGATAATTACACAATTTTTAATATCTAGTGGACCAAGTGCACTCTTCCTGAAAGGACAGGTGATAGACACATTTTTTTTTTTTAAATAGAGATAGGGTCTTGCTGTGTCACCAAGGCTGGAATGCAGTGGAGCAATCATAGATCACTCTAACTTCCAATTCCTGGACTCACTCTAACCACCTTAACCTCCTAAGTAGGTGTGACTATAGACACATACCACCATACACAGCTAATTAAAAAAAAAATTGTAGAGATAGGGTCTTGCTATGTTGCCCAGGTTGCCCAAGCTAGACTACATTTGTAAAATCCAATTTTATAGAAGTAATAGCTATATATGTCATAGTATGCATTAGAAAACTTCAATATAACAAAAAGATGTGTCATCAAGAGGGAAATAATCTATGAAATCCATATAACCAAAAAAGGATTAGTATCCACAATATTTTTAGATTTTTCTATAAATTAATAAGTAACAGACAAGAAAACCAAGAGAAACACACACAAAAGATTGACAGGCAATTCACAGAACATAAAACTCAAGCGTTCATTGATCATATGTGAAAATACGTTCAAACACACCAATATTAGAATAGTGTCCATCTCCAATGGACAAAAAAGGAGTAGGATGGGATTGGGAAATACAAAGCGAAATACTACTTTTTTTTTTTTTTTTGAGACAGAGTCTCGCTCTGTCGCCCAGGCTGGAGTGCAGTGGTGCAACCTCGGCTCACTGCAAGCTCCGCCTCCCGGGTTCACACCATTCTCCTGCCTCAGCCTCCTGAGTAGTTGGGACTACAGGTGCCCACCACCACTCCTGGTTAATTTTTTGTATTTTTAGCAGAGACGGGGTTTCATTGTGTTAGCCAGGATGGTCTCGATCTCCTGACCTCGTGATCTACCTGCCTCGGCCTCCCAAGCAAAATACTATTTTATGTGTAACATTTAATGTCTTTAAACAAGAGCAGAGAAATATTGGAAAATGTTAACATGGTTATAGGTAGTAAGCATATACATGTTTGATTTGGTTTCTATATTTTTTTGTATTCCTGAAATTTTTAAAAATAATTTCAACATTTATTTTAGATTCATGAGGTATATATGTAGGTTTGTTACCTGAACAGACTGTGTGATGCTGAGGTTTGCGTACGACTGATCCCCTTACCCAGGTACTGAACATAGGACCCAATAGTGAGTTTTTAAGCCCTCTCCCATTGCCAGTAGGCCTAGTTTCTATTGTTCCCATCTTTATAAGCTCTCACTTATAAGTGAGAATATGCAGTATTTAGTTTTCCTTTCCTGCGTTATTTTGTTTAGGATAATGACCTCCGGACACATCCATGTTGCTGCAAAGGACATTATTTCATTCTTTTTGATGGCTACATAGTATACCATGGTGTGCATATACCACATTTTCTTTATCCAGTCCACCATGGATGGGCACCTAGGTTGATTCCATGTCTTTGCTTTTGTGAATAGTGCTGTGATGAATATATGAGTGCATTTATCTTTTTAGTAGAAAAACTGATTTTCTTTTGTATAGATTCTCAGTAATGGGATTGCTAGGTCAAATGGTAGTTCTGTTTTAAGTTTTTTGAGAAACCTCCATACTGCCTTCCACAGTGACTGAACACATTTATATTCCCACCAACAGTGTATAAGCATTCCCTTTTTTCTGCAGCCTTACCAGCATGTATTGTTTTTTGATGTTTTAATAATAGCCATTCTGAATGTTTATGGATGTGTAGAATCAATATTGTGAAAATGACCATACTGCCAAAAGCAATCTGCAAATTTGATGCAATTCCCATCAAAATACCATGATAATTCTTCACAGAACTAGAAAAAACAGTCCTAAAATTCATATGGAACCAAAACAGAGCCCACACAGCCAAAGCAAGACTAAGCAAAAGGAACACATCTGGAGACCTCACATTACCTAACTTCAAATTATACTGTAAGGCCATAGTCACCAAAACAGCATGGTACTGGTATAAAAATAGGCATATAGACCCATGGAAGAGAATAGAGAACACATAAATAAACCCGCATACTTACAGCCAACTGATCTTTAACAAAGCAAACAAAAATATAAAGTAGGGAAAGAATACCCTATTCAACAAATGGTGCTGGGATAATTGGCAAGCCACATGTAGGAAAATGAAACTGGATCTTCATCTCTCATCTTATACAAAAATCTACTCATGATAGGTCAAGGAACTTAAATCTAAGACCTCGAACTATAAAAATTCTAGCAGATAACATCAGAAAAACCCTTCTAGACATTGGCTTAGCCAAAGTCTTCATGACCAAGAACCTAAAAGCAAATGCAACAAAAACAAAGATAAATAGGTGGGATTTAATTAAACTAAAGAGCTTCTGCACAGCAAAAGGAACAGTCAGTAGAGTAAATAGACAACCCACAGAGTGGGAGAAAATCTTCACAATCTATACATCTGTCAGAGGACTAATATCCAGAATCTACAAGAAACTCAAACAAATTAGTAAGAAAAAAAATCTTATCAGAAAGTGGGATAAGGACATGAATAGACAGTTCTCAAAAGAAGATATACAAATGGCCAACAAATACATGAAAAAATGCTCAACCTAACTAATGATCAGGGAAATACAAATCCAAACCACAATGCAATACCACATTACTACTGGAAGAATGGCCATAGTAAAAACATAAAAAATAATAGACGTTGTCATGGATGCAGTGAAAAGAGAACACTTCTACACTGCTAATGGGAATGTAAACTAGCACAACCACTTTGGAAAACAGTGTGGAGATCTCTTAGAGAACTAAGAGTAGAACTACCATTTAAACCAGAAATCTCACTACTGGGTATCTACCCAGAGGAAAAGAAGTCCATGCACAAAAAAGATACTTGCACATGCAGGTTTATAGCAGCACAATTTACAATTCTAAAAATATGGAACCAGCCTAAATGCCCATCAATCAACGAGTGAATAAACAAACTGTGATATATATATATATATATATATATCTCCACATAATGGAATACTACTATTCAGCCATAAAAAGGAATGAATTAATGGCATTCACAGCAACCTAGATAGAACTGAAGACTATTATTCTAAGTGAAGTAATTCAGGAATAGAAAGCTAAACATTGTATGTTTTCACTCATAAGTGGGAGCTAAGCTATGAGGGTGCAAAGGCGTAAGAATGATACAATGGACTTTGAGGACTCTGGGGAAAGGCTCGGAGGGGTGTGAGGGAAAAAAGACTACAAATTGGGTTCAGTGTACACTGCTTGGGTGATGGGTGCACCGAAATCTCAGAAATCACTACTAAAGAACTTACTCATGTAACCAAATGCCACTTGTTCCCCAAAAACCTATGGAAATAAAAATTTAAAATAATAATAATAGCCATTACTACTGCTGTGAGATTGTATCTCATTGTGGTTTTGATTTAAATTGTATTTTTGAAATATTTCTTAATAAATTAACATATAGGCCAGGCGTGGTGGCTCATGCCTATAATCCCAGCACTTTGGGAGGCCGAGGCGGGCGGATCACCTGAGGTCAGGAGTTCAAGACCAGCCTGGCCAACATGGAGAAACCCCGTCTCTATTAAATATAAAAAAAATTAGCTGGGAATGCTGGCTCATGCCTGTAATCCCAGCTACTGGGGAGCCTGAGGCAGGAGAATCGCTTGAACCCCGGAGGCAGAGGTTGCAGTGAGCCGAGATTGCGCCACTGCACTCCAGCCTGGGCAACAGAGTGAGACTCCATCTCAAAAAACAAATAAATAAAATAAAATGATATGGGAGGCAGTATGAGTTAGGGGAAGGACATAGAAACAGGAGTTGGAATCCTAATGTCTAGTCCCAAATCTGCCAATTACCTACCTTGTGACCTTGAGAAAATGTCTTCATTTTTCTGAAACTGATTCTCCAGCTAAAACCTTAAATAATATGTGCCTTTACTAGATAAAGTTATTTTAAGGAGCGAATTAGTTCATGTATGTGAAAGTGATATTCAAATATGAAGAAAAGGTATGGAAATTCTCAAATTTGCAGTTAATGTGAAATTAAATGAACATACTTTTCTATTTACTATTATGCTAAACTTATGGAAACAGATACTAGAAACAAAAGTGGCGATTATAAAAGACATACATATTTTCTTACCGGGTCTGTTAGCTGGGAGTAGAGTTCATGGCAGTTGTCAAAAATATACTTGTATGTAGAATCCAGGCAAGCCCTTACACAGTCCTTCACCACCATGCTCGCTTTTGGGGGGCTTTGCAGCTCCAGAACCTGACAAAGACAGACATTTATTTTCTCAAATGCAACAGTGACACATTGTAATCTAGTATAAACTACTCAAATATATATTCAATAAATACTTTCAGTCGATTTTTCTATGTTCAGTAAGTGTCATCTTACCATGTGGTTTTAAATGTGTAAACATTTTAACTTTCTGATATAAAAACTTATTGAAAATGATAATGGCTGTAAACACTCAAATAAAAACACTTAACGTGACCAGTTAGTACTTCATGCATTGATTTCATTCCATTCCATCATTCAACAAATATTCATCACTTCCTATATGCCAGATAATGGTGATACAGCAATGAATGATAGAAACAAAAATCCCTTTCCTCATGGGCTTAAGTTCAAGTAGATAATAAAATAAATACGTAAAATATATTACATGATGATGCATGTTGAAAAGTAAAACAGAGGAAGGATGGGAAGCGTTTCAATGGAATAGAATTAATACAATAAACGGCAAGAGTAAATGAAGCTGTAGGGTGAGAACAAGGGGAAACTACATATAGACCACTATAAAAATCTTAGCTTTTAGCGAGGTGGGAAGGAACTGGATAGTTTAAGCATAAGAGCAAAATGGCCTAATTTTAGCAAAACAACTAACTTTTATAAGGCTCCCTTACGCTGCCTTAAAGTGGGCTATGAAAAAAATAGAAAGACCAATTATGAGAACAGCGTTACAATTTAGTCTAGAGAAGATGATGCTTGATCAAGGTGGTAGAATTAGAAATTATTAGAAGAAATCATATTCTGGTAAAATTTAGAAAAAAAGAGCTAACAGGATTTTCTGACAGACTGGATGACTGGTGTGAGAGCTGACTCCAGTTGACCCCAATATTTTAGCCTGAGCAACTGCCATAAGGGAGGTGACTTCAATTTAAATGGGAAAAACTGTGGATGGGAGCTCAGGAGTCAATTCTGAACAGTTTAAGAAGCCTATTAGGCATATATATGAATTTCAAGAAGATATTTGGATAAATGAATCTACAGTTGTGGAAAAGTTCTGGTTAGAGATATAAATTTGGAAATTATTAGCTTACAGAAGAATATAAAGAAACAACGCTGGTTGAGTATGGATAGTGAAGAGAAGAGGTCCAAGAAATAAATCCGGTTAAATCTTACATAATTCTAAATCTGTGACAACAGACAAATGAGAAGGAATAAAGCAGTAGAGAGTACCCCCCACCCTGCTCCCAAAAGAGCCAATGGTATAGGAGAGAAATAAAACATGAGATGTTGACAAATTATTTTTGGTGAAGTGAGAGAGTAAAAGTCTGATTACAGTGTGGTCAAAAACTAAGGACAGAGTTGAAGTTTTAATATTGTTAAAATGTCAGTTCTCTCCGGATTTATCTATAGATGAAAGGCAATCTCAATTAAAATCCCAGAAGGAATGAAAATCACCTATACAATTGTGAAAAATGAAGAAACGAGGTGGGATGCACATTATCTTTTTTAATGATTTGCTATAAGGTCACAGTAATCAAGACAGGATGGTAGTGGTGGATGTACAAACAATTGAACAGTATAGAGAGTTCAGAAATAGACCCATACATATATGGTCAATTTAATTTTTTACAATAATATGAAAGCAATTCAATGGAGAAAGGAAAATCTTTCTAATAAATGCTGCTGGAACTATTAAACATAAATATGTAAAATGTTATCCTTGATTCACACTTTACACCTTATATCAAACAAAAACAACCAGCAAAACAATCCCCAAAATTCTAAATAAAAAATATGCCCAAATATAAAAGGTAAAACCAATCTTTTAGAAGAAACACACCAAAAAAACCTCTTTGTGATGTTGGTTTAACCAAGAGCATTATCCATAATTAGAAAAAAAAAATGATAAAGTAGACCAAAATTAAAAACTTGCTATATGAGATATTTTAAGATTAATTAAAAGACAAGGCACAAACAAGGCAAAAATAATAGCAAATCACATATCTGACAAAAAATTGTATTCAAAACATATAAAAACTCTCAAAACTCGAGACTACTGTATTCTTGAAGAATGCAAGAAAGTAGATTTTAGATATTCTCCTCACAAATATGATAACTTTGTGAGGTAATGCATACGTTAATTAGCTAGATTTAGCCATTCTGCAATGTATACACATTTTAAAGCATCATGTTGTACACAATAAATACATACAATTTTATCTATCAATTTAAAATAATTAAAATTAAAATGCCCTTAACAGTAAGAAAACCAGCTAATAAATATGGGTAAAAATTTCAACATTCTTCACAAAAAAAGATATTCAGATAGAAAATCAACCCCTCCAAAATTCTCAATATTATTAATTTTTAGACAAATAAAATTAATACATTAAGATAATGCAACGTCACTTCTACTAGAATAAGAAATATATACATACATACATACATAACATGGAAAATCCCAAGAGTTTTGCTAGAGGATGCAGAACAATTGGGACTCTCACACACTGCTGCTGAGGATTTAACCCAAGGAACATAAAAACATATGTTTACAACTATAATCCCATGCTTATTTAAAACAGTTTTATTTGTAAGAAACCAAAATTGTAAATAACTCAAACATCTCTCAATGAGGGAATGGATAAATCGATAGCACATACATAACAAAGAATTACTCCTTAGCAATTAACAGAAGTGAATTGTTGATACATTCAACACCAATGATTCTCTATTGTGTTATGCTACATCGTGTATGATTTCATTTACATGATGTTCTAGGAAAGGCAAACCTACAGGCAAAGAACAAATCGGTGGTTACCAGCATGTGGGAGAAGGGTTGACAACAATGGTATAGCACAAGGGAATTTTGTAGGCTCATGGAACTGTTCTGTATCTTATTGCTCTGGTGGTTATATGACTACACATTTGTCAAAACTAATAGGACTGTACAACAAAAGAGTGATTTTTACTCTCTGCAATGAGAAAAAAGAATAACAGGAGAAGAAAATTTGTTCAAAAGATAATAGGAGGAAATTAATTGGAAAGAAATGTATAGATGACTATTTCAAGGAGTTTTGCTATTAAGGGAAATGAACTGGGGTAGTAGCTATAGAAGAAAGTGATGCCAAGCAGTATTTTGAAGACTGTAAAATCAATAGCACATACATAGGGGAAAGTTGGCAATTCAGGAGAGTGGAGAGGATTGCTGGAACAATATTTTAGTGCACAAGAGAAGACAAAATCAATTGCACCAGTAGAAGAGACCACATTTTCTAAGAAAACAGATGGCTCATCAATACTAAAAAAGAAAGAATATATGGACACATACAAGGAAGTACCTACTGGGGTAGGTGGTGGGAGTATGTGATTGGAGCTTGAGGATGCTCCTCTTTCTTTCCTCCTATTTTTTTTTTCATTGAAATAGGAAGCAAAGTAATCAACTGGTAGTGAGGGTTGGGGAAGAATAGTTACAAGTTTAAGGAGATAGTGTTTTTAAACAAGGAGGCATGGTAGATGGGTAGCACTGTGCTGGCACACCCTACCCTCACTCCCATTCCTCACTCCTCAGTGTCAATGGCAGACATCACTTGTCAATCTAAGTCAACTTGATTGGGTCTCGCCATCATTAGCTGCACATTGTTCCAGTAGCTACTGACAGTAGATTAGAATTGATGTAAATTCTATTTATCCTAATCACCTAGTTAGCCTGATTTTAAACCAAATGAATTTTAATTCAACTTTAAAGAATCTAAATGAACTTTGATATAGTATGGTTTCCCTTTGTGTCTCTCTTTTATTACAAAATGCCATTTTTAGAGGTTCTAGTGAAAAAAATTATGGGCAAATGCAAAGAAAAAAATTGTTGCTATTTAGGAATTTTCTGAATAAGCATCGTAATACTGTCTTTCAAAGAGTGTATATTTTAGCCCACAGCCCGGCAAGTAGTTTCTGAAAATGCTTTACATAAGTTGCACTGCAAGCCAGAACTATGACTGCCGAAAACTCGCAATTAAAGCAGAAATGATATATCTAAAAAGAAATACCTGGTTTGTAAGGCCTAGCCAATTATACCAATAGATAGGTGATCAAATATATTCCTACACAGACATTCCCAGTGCTGAAAATGGAAGTTGCCACAATTGGGGTAAACTTAAAAGAGTCAGCTACTTTCTTGTAGCAAAAAAGTCGGCAAAACATCTAAGTTAAAACTAAAATTAGAAGTGAACTCCATTTCCATTTAACATTCTTTGGAAATTTTTTAAGTGCCACATCCACTTACTAGAGAGCTTTCTCTAAGACAAATTTAACTGAGAACTAAATTAGAGCCAAATGTATCAGAGTATTTTAAGTGTCTAGGATAATCTCTTCTTCACTATACCTTATATTGGAAGATTCATCGAGTTCAGGCAAAGATAGTACAGCTTAATCGATGGAGTTAACACAGTACTTGATCAAGAGGAGGGTAAAGCAAGACTTTACCAGGGGATGAATGTATTCTATGTCACAACAAAACAGTGACAGAAATAAAATGAGATACCTTCATCCTAAAAAAGGTGATACTTGTTAACAGGTCAACAGTTGATTTCAGGTCTTGCAGTCTTTCAGTATTGCTTGCAGGAAAGTTTTCCTGGTTAATTAGGAAACAAAATGGATAAGGTTGTCAGCAGTAAACTTCTAGTGGGAAAATAAACTAAAACTAGCTTCTCATGAAAGAAAATGGAAAGTAAACTGTATACAATTTTAAAAATACTCAAGGTATTCTTAAAATATTTTTGTCATAAAACATTATAGAACGTAAACAATTTGGAAATATTATATTTTTACTCTTGGAAAGCTGCACTCTTCTATTTACACTAACAATGCAATAAATGCAAAACAATATCATTATTACAATGTTATGATGTTATTAATGCTTGCTTCTAAAATAGTCTTGCTACTAAAAGGATTAAGTATAGCATACATAGGAAAAAATTTTCATGATTTTCTCAAGATAACTACTTTTTAAAAAATACTTCGGAAATTATACATGTGCTGCATTTACTTTTAGTCACAAAAAAACTTTAAAAGTTAAAAAAATAAGTTTGCATCATATAGTCTTTCCTGAAATACTATGGATTTTAAAAAAAGGTTTCTTTTAGCGAGGTTTGATGAGAAGCATCATTTAAAAATACAGATGTTTATAATTTTGAAGGAATGAAAAGTTATAATGATAAAATGTTTGAACTAAGAAACAATTTTTACTTTGGTCAATTTCACATGTTAACATGCTTTTCTAAAGAGCCATTAGGAAAACCATCGCTAATTACGAGATATTCATGAACTTGAACAGGGTTAGTGTGCCTATGATGAGGTGGTGAATGAGGTGGCTTCAGGCCCTTGTTGCCCCCAAATATCTCTCTCAATGGCTTAATGGTTGTTCTCTTCTCATTATGTTGGTCCCAGATCCAACATGAAATAACCAACATGAAATAATACCAAATTAAATTTGGTATTATAACTTCCATAAGTATGCAATTAAAGTATCTGTCAATAAAAGACTAATTAAAAATGAATGCATGGGAGATAGATATGTTAAAATAAGAAAAGATGTTTAGGATAAATTATTAAAGAATGTAAGATACAAGAGAGCATCTATTAGTTATTACTATAGACATTTTATAACTAAAATTTGTAACTAAATTTTTATAACTAAGATATTTTGTAACTAAAATTATATGTGTGTATACTTATGCACATATGTACATGAATATATTTGTGGTATGTGTATGTGTTTCCCCAGGAGGTGATATATAGAATTGTTGACAATGAATTCTGGGCAGCTTTGCAGGAACAAATGGTACTCTTGGTATCACGATCCAGGAGGAAAGAGAATGAAGCAGTAAATTAAGTAGGAAGCTCAGAAATTGGGGAAATATCAGCAGAGTATTTCAGTAACAAAGGGTGAGCTTTCAAAATGAGGACTGGGCCATAGTCTACTTCATGAATTAGCTGAGGGTCATTGAATCTGATGGCTATTTTAAAAATTACAAAATTAAAGCTGCAAGTGCATACACAAACACACACACACACACACACACACACACACACAGAGTATTGTTGTAGTCTACGTGGGGCAAAGAATCTGAACAAAAAAGGAGACCTGCTGGATTATTTCTAAGGGTAACAGCACCTGAGATCAATATTTTTATTTTTCTATTACATGATGGGTAATTTTTACAATATGGCAAGAAATTCTCTAGACCAAACAACAGTTTTCTTTTAGGCAAGTAAATTTGTACATACCCTATACTTTGACAGATCAATCCTCAAAGAGTTATGTAACTGGTCCAGTAGTTTTATGAATTTTTCCCTCTGTACAAAGCAAACACAAAATAGGAGAATGGAAATAAATGACCACTCTAAAGACCTCATAATAATTCTGAGTTTTGTCTCTATTTTATAGAAAGGAAGGATCAAATATATCAATGACTTGTCCAAGATCATAAAGTTACTATGTGGCATAGCAGTGATTCAAACTCAGGTCTCTTTGACACCAAATTCATGGTCTTTTCAATAAGTCATACTTCCTCTCTATGATTAATGAGAAATGTGTAACTGTTCTAACAAAGTATCTAGAGACTTGCATTTTGTAGAAAGAGATCAGACAAATAAATTGCCAGTACATTTCTCTATGTGTAATAATTCACAACAATATAATGCGTCAGCAAGAGAAAATGCAACCCATTCTTCTTTTTATTCCTGTACTTCATGCCCCTTCTCCAGACAATATATTACAGTTTTTTACACTTCTACCACCTACGGAAGTGGGAGCAGGTGTTGTTTTTGTCAAAACCAATTGGAAAAAATATTTTCTTTTTGGAAGCAAATGCAGACTTCATATCTGAAAGGATCAATTGCTTTTAAAGGCTGTGTATGATTTAGTGCTAAAATTAGTAGAAACATGCAGCCAAAAAACTTCTGTTGCTTCCACTTGATGCAGTATCAGTGTTGAACTGTCCTCTTAACAGAAGTATTTGAAGATGGTGAGAATAAAGAGCTTTTCTCTTATTAAGTGTGTGGTTAAAGTTGGGTGGATTAAACAAAAACAAAGTCAAAACATAAAAGTCACACATACAAACCTTATAGGTAGACACTCCACTATTCTGAATTCCAGTTTTCTCATCAAAAAATAAAATGGGAGAGGTAAGATTAAATGACATAAAATGCCCCTGCCAACATTAATATTCTGTAAACACCAAATTGCACTTTGGAGGATATTGACAAAAATGAAAGCTTTTCTCAGTAGTTTCACAGAGGAGGTGGATTTATGGGGTATATAACTCTTATGCCTCGAAGTCACTGATCTCGATGGAGTGAGCTGAATATTAACAGGAGGTGACAAATTGTTCCTAAGCTGAAACTCCAATTTTCTGAATAAACTGCCATCATCAGATTTATACATCAGTATAAGAAAGTTTGAGTATCATCTCTGTGTTAACCTCTGTGGAGGCAATAAAGGAGCCTAAGAAATGAGCCCTGCCTTCCAGAAGCATGCAATCTTCTTAGGCAGGTTAAGACCCTTTATCCCAACAAAGCTACAGAAAATACAGATGAGTTGAACGTCTTAGATCTTTCTCTGCCACTCTCCATTATACCTTCCCAGGGGATGAGGCAAGCTATACAGTCCTTTCTTAACTCTCCAACTTCCATGCATTTGGGTTGGTGGCCCTCAATCCAGATAGAAAAGGAGAAGAATCACTACAATAATTAGTTTAGGCCACAGTAAAGTTAATCATTTAGACGATTATCAAAGTGAGTGTGATTCGTGTAACATCTCTGGATGCCTTATCTTATCTCTGTGATTGGCACAAACCATCAAGACAGTTGAAGTGACTGATCAACCATACTGTGGCCCAAATCATCGGCCCTCTTATATTCACTGGGGCAAATGGTGGTGGTTGTCTGCCCAATATCCGTTCTTCCATTGTTCCTTACTAAAAGAATATCATATGTCAAATGTGCCCATATGAAATGCTCACCCTCTCGACCTCTTTTCCTCCAAGGATGACCACATGCCATGGTTTTGGCCAATGAGATGTAGACAGCTTATTAAATCAAATAGACCCAGCTACCATACTACCAATGACTTATTGTTTTGAAAGATTTAAAAAGAGTGCTTGGCAGATAGTGTTTGTTACATTAGTGTTTGCTGTATAATTCTTTGTTAGGTATAGCATTCAGACTTTTCAACTTTTGCCCTCTGTGTTTCTTCCCTTTTCCCACCTAAAACTCTAATAGCCTCCAGAAGATAGAGTGCTTATTTCATGCCCATTAGATGAAAATGGAAAGAACGAATGGAAAAAAAAAAGGATTGCCTACATCCATCCTACCCCATCTGCCCACTCTTTTAAAATATTACAATACTGAGCAGCTATACCAGCTCTGAATTCCCTACCTCTGTGGACTTAGGTTCCATGAGTTGGGGAGCAAAGGGGGAAATCTTATTTAGTTAAATGTATTTCATGAGTTTCTGTTTCATGGAGTTGAAAAGATTTCTGACTGATAAAGTTCACACATTTGGTTTCCCTACCTAGTCTTCAGTGCCTAGCTGGAAAATTTACATTCAAGGAAAATAGAAAACTGTGAAGAAAACTGCTGGGCTTCTTGTCACTGAAAGCCAGAACAACATCAGATGATGTGAAATTAAAAGTATGCTGCTGATTGAATTTTCATAGAGATTCTTTAAACAGCAGGACAGCTTGAACTTTAATTTTATTTACAACATTTCTATTTAACTAGAGTGAGATTCCCTTTGCAGAGCAGAGCAAGCCTACTGCCTGTAGGGTGTGATTTGTGGAATAACGAAAGACTGGGTGATTAAAAAATGTTTCCCCAAGGGACATGGCACAATATCTAAAACTGCCACATTATTCAGTTTTTTTATTAAATAAGGGCCACATATGTCTAGCAGGGGGCAAATCAATAATAAAAATAATAATAAATACTATAATAGGTTCAAAAATACAGTTACAAGGAATAAGATCCAGTGTTTGGTAGCACAATAGGGCAACTATAGTTAACAATAATTGGTTGTGTATTTCAAAATAACTAAAAGAGTGGAATTGGAATGTTCCCAACATGAAGAAATGATAAATGCTTGAGATGATCGATATTCCAGTTATTCCGATTTTATCATTACATATTGTATGCATGTATCAAAATTTATCTTGTACCCCATAAATATGTACAACTATTACGTATCCAATTAGAAATTTAAATAAATTTTTAAAATAAATAAAAGGTAAATCCAAGCAAAAAAAAAAAAAAAAAAAACTTGGTTTAATTAGTTGACCAGAATAACTAGACCAGGGATTGGCAAACTATCTACAAAGGGCTAGTTAGTAAATATTTTTCACTTTGCCAACCCTGTCTCAACTATTCAGTCTGACACTATAGCACAGTAGCTGCCATAGACAATATGTAAACTAATAGGCATGATTATTTTCCAGTGAAACTTGATTTATGGATGTGGAAATTTGAATTTTAGATAGTTTTAATGTTTCACAAAATAACAGTCTTTAAAATTTTTTTTCAACATTAGAAAATATTAAAAAATATTCTTAGCTTATGGGCCTTACAAAACCAGTTGGTGAGTTAGTGGACTGCATTTGGCCCATGGGCAGGGGGAAGAGGTAGTTGCTCCTCGGAGTGTGCACCTTCAGGAAGTTCCCCCCAGGATTTGGGGAACCCTGGAAGGAAAAGCTCTTGTAAGGAAGGGGTATGATAACCTCTGCATCATCCTCAGCATCTCTCATTATTTTCTTTCTTTCTTTCTCAAAGTCTGGCTTCAACAGCAGGGATGAATTTAACCAGAAGCTAATGATGCTTAAGCTCTTCAGCCCTCACCTTCTTTAGCACCCCTGGGAGGTGCTAGCTATGTATTCATGCTATCTTAGATTTTTGTAAAATTTTCAGGAATAAGATAAAAATAATTCAGAACACGACAAGCAAATTGTAACAGTTTTTTTCCAGATCATACCAAAAACAGCAATTCATTAAGAAAGACTTTTCAAACAGAAGTAATGCATAGGCAATTTTGGTAATTTTTAAATAATTCAATTAGTGTTAAACATGAACATATTGGACATATATTTATAGCTCTTATTGATTTGAGATTAATTCTGATACCAACAGAAATATCATACTATTATGAAAGGCCACTAAAATGATGCTTTCAATGACAAAATAATTAATAAATTTCATCAATTCAAAGTATATTTAAAGAGTCGCTTCACAGGAAAACTTGAAAAGCATTGAAATGTTATTGTTCACTGATCAAGACACGCTTAGCCTTCCCCTCAGCCTGGTTAAACTTTAGATAGGCTTCTTCCTGACTCTAGGTCTCGACCTCCCTTTTCTTAAAGCATTTTATTTAGAAAAGTTGTAACAGTAAATTCTTTTTCTGCCCCTTCACATGGAAATATTTTTTAAAGCCTCTTGCCAGTTTCATAATCCAAGAATGCCTTTCTGAAAGACTTGGGAGCCTTCCCTTTGAAATGTAATCATCAAGGAGAGAGCACTCCTACCTCCCACCCTCTTTGGGAAGATAGGACCCTAACTTCCATGCCTGTAATTAGCAAACAAAGATGGCCTAATCGCAGAAGAAAAAATTACAGACTCAAAATTACTCAGTGCACTGGTTACATCCCATTGATCAACCTCCCCACTATCATCCTTCAATACTTTCTCCTTATTTCAGCCCTGCCTTTCATTTCAGTGGAGTTGAGCTCTAATTGAGCTCTGGCCTCTCTTCCCTATTGCAATAGTCTTGAATAAAGTTTGCCTTGCCTGTTTAACTTTGTCAGCTGTAATTTTTGCTTTTACATCACATATGAAAAAAATAATTGGTGTTTTCCCAAATTTTATGAAAATCACTAAAACGCATGTGGCATTGTGAAAGTGAAATAAACTCTTCTAAAGCGTCCATTAAAAAATATGTCAACTCAGCTAAGTAAAAAAAAAAATTATAAAAATAATATTTCAATTTTTTTGTCATATGACGTGATCAAAGAAAATGCAGCCAAAAATGTGTAGAAAGAAAATATTATAGAGGTTGGTCAGTCAATAAAAATATCACTTATACTTGGTTATATATATTGAGCATGTATATACTCAAGTAAATAAACAGCTCAAAAATATTAATTTTACAATTGATTTATTTGATATTTGTATTTCAAGATAATTCACTAAATAAATTTCCTAAAGACACCTTCAAAATTAAAATATTGACTGCCTCCCACCTCATGGAATTTTGTTACTTTTCAACTCCTGATCTACCCATGAGTGCGTTCAACACACATAGAGACACTTTATCTAGTAAAGTTCTTTGTCTGGACTCCAAATAACATTTATACTCAGTGATGCGCTGGTAAAGTGGCTCTCTGAAAGCAAAAAGCCTTGATTTTTAGCATTTGCTAACTTTCATGTTGTAAATACTTTTAATATGTCCAATTTCAAGGATGGCTGTGTTTAACAAGCTTGCAATATTCCTGAAAATTTACTGATCAGTTCTCATGAGCAGGTACCAGCCAGTTGTAGCATACCACTGTTCTACAATCAATTTTCAACAATCTACTCCCTGAGTTACCTTTTGGACCTGAGACTTCCCTTGCAAAATGTTAACTGAAAGGTGCTATTAATATGTTCCTCCCACAATCCTCTGTCTCTGCCTGTTTTCTCTCTTCCACTCTCTCTGTCCCTTTCCCCACTTCTCCCCTCCTTCTCTCTTGCTATCCATCATGCTTCTCATGGTTCCACTTACCAAAAACTAGAGCTAATGGCAAATCACTTTACCTTCACCCCATTATCTTTATATGAATTTCCTTACCTTCCCATGGCCTCTTTTCTGCAAAATTTCAGCCTAGAGTCAATCCAACCATCAGCTTTATCTCCTAGTAGATAAGCATCAGGATGCTGACACACTCTAAGAAAGTCTCACTGTCACAAGAATTGTGACAACACATTTATAGTGCCCAACAGCAAATGACACTTTCAGTTTACTAGGAATTTCTTTTACATGTCCCTGAAACATTCTTTTTTGTATTCCCCTCAGTAGCTTATCCAAACTTTTACCAACCCCCTTCCCCTCTGCAACCATTTCACAGCCCATTGTTTTGTAAATGAGCAACACTTGTCTTTCCTGACAACTTTAAAGAAGGATTAAAAAATAAGGTACAACTACCCCAACTTTTCACTTCTATATCAAAAGCTTAGTGTTCTCTGCAAGGACTCTCACACTATTTCCTTGAATTTCAGAACAGAGTTTGTCCTTTCTCATTCTAAAGGCTAGCCTCTCCTTCTGCCCTCATGACTGCACTTCCTTCGTTTCCTCTGAGATAGTACTTATAGTCACTTATTCTCCCATCTGAGAAATTCACAACCTCACTCTTGCAACTAACTCCTTTCCTAACACTCTATAAACATGTTTATATTTACCTTATTAAATAGTTTAAAAATCCCTACCCAAGCAGATAATAAAAATAAAGTCTCTTTTTATATGGAAAAACCTTCTTACCCTTGCCCAATCTCTCTTTTTATCTTCTGATTTAAGTTCCTTGAAAGAATAGTCTGTTTCCTCATCCAATTTCACGCTTTCTTTCAGAATGTTGTTATAAAGTTAATACAGACTTAAGGTATTTTATAAAAAATTTTAGACATCATTCTCAGCAAAGTAACACAAGAACAGAAAAGCAAACACCACATGTTCTCACTCACGAGTGGGAGGTGAACAATGAGAACATATGGATGCAGGGAGGGGAACATCACACACCGGGGCCTGTCGAGGGGTGAGGGGCTGGGGGAGGGATAGCATTAGGAGAAACACCTAATGTAAATGATGAGTTGGCGGGTGCAGCAAACCAACATGGCACAAGTATACCTATGTAACAAAACTGCACGTTGTGCACATGTACCCTGGAACTTAAAGTAAAATAATAACAAAAAGACTGTTGTATAAAGATTCATACAAAACAAAACCAACAAAATGTCAGCTATAACCCAACTAGGTGGCTATGTCTTTGGTATTTGACCACATTTCCTTCCAGTCTTATCTCTAAACCTGTATGTGTGTGTGTAAGTGTGTGTATGTATGTGTGTGTGTGCCTTCAATGTTGGAATTAAATTGCATATAGAGTTTTTTAGCATACTTTTTTCATTTATTATTATCATGGGCACTGCTCAATTATTGAACCTCTTCCATAAAAACTCGATTTTTAATGACTGTATCATATTTATGGAATAATTGAGCTTTAATTTATATAACTGTGCTTCTATGCCAGGGATATTCAATCTTTTGGCTTCCATGAGCCACAATAGAAAAAGAAGAATTGTCTTGGGCCACACATGAAATACGCTAACACTAATGATAGCTGATGAGGAATAAAAAAAATCATGCATAAGTCTCACAATGTTTTAAGAAAGTTTACGAATTTGTATTGGGCTATATTCAAAGCCACTCTGGGCTGCATGTGGCCCACGGGCTGTGGGTTGGACAAGCTTGTTATATGCCATTCACTGAACAAACTTCGTGAAATCAGGCTTCAACCTCAATTGCTTCACTGACCAATGACATTCTACTTGCCAAATTCAATGGGCTAATTTCTTTCTCCATTTTACTTGAACTCTCTATGACAGTTAATTATATGATATACTACCCTTTTCCCAAAATAGTTTACCTTACCTTTTACAGTTATCACTTTTTTTTTAGAGACAGGGTCTCATTCTGTTGCCCAGGCTGGAGTGCAATGGTGCGATAAAATCACATTTTAAAAAAAAATCACTGTCATCCAATTGGTCTAGCCATTTTCCTAGGTAAACTTTGCTTGCATCTCTTCTGTACACCCAAGGGTTCTGTCCTTTTCACTTTATTTTTGAACATATTTCATCCACATCATGATTTCAAATAAGATTTATACTTGAAAAGGTCTAAATGTAAAATGGTTTTCTTTTCTTAAAGATTTGTTTTACAATTCTCATAGGTAAGAAAGCTTTTTCTACTGGTTTGGAGTCTCAAAATGTGTGGGCTATGCACCTTTGAGAAGGATCAAGAAGGGAGCATATAATTGTCAATGTGTCCCAGATGACAGAATCAGCTTTAACAGTTAGGTGAATAAAAACCTGAGGTTCCAATGTAGAGGCAGGAGATATACTTAGGTATATTTGACTCATCAAATGGCATTATTTTTGATAGCTAGAAAAATATAGTCAAATTTATATACCAAATCACCAACTTTTCTGATGTAGTTTGAAGAAACATTTCTCTTTCTTTTGGCCCTATTCTATAATAAGTTATTGGATTTACAAAAGGAAGTTTGTTATAACTACACTGCCACTGAAATACTAAAATGTACTGAAATCAATCTGCTGTCTCTTCTTTGGGTCAACATGAAGTAAAGGAGCATGTTATCTAATTTTCCTCTAGGTAGTTTTTATGGTGGATATTAATCACTTAAACACATCTTTCTCAGAGGGAGAAAGGCTCAATGTTCCATGATGTTGGCTTTTTCTTCACAATATACACAGACGGAATATTAGAAGCAAAACAATTTCATAGTGCAGCATGCTTTATATTATAGGTAAAATCCCAAGACAGCAAGTGCTGTTACTAAGATGAGGTTTTTATAACAAAGCTGTTCTATGATCTGGTATTTGGTAACAACAGGATTTTGTTGAACTGGCTAGGGAACGTTCTTTGGTTCCAGCTTCTGCAAGAGTCAATCTGTCTAACAAAAGTAGCTGATACTGTAGGTTATACTGTAGGTAAGGCAGGAGAGACAAAATTCTCATATTTTATACACTGACACTTTTAGCTTTTATCAACTGGCTTGCCATCTTTTATCTCATTTTATCATTATTTTAAATTTGAGAAACATGTTAAAGTAAGAATTATCTTCTTCATTGAGCATGTTGAGGAACTGAGGCTTAGACGACTAAACTGACTTGCTAAATTTCAACAAAAAGTGAAACTGCATAACTCCTAACCCAAAGAGTAGTCTCCTTTACTGGCATTTTATTTGATTTGGCATTAAATAACAATTATACTTTCCTTTGATTATTCTAATTCACTTCATACACCTCGCATGCATTTCTCTTTCAGAGGAAAAGGACAGAAAAAGAGTAAACACAGGAGCACATCTTTTTCCCTATTGGGTTTTCACTCTTTTATTTGCTGTGTCTCAACTGTTTCTTTTCTATGACACATAACTCAAAATTTGATTTCTAAACAATATACTCTGTAACAAAAATATATTCAGTAAACTAAATTGGAAGTGCAGTGGAAACAACATTGTGCCATGAAAAATCATCTTCCCACAACTGATCTTAGTTTCCTCCATGAAAAAAAAAAAAAGAGAACAAAAAACCTGTCTCACAGGATTACTGAACAGCGCTACTGCCTACCCATTTGCCCTGACCAGAAACCTGGGAATATTTCCAGGCATCTTCTCCTTCCCTCCCTGTCCATGTCCCCAAACATACCAAATGCTATTGAGGCTGCTGATTTTATGCCCTGAAAACCTTTGGTATCTATCCTCTCTTCTCCATCTCCACTCATTTTTAATTCTGACTCTTACCACTTTACTAGAAATACTCTTAGTTTATATCCTATTTCCAGTCTTGCCAATTTCAGTTACAGTATACTTGCAGAGAAAGAGTTACACTGATGGATGCAACAGACGAATTCTTGGGGCTCCTTTGATTCCCTGAATTTCTACTTTTCAATGCATTCTTGATGCCTTTGCATATGTCAGATGGACAGCCTTAATTAGGCACAGATTGTTTTTTGTAGGCTCCTTAAACACATGCCATGTTTTACTTAGAGGATGTGCCACTATCCATCAGTACCAGAAGGAACCAATAGGAAGTGCAAATGGAGCCTAATATGTTCCAGAGATGGCAGCCAAGCTCACACTTACTAGGGAACTATATCTACAAGACAGTGAATCTGAAATGTTGAATACCAAATTTGCATATGTTGAGAATTCCCTATAAAGTCCCAGCATTCTCTTATAAAATGTATGTTTTTCCCTCACTGAAAAAGATCCTTTAAGATATGAAGATTCAATCTAATGAAAATTCTTATTGATTGTCAAAGTTAATTTACTAAAAATGTTTCAAATGAACTTTGAGCTGGAACCCATTACGCTATTCCCTAAAATGTCCTTTCTGCAATAAGATTCCAGGAATATCTTAAGTTCAAAGTCTCTTGAAATGTAACTCCCATAAGCTGCTAGGAATTTTAAAGTTTAAAAAATTATACTTACACCAAAGTTGGTAGCAGCAAATCGATCTGAGGCAGAAACCTGTATGTTTGTTGAAACTGTTGTGTGAGCATAAAAAGCATTTATATTAGCCAGCAAGGTGCTCATGACGGCAGGGACACCGGGGCACATGTATTTAGAAGACAGACATGAAAAGTGCCTGAAAGACAAAAAACATAAAGTGTTTTTAAGACAGAAATTAATTAATTCATACAACAACAGAGCTTCTAACATCAGCAATTAATTCCACAGCTACATCTATGAAAAGGAGAGAAAACTGCACAATCTCTAATTGAAAGAAAAACAATTTTGGCCTTCTGAAAATTTCCCATTCACAAATGTAAAGTGCCTTAATTAGAGTGTAATTTGCCCTTTTTGCCCATGGACGCTGCCGAGAAAGCATTGTTAAAGTCTCCCTTGCCACTGTTGTCATGTCGAAGTCAGTTTTTGAAAGAGCCTGAACAGCTGCAGAAGCTCTGCATCAGAGGGTTAAGCTTTGAAAAAAGTTAATGTGAGTCTGAGGGGTGACGGGGAACACTCACAGGCTATGTGGTAATGAGAAACCCAAATACCCAGCACTCCAGGGGCTTTGGGTTTGTCACATATGCCACTGTGGAGGAGGTGGATGTAGCCATGAACGCAAGGCCGCAAAGGCAGATGCAAGAGTTGTGGAAACAAAGAGAGCTGTCTCAAGAGAAGATTCTCAAAGACCAGGTACCCACTTAAATTTGAAAAAGATCTTGGTGGGTGGCATTAAAGAAGACATTGAAGGACATCACCCAAGAGATTATTTTGAACAGTACAGGGAAATTGAAGTGATTGAAATCATAGCTGAGGCAGTGGCAAGAAAAGGGGTCTTGCTTGTGTAACCTTTGATGACCATGGCTCCATAAATAAGGCTGTCATTCAGAAACACCTTACTGTGAATGGCCACAACTGTGAAGTAAGAAAAGCCCTGTCAGAGCAAGAGATGGCTAGTGCCTCACCCAGTTGAAGAGGTCAAAGTGGTCCTAAAAGCTTTGGTGGTGGCCATGGAGGCGGTTTCGGGGGAATAACAACTTTGGTCATGGAGGAAACGTTAGTGACTGTGTGGCTTTGGTGGCAGCTGTGGTGGTAGTGGATATGGTGGCAGTGGGGATGAATATAATGGATTTGGTAATAATGGAAGCAGTTTCGGAAGTAGTGGAAGCTACAACAATTTTGGCAATGATAGGATTCAATCTTCAAATTTTGGATGAATGAAGGGTAGAAACTTTGGAGGCAGAAGCTCTAGTTCCTGTGGTCATGGAGGCCAATACTTTGCCAACCAGGAAACCAAGGTGGTCATGGTGGTTCCAGTAGCAGCAGTAGCTATGGCAGTGGCAGAAGATCTTAATTACTGCCAGGAAACAAAGTTTAGCAGGAGAAGAGAGCCAGAGAAGTGACAAGGAAGCTATGGGTTACAACACAGTTGTGAATTCAGCTGGGCACAGTGGTGACAGGGCTTGCTGCTGTCAAAGAAGATGTGTTTTAGACAATACTCATGTGTATGGGCCAAAATCTCAAGGATTATATTTGTGACCAATTGTATAACACGTTATTTTAGTTTCTGTTTTGTGTAAAGCATTCCAGTGAACGTTTTTAATGCAGATATTTTTTGCACCCTTGATGTTGATTGCTAAATGTAATAGTTTGATCATGATGCGGAATAAATGTGTCTTTAAAAAAAAGAACGTAATTTGCCACAAAGATGTGTAAACTCAACTTTGAATGTTGCATGTATGCACCAAAAGTACAATTTCCAGTGGAATTTAGCACCATCGGAAAGCAACTGCGCAGGAGTTTCCCTACTTCCTCAACCCTGCTTCTACTTATTTTGGTTCCTGAAATGTCATATTTTCACCAAAATGTTGTTTTGCATTTGTATGCCTCTCACAGTTGTAAAGTAGCAAGACACCCTCCTCTCAATATACATTGAATTAATAAGTCAATTTAACCTCTGACTTGAGTCCAGTTTGTATGATTTTTCAGAAAGAAATATCTTCTGTAAGCAATTCTCTTTTCTAAGCACTTTGTTACAGACAAGATTTAATTAGGCAAACAGATGAATAGTGAGAACAGATTGAATAATGCCAGCTTTATGCTTAAAGATCATTTCTTTTAAACCTTGAATAATGGTATCATTTATACCCATCAGAAGCATCAAGGGTCCAAGTTTGTTACTTCTCTCAAGGAAACCTTTTTCATTTGAACTACAACAAAAGACTTGAAAATGGAAAGCACAGCTTATGATAAAAGTGAAAGATAAAATATACATGGAGGAAAGAAAATTTCACTATATAATGTGATCCTATTTTGCTCTCATATCTTACTATGCCACCAAAGCATCTAGACATTTCTGAATTTTGTATTATTGAACACATACATAAATAGCTGCCCTGAGTGGCACTCACAAAAAATAAATGATGGTCCTGAAAACTGTGGCTTTTCTTATATCTTAACCAGGCACCTTGCTACCTACTTTGTCATAATACTGATTAACAAAAAAGGTTAAATCTTTAAAGGTGCATCTTTAAGAATCACGAATAAAAATTTATGCTATGTGAGTTCCATGATTTGTGCAAATTAACCCTGGATTTCGATTATTAATGACTGCTTCTTTAAGGAAATGATAAGTGTTATGACTTTATTATACACTGAATTGATTATAATTAATATGTATTAAGAATCCACAAACAATATTATTTATTTAACAAAAAATATTAGTTAAAAATAGAAATTAAAAATTCTTAGAGCTATGCTATCACATTTCTTTTTTTTTTTTTTCAACAATTCACAAGTAATTACATTTGTCAGACTAAAATCACAGGTCAAAAGTTGTGGAAAATGTAATGCCTAAAATGGTGTAGGTGACAATAAAAGAACTAGGGGGAAGAAGAGATATAGAAATGCCATAGTCAATTTTGAAAATAAATTGTTAGGACACTCAAAAACAAGGGGGTTATTACCCAGACCCTGCATTGTCTTTTTAGAGGGATACTGGAGGTCATCAGGCTGAGTAATCTTGTTCTTGGTTTTAGAAAGGATTGGTGCTCTCATAAAGCAGCCATATTACTTGGCTTTACTTTTTTAGCTGCCACCTTGAGATTTTTGGTGCTTGGTTAAGGAAGCAACAGCAGCTTAGTGGTTACTTCAAGCATAAATAGTAGAGCGACACAGGAATAACTTACTTAAGGCATTCACAGGATGATTTTTATAAGTGAAACTAAAAGATTTATGTAAAAAATGACATAATTATTTTTTTGATATGACCTCAAAAGCACAGGCAAAAGAAGCAAAACCAGATAAACAAGAGCACATCAAATTAAAAAGTTTCTGCACAGCAAAGGAAAAACTCAAGAGAGTGAAGAGATAACCTGCAGGATGAGAGAAAATATCAACTGTCAACTGTAATCAACTGTAACAAAATGTCAACTGTACATCTGATAAGGTGTTAATACCCAAACCATATAAGAACCTTGAATAACTCAGTAGCAAGAAAACAAATAATCCGAGTAAAAATGGGCAAAAGACCCACATAGGCAGTTTTCAAAAGAAGACACAGAAAAGGCTGAAAGGTATATATAAAAAAAGTTCAACATCACCAATCATCAGGGAAATGCCGATTAAGACCACATCAGATATTACCTCACTCCTATTAGAATGGCTATTACCCAAAAGATAAGAGGTAAGAAGTGTTTTGCAAGGATGTGGAGAAAAGGGAACCCTGTATACTGTTGGTGGGAATGTAAATTAGTACAGCCATTAAGGGAAATAGTATGGTGGTTCTTCAAAAAACTAAAAAATAGGACAATCATATGATTCATCATTCCCATTAATGGATATATCTACAAATAAGACGAAATCAGCACGTCAAAGAGATATCTGCACTCCCATGTGTATTGCAGCACAACAGCCAAGGAATAGAATCAACCTAAGTATCTATCAGTAGATGAATGGATAAAGAAAATATGGTTATATACATCAGAGAATACTGTTCAGTCATAAAAAGAAGGAAATCCTGCCATTTGCAACAACATGGATGAACCTGGAGGACATTATGTGAAATAAGCCAGACACAGAAAGACAAATACAGCATGATCTCACTCATATGTACAGTCTGAAAGGTTGAAGTCAGAGAAGTAGAGAGTTGAAAGGTAGTTACTAGAGGTTGGAGCAGTTAGGGGGTGCAGGGTTGGGAAGATCCTGGTCAAAGGATATAACATTTTATTAAATGGGGGGATAAGTCCTAAAGATCTATTTTACAGAATGGTGACTATAGTTAATGATGATATATTGTATTTGTGAAAAACGCTAGGAGAACGGATGTTAAAAGTTCTCCCACAAAAATGATAACTATGTGAGATGATGTATACGTTAATCAGCTAGATTTAATCATACCACAGAGTATATGTGCCTCAAGGCATCATATTGTACATGATAAATATGTATAATTTTATCTGTCAGTTTAAAATAAACTAAATAAATTTGAAAGTAAATGACACAATTATTGAACATTGCTCACTACTTAAAAGTCATCTGAGGGAAATACAAATGCAATATGGGAAGATTAGAAGTATCAAAAACCACCCTTTGCCTATTTTATACTTTGAGATGGTTAAGCAAATATCTTGATGATAAAAATACCCTAAGAAACTGTGGTTTTTGAATGCCAGAGCAGTGTTTCATGATCAAAATGAGAGGTTAATAAATAATTCATAGGTTATATGTGAAAATTTGAATAATTCAGGAAACGTCATGTAAATAAGTGTAGTCTTGAGTTATATAGTTTAATACAATCTTCACCACACGTTTATCATTAGTGCTAACATATGTTATTCACAGAAAAGTTAGAAAAAAGTAATGTCCAACTTACATTCACACTTTAAGCTTCTCTTTTAAAAATAACTTCAATGTATAGTCAAATAGTAATTATAATACATTCATCTATGAAAATTGATTAGAATTAGTATTATAATTTATTCTAAGAGTTTTATAGTATTTAACCATTTTTTTCCTATTCAAGCCATCTGGTCAGAGTACTCTTTCTTCACTGGTTATGTACTTACTGTATTCCTGGTACTCTTCTTAATGGTAAGGATGTGGAGTTGATTAAAACATAGTCTTCATCTAATAAAATGCATACTCTTAAAAGAGAAGCACATACCTCGAATCCTAATTTTGTTGTACAGCAGAAAGTGCAATCATAGAGGCAGCCAAAAGGTTTGGGTGGGCCATAGGATGGAGGAGCAGGCTTGGAGGTGCAGGGCAATCCTCCAAAGGCCGAATTGAATCCCATAGCGGTGAAGAGAGGAGAAGTCAGAAGGAAACACAAGGACTACAGAATGAGAGTTGAGGTAATGATCATGAAAGAGTGAAGAGCTTAGCTTCTCTACAAGTTGGTCCAACAAATATTTACTGAGCACACTTACATGGCAGATGCTATATTAGCTTTGGATATGCAGTAATGAATCTGCTTATAGACTGCTGGGGGAATCGGTCATGTAATAAATTTTGTACAGTTATGCAAAAATTATGAAAAAGGCATAGAAGAGTGCTATGAAGACACTCAGTTAGAATGTGTATATCACAGCCTGGTGAGGAGGGTCAGGGGAGATGTCTTGAGATGAGGCTGGGCTAACAGTCAATGAATGACTAAGAGATAGCCAAGCGTGGCATAGAGTTTGATATCATTGATGGATAAAGAATGTATTCCAGAGGAATGGAAAAGTACAAATCAAGGCACTATGGAAAGAAAGAAAATATTGTGTAAAGTGAACTCCAGCAATATTAGGTTAACAGAGCACAAATTTCCAGGAGAACAATTAGGATTGGTATGGCCAAAGATAAGTCTGAGGGGTTTACAGAGAGTCTTATGTAACATGTTAGGTAAGTTGGATCTATTCTATGCATCAAAAAACATTTTTGGAGAAAGTTCAAAATCTTAGAGTAAATATAAGTTAAAAAGTATTAGCAAGGAACTCTAGTTCTTCAACATGTCTTAGGAAGTGAAATAATCAGATCTGGATTTTAAATAGGTTAATTTGATGGAAGGAGCATGTAGGAGGATGAGTTTAAGGAAGGTGAAAGTAAAGAGTCCAATTAGGAGGCTATGAAGAGAAGAGACGATGGATGTCTGAACTAGAGTAGTTGTGTGTAGATGATGAGGAGGAAATGGATTTGAGAAATATTCAGAGAGGAATAACTGTCAGGACTTAGAATTCATAAGGAGAGCAGGATGGGGAAGAGAAAAGGTTAAGTTTCAAGGTTCTAGTTTGAGTGACTACGTGAATGGTTCTTCTGCCAAGTGAGCTGGGAACTAAAAATTGAAAAAAATTGAAGGTGGGGATAATGTATCTAGTCAACTATGAGCTTAAGGTGCTCATAGAGCTTCCATGTAGGAATGTTACTGGTTTTTGGAGACATGGACTAAACACCTAGATTTGGGATCATCATCATGAATTATCAAAAACCATGAGAAAGGATAAGATTACCTAGGGAAAATATGTACAATAAATGAAGAAATGTTAGAGAATGTCACCTGGGAAATAGCCATATGAAAGGAAATTATACAAGAAGAAAAAAAGTAAATTCTATAATTGAGACTAAATAAATACTAGATAGGTAAAAGTAAACCCAGGAAACTGGAATCAGGATAATCTTGATAAAAGGATGATTGATACTGTTAAGTGCAGTAAGAGTCTTATAAAATAGGACAGAAAAGAAGTTATTTGACTTGACAAATAAACATCATCATGACCTTAGCAAGATCAATGTTAATAGAGTGACAGGAGTTTGCACTAAGAGGAAATAAGATGGAAAGTGAAGAGGTACCAGGGGATGACCAAGGTAAAGTAGGTCAAGGCCAAACCTTGATTGGTACAATATCTAGCCAAGGAGTTTTGATTTTCTCTTGTGAACTACATGAAGTTACCTGAGATTTCTGCAGAAAGAGCTAGCATTATCAGATTAATTTGAAAAGATGACTCTGAAGTGGTATAAAGATGGATTCAAATGAGTCGGCAGTGGAAGCAGAAAAACAATTTAGAAAGTGTAGAAGTGAAAATGGACACTCCTGCCATGCTTTCATTAAGAACGACCACTTCACATACCACAGTCAGAAGGAAAAAAAAATACTTTGTACCTGGAGATAATCCAAATATCACAGAATTACTGTCTGCTTCTGATCTCTAAGATATAAAACCTTGAATTTTTCTGTAGTACCCAAACTTCCTAACAAAACAATTTTCAGCCTGACTTTGACAATGTTATAACTGAAGATTTAGAATGATCTCTGAAAATATAAAATCAAGATGGAAAGCTGCTGTTCCTATCATGAACAGCATGAAAACACCAAGTAAACTAGGTAACCTTAGTAATTCCAACTTAGTCTTTAAATACTTAATTGTTTTTGTTTTGCCAATGTTTCTGAAGTCTAATGTCCTCTCTGTATTTGTCATAATTAAACATTTCTTTCCTTTTCTAATTCTTTTTTTCTTTAAAGTCACAGAGCAGGTAAGGTTCTCTCTCAAAGACTGGAATTCAGGCAGTGTATCTTTAGAGACTCCTTCTTAACCATCCACCATGGTATAGCTTCTCTTAATTTATCCTCCTCACTCTCTTTATAAAAAAAATTCTTTATTTTTAATTGACAAATAAAAATTACATGTTTATCATGTACAATATGTTGGTTTGAAATATGTATACAATATGGAATGGCTGAATTAAGCTAATTAACATTTGCACTACCTCCCATACTTATCTTTTTTTGTGGTGAGAAAACATAAAATCTATTCGCTTTGCTCTTTTCAAGAATACAACACATTGTTATTAACTATAGTCACCATGTTGTAAAATGAATTTCTGGAATTTATTCCTCCCATCTAACTAAAATTTTGTATTCCTTGACCAATAGCTCCACAATCCGCCTCCTTTCCCTAAGACCCTGGTAATCACCATTCCGCTCTTTATTTCCGTGAATTCCAGTTTTGTTTTGTTTTTTTTTTTTGATGCCACATATAAGTGAGATTATGCAGTATTTGTCTTTCTGTGCCTGCCTTATTTCCCTTAACCATAATATTCCCAGGGTTTAACCATCTTGTTGCAAATGACAAGATTTCATTCTTTTTTTTAAGGCTAAAAGTATTCCATTGTGAGTACATAGTACATTTTCTCAATACATTCACCCATTGACTAACACTTAGGTTGATTCCATGTCTTAGTTATTGTGACTAATGCTGCAATGAACATGGGACTACAGATATATCTTTGACATAATGATTTTATTTACTTTGGCCCTCTTTCTTCAATATTGTGTATTACTTGTATACGTATCTGTTCCTTCTGGAATGTGTTTGGTTTATGCTTTGATAACTTTTGAAAGAAAAAAAAGCATTGTGTTATTGATTTGTTTGACTTATTCCCCAATAAGTATTATAGCTTTATACAGTTTTACATTATATACTTTAAAGGTTATGCAGTTTTATTTACAAAAACAAAGAGAAATATACATAAGTTTTTAGTTTATCAAAGAATAAAAAAACAAGTTGAATTATCTTTCTTCTTAGTACTTGAGGTTACAAAGAGACTCTTAAAGTCAACAATAGGCAAAATTTGAATCAGCAAAATTTAAGATATATATCCAGCCCATATTTAGCACAGTGTTTTCTTGTGCATACTAATTGACCAAGAAACATTACTTAATTAAAACAAATTAAAGTAATATGAACCCAAATATAAACTAAAGGTATTGATGTAGAGTTAGAGTGTACAGGACATATGCTTGAGTATGACAGTTTATGAAGACATCCAATTATGTTGTGAAAATGTGGCGGAAGTACTTAGCAGTTAACACTGTAATAACAATGGCTACTTTGAAGGCGAATAATATTCTACTTATAATCAGTAAACTGAAAGCAGCATTTTAACTTTTTTAAAGCATTAGGCCAGTATTCCTCTTAGAAAGCTGACAGAAATATTTTACATTTTGATTAAAATTAACTGAGGTGATTTCTGGGGCATGATGGATGGTAGCTAGCTGCACCTGACTCAATCCCTCTAAGCATCCCATGGAAACTTCCAAGAAAACCAAAAAGGATGCAAAATCACAACCGTATTGGAAATTAAGGTTACCAATCAAAGATTTCCCAGTTTCTGGAAGGAACTTTTTCTAACTTTAGGCAGCTGGCTAGATGGAGAACTATTCAGTGACTGCTGATATATAAACTCCTAAAACACTAACCTGACAGAGAGGAATGGGAGGGTATTTCTAGAAACCTTCCAATGTCTGCCCCCTTTATCAGAGATCTGGGGCCTAGACTGCTGCCAAGCAAGGCTATCAATCCCTCCCTATTTCATGCTAATGGACTCCCCAGGCAGTAAAGCTGTTTCTCCTTTCCCACACCTTCTCACTCTATATCCATTAAAGAGCATAAAACTCCCAAGATTCTAATACTGCCTGTACAATAGGGAATGAGCAATGGGATGTGAAGCTACTTAGAAGAAAGGGCTGGAAGAACCCTGGGAACAATATACCCTGGGGATTATGTAGAATCTTTTATGCTCTGCTTTTAGCAAGACAAAATTTACTGGTTGTTTACATTGTTCAGAAAAAGAAATATACTTAGAAAACTCACCAATAGAAGCTAAAAAATATTTTCCCCCAGTCTAAAAGAGTGCTTCATTTGAATAAAGAAATGGCAGAAAGTGGAAAATTTTTAGGGGCTGGTCTTTCAAAGTTTACAGGTGGATGCTGACAACATCCAGGTGGTCAGCAAACACGTATTCAAAGAAACCCTGAAAGTTGCCAAAACAAGCAGGATAAAAACATTTCACTATTTCAACACACACACACACACATGCACACCAAACACAAATAGATATGTGTATATGTCTACATGAAAACACAAAAACAAACACCCAGCAGGAAATACTGCTGAATATGATCATAGTGTTATCTCTGGTTGGCGTTATACATTTTTGTTATTTAAAAAATGTACATTGTATATTTTTAAATGTAGCATTAACGTGTTTTATTACCCTAACCAGAAAAAAATATGTAAAATATACATCTTAAATTTTGCTAATTCAAATTTTGCCTATTGTTGATTTTAAAAGTCTCTTTGTAACCTTAAGCACTAATAAGATAATTTAACATGTTTTTTATTCTTGTTTGACTAAATTATTTGTACATATTTTCCTTTTGAAGAAAACTACATAAACTTTAAAGTACATCATGCAAAATTGTATAACCTATAATGTTTTAAAATATCATTGAACAAGAATTTTGTTGAAGAAGTCAAACAAATCGCTGACAAAATGACTTTTCTCTTTCAAAATGTATTACTGACAAGTAATTTCTAGTTAGGAGTACATGCCTCATGGTATAATAAAATTACTGTAAAATAGATACCAGTTTAATATTACTTAGTAAAATATATCAAGAATTTTAAAGATATTAATGAAATGATCTTGGTGCATAAGTTCCTAACGCAAAATAAAGGTATGAGAATGGTGAATATGTGAAAATCAAAAAAGGCTAATAAGAAAAACCAAGCATTTCACTTAATGCTACTTTTCTTTCCACTAGATATTTTATTACCAGTTTCAATAACAACTTAGCATTACCATAGTGTTTTTCTTGTGAGCTAATTAATCAGCAAAACTTTTGTTGTTTGATTGAAAGGAAATGTAAATATGTCAAAAATTTAAATATGAGTAATACATTTAGTTATAGTTAAATTAAACAGTTTTTAATACACCTAAAGATTAAAGATACAATACTTAGGAGTAGTTGCCACCTGTTAGAACTTACATTAAAATTAACTTCTTAAAAATAACTAGTGACTTGGGATTTAAACAAATGGTTGACAGCCAAGATTAAAAGCTTACTCATTTGATACTGATTTTGCAAAATAAAATACTGAAACTGAGCAACAGAATTTTCAGGTCATTACAATAATTTTTTCCCCAGTTTGGTAAAAATACCTATCCTTTTCTAGAAACTGTGCTTAAAAGCATGCTAAATTAAGGAAGGTAGCTCCTAGTACCAAAACAATAGTCTATGTTGAACTTGCCTTTTCATGACTCTAAATAGTAAATGATTAGGCAATTGATGTGATAAAGGTGGTAGTAGTATGTATCAAAGTAAACATTTCTTGGATGGTTGAAGGAAAAAAGAAAAACAGACAAATCTTACAAAAGGAAAAATATGAATCAGTATTAGTGGCTACATTTCTTTGAAACCTTGAAGAAATGGTCAGCAAAGTGTGTGTGCATGTGTGTGTGTGTATGTACATATATATAGATATAGATATAGATATAGATATAGATATAGATATATAAAATGAGGCGGGATAAAAGGAATCTGGGTGGCCAATTTAGAGTTAAGAGTACCAAGGCATAAAGATGCTTCATGCTAAACCTAGCCGTCTTCTGTGACCTTAAAAAGTGACTTCATCACTTCTAGATTCAGTTTTTCCATCTGCAAAATGAAAGGATTTTTAGAAGATCTAACCCTTACATGCTCTAACATGCTATGCCTTTCTGAATATAAATAACATGTTGGCTGTGTCCGGCTGCATTCATCACTTCTCTCCACCATGAGCATTTGATTCTATTGCAGCCAGGGGTTAGGAAAAATAGCAAGAAAGCACTGGACACAGAAGTCAGCCTGAGGCAATCATTGCTCTTTGCAGAGCTTTCAGCTAATGGGCTTCTATAGGAGGTTCAATTTGGCAAGATGTCCGCCTCTGAGTTTGCATGGGTTCTCTCTTTATGTGTAGTTACAGCCAAGGCAAACTTTTTCTTGCTTCTAACCATATTCATTGAAAATCATTTACTTTTAACAGCTACAGTTCTAACACTACTTAAATTATTCTCAGGGTGGAAATAGGATTACAAGTACAACCAATAATTAAAAATGACTGACTCAGAGGTGCTGCAAACCACTTCTTCAAAAACCAGAGAGTACATCTTCAAAAAAAAAAGGTCAAAAAGTACTGTTGCAATCTCTGGAAATGTTTAATATTCTCCCCTAAAGACATGATTAAAAACAATGGATTAACATTAAAACATTTGACTTTACTTTTGCAAGTAAATGGTGCTAGTGTCAGAAGAATTCAACAAATGGAATTTTAGTTCCATGGGAAAAGTTAGAGTAATAAACTCTAAAAAGATGATACTTACTGCAAATAATGAAACATGGTACTGACATAAAAATAGACACATAGATTAATGGAACAGAATAGAGGGCCCAGAAATAAATCCACACATTTACTGACAAATGATTTTCAACGGGAGTGCCAATGAGAAAAGGATAATCTCTTTAATAATGATGTTGAAAAAACTGGATGTCCACATGCAGAAGAATACAATTTGACCCACCCTTATCCCACACCATATAAAATATCAACTCTAAATTGATTGAAGACTTGAATGTAAGACCCAAAACTATAAAACTACTAGAAGAAAACATAGAGGAAAAACTGCATGACATTGGTCTGTGCAATGATGTATTAGTTACAACCTCAAAAGCACAGGCAACAAAAGCAAAAATAGACAATGGGATTGAATTAACCTAAAAAGCTTCTTCACAGTAAAGGAAACAATCAACAAAGTGAGGAGCCACCCTACAATGTGGGAGAAAAAATTTGCCAACTATACATTTAATAAAGCGTTAATATCCAAAATATAAAAGGAACTCAAATAATTAAACAGCAAGAAAACAAATAACATGATTAAAAAATGGGCAAAGGATCTGAATAGATATTTCCCTGAAGAAGACATACAAATGCCCAATAGTATATGAAAAATATGTAACATCACTAATCATCAGAGAAATGCAAATTAAAACCACGATAAGCTATCACCTCACTCCTATTGGAATGGCTATTACCAAAAAAGGTAAAAGATAACAAGCCTTGGCAAGGAGGTGGAGCAAACAGAATCTCGTACACTGTTGATGGTAATGTAAATTATTACAGCAATTATGACAAACAGTAAGAAGCTTCCTCAAAAAGTTAAAAATAGAACTATTATATAATCTATTATTTCCACTACTGGGCTTATAGCCAAAGAAAATAAATCAGTATGTCAAGAAATATCCGCACACCCATATTTATTGCAGCATTACTCACAATAGCCGAGATATGAAATCAATGTAACTGTCCATTGACAGATAAATGGATAAAGAAAATGTATATACATACAATGGAATAGTATTCAGCCATAAAAATGGAGGAAATTTTATCATTTGCAACAACATGGATGAACATGGAGAACATTATGTTAAATGAAATAAGCCAGGCACAGAAAGAAAAATACCATATGATCATCTCATTCATATGTGAAATATATAAAAAAAGAGGAACTTACTGAATTAGAGAGTAAAATGGTAGTTACCAGGAGCTGGAGTTGGCTAGCAGGGTGGGTGCTGGGAGATATTTGTTAAAGCATAAAAATTTTCACTTGGATATGAGGTATAAGTTCAAAATGCCTATTGTACAACATGGTGATGATAGTTAATAACAATGCATTGTATTCTTGAAAAATGCTAACAGCGTGGAAGTGTACTCATGACACAAATAACTATGTAAAGTAATATATATGTTCATTAGCTAGATTTAGTCATTTTACAATGTATATATACTTCAAAACATCATGTTGTATATAATAAATACATAAAATTTTATCAATCAATTTTTAAAAAAATTTAAAAAGCAAATAATGAGATAGTTACTGGCAAGTTTTTGGCTAAAGCAACTGCTACAAAGTTATTAACCATTAATAGTCAAAATATTATTGGTCTAATATGTATTTCAAATAGCACATCTGGGTTAATGTCACTTGCTATTGTTGAACAAAAAAAATAAAACAATCCTCTAACTCACATGCCAGTTCAGGGACAGGTGTCCGAAATCATACGGAACTTGTGGTTTTCAAAGACTAGAAATGACTTTCATCTAAAGTTTAAAAATAATCAATGAACAGAAGAACAAGGTGATTGGAAAGAAGTACCAAAAGGAAGATTATGATTCTTAGATTGTTGCAAGCAATTTCAGAGATACTATGCAAAATGAAAGGAAAGACTATCTGCATTTCTGATGTTAGAAATACACTAAAACAATATTCATCACACTTGCTCCCCCAAATTCAGCTCAGCATTCTAACTTATCAGTGATAAGTTAGAATTTTATTCATTCTCGTCACTAAAGATGACTCAAACACTTAAATGTCACTTCTGTTTTGACCAAAAACATCATAGCTTCTCAAAGATGCTATGGGTTGCTAGAGCCCAGTTATGGAGATTTTGAGTACAAGAGCAATGGTGTGTGACTGGAAAATAAATAAAAGGCACAGATTTTAGAGGAAGACAGAAGTTGAAGGACAAGTAAGGGTGGGGCCCTCAGGCTGCCCATCGGCTTCCTCTGACACTTCTCATCTGTGCTTGGATTTGCTTCCTCTATACCTATGCCCTTATAGCCCCCATGCTTGTTACTATTTAATCTCTTTGTTCTCTTCCCCCTAAATCAGGAGCTTACTAGAGACAAGAGCTATCTTTTACTGCTATTTCCCCATTGCCTTGTGCTGTGGTCTGAACAGTTGTGTTCATGAAAAACTCATATGTTGAAACCTATGACTCAAGGTTGTAGTATTAAGTGGTGAGGCTGTTGAGAGGTGATTAGATCATAAGTGGGGAGCCCCTCATGAATGGGATTTTAGTTGTCTTATAAAAGAGGCCCCAGAGAGCTTCCATCCCTTTGGCCATGTGAAGCTTGCACACAGTGAAATGACAGCCATAAATGAACCAGGAAATGGCCCTCGTCAGACACCAGATCTGATGGCACCTTAATTTTGGACCTTCTAGCATCCAGGACTGTGAGAAATAAATTTCTGTTGTTTATAAGCCACTCAATTGATGGTATTTTTTATAGCAGCCTCACAGACTAAGACATTCTATATAAGTCCTCATACTTACATCCTCAGAAAATCTATTGAATAAATTAATTTCATCTTCTAGAATGTGGGGTTCATGAGAAACTAGACTGACTTCTTGTTCACTGCTGTAACCATAGAAATGTTTCTGGCACATGATAGGCACTGAGTAAATATTTCTTAAACAAATGAATGACTCCATTAAGCAGCACTCTTTTTTACAGATAGACTCCTGGATAAAGCAGTTAAAACAGACTGTGACTTTAAAGTAACCTGTATCCAAACAGTTCTGATTTAAATATAAATTAGATAAAGATGGTCAGTGCCAGGGTACATTACAGGTTGTTTTGTAAGCACATCAAGGTAAAAAACACCGACCTAATGCTTTCCTCTCCTTTGCTATTGTAGAGGCAAAACCATAGCCTAATAGAATCTCAGACTTTGTGAGACATCTTAGCCTTCATGTTACAATAAATGACTGATTAAACACTCAAGAAAATGTATTTTCTTGACAGAAATAATCTCCAGAGGATGATTTAAACCATAATGACTGATATAGAATTCCCCGGATGTGTTCAGCTGTGAACAATTAGTCTGTCAAAACACTATTAGGAACATACACATTGCATATATAGATGAAAAGCATCAAGAACTCCCAAAATATTGATGATGGAAACAAGTTCTATGCCTCACCCCATGATGCAAAATATGTGGAATGGTGTGTTCCTTAGAGAAGGGGAACAGCCTATCATTCTTACTATCATTAGTTAGAAAATTGTTTTTATTTTAGATGGATGGTTGCATTTGCCATGTGGGAACAAATTCTTCAGGTCCTTGATCAATCACTTGTCCAAACAGGAAAATTGTAATCCCTCTCCTACTGACGCATGCTCCAGAACAAAGGGTCATTTTTATGTAACAGGTAGGGCTAATAAATGGTACCCTCACAGAAAATATTCTGTGGAAAGAGGAATGCTTTATAGTAAGCTGGAGGTACCTTGGAGCACTGGGACGTTCAGTCCTAATGCTCAGGTTTACCAGCAAAATAGTTTCAGACTCTTTTGTCTGAAAAGAAATTCACAAGAGAAAAATTCAGTAGTGTACTACCAGATTCTGACTTAAAACATACTTCCCCTTATTTATTTATTCTCCAAATCCATCTTCAAAGAAATGGGAATGTGCTCAAAAGAAACCAAGAAATCTCTAATAAAAGAGGAAGATTATGAAATTACCCGGGGATTTGGCTAACCCTAAAGAGTATTTAAATATCAAAAGAAGGTACAATTTGATTTCTGTTTTTGATCAAATAGTGTCTAGGAAAATCCACAGAATTAAGGACTTTTGTCTTTTTCGAAAATGGTTAAGTATCCTTATTATAGAGAAAAGACAGCATTTCTTCTTTGTAGCTGAGTTTTCCAATTTTGTTTTTTTAAGAATTAAGAGGAAGTACTTCTGAGACAGGCTTCAAATGTTGCGTTCTAGGTTTTGTTGTTCTTTCGTTGGTTGGTTGGTTGGCTTTCCGGTTACTTTTATTGTTGTTGTTCCCTGATGCAAGGTTTCAGAACAACAGAAAAATACCTATTCATTAGTCAACCGGTTTAAATTAAAAGATAGATTTATTCATAAACAGTTTTTTTTTCAGTTGAGTTAGTGCTTGGCCAGCAATAGCTTAGGGCTCAAGTTACAATTCAATTGCAAAAGCATCATTTTAAAAGTATGGTGGAAACTATCTCTGAAAGCTGTATTTCAACTCTTGACTGAAAAAAGAACTCAGTACTCTGAAACTTCCTCAAATTTTTAAAAACGATCAATCAATGTAGTGTGCTCTCACCCTTATTACAGCATAAATGGTGACATAGACCCCTATATCAGCTCAATTAAACTTTTCATTTTCACTTTCTTTTTGGCAACTGAAAAACTCTGGCATCTAGAAACACACTAGGAGAAGGTAAAAATAAATGTAATTCTGATAAACAGCTTCTGCCTCTGATTCCCTCAATTGCAAATATGTACTGACTTTCTATCATGTATCAAGAACTTCTTATGAAGCAGTAATGAAAGATATGATTTCTCTCTTCAAAATTTCAATTTGTAAGTCGTGGAATAGAATTGAAGTGCACCTCTATGCTGTTCCATTCTATTCTCTTTCCTGGATATAATTACAGATTACAATTATATTAACAGATTGAGATAAAATGAGTACACGTATATTTTTGTATAAAAACAATAATTTCTAATAACTAATGAATACCAATAAATAATATTGGTATTCATAAAATCTTTATTGGTACAATAGAGATTGTATCTATGTTGGTAGTAATTTCCTTAGGATTGATCAGATTGTCAACAGAATTTTTTTCTTCTGGCAAAGTAATGGAAAATTTTGTACTGCCAAAGCAAAAATTGCACCAAAGTTAATTAGACAAGGGAATTTTCATTAAGGCTACTGCAACAGGGACAAGATCAGGTAAGGGTTTTTTTTTTTTTTTTTTTAGTTACATCTCAAAGGAACAGAGAAAGAATTTACAATTGTAAGTTTTCTAAAGTAAATGCTCTAAGGGAAAGGAGGTCAGAGGCCTGTGGGTTTAGGTCATTTGGAATCTGCAAGGGCTGGGAGGAAACGGACGTCAGGGCGATAGAGGCAGAAAGAAGCCTGTCTAAAGTTTTGCTAAGCTGGGAAAAATGTTAGGCTTGTCATGATAAGTATTCAGTGCTAAAAGAAACATGTGATATATAAAAATATTTTTAAATCAAATGTATAACCACAAGTACACATAATCTACCACATTATTGTCACTGAAGTGTAATTGTCAATGAATCACAAAACCTAAGGCATTCTTTTGCTTTATTTCTATCTGCCTTGTTTTCACTCCTTAGACCAGTGAATCTATGGCCCTCATGCCCTCATGCCAAACCCTGACCAAATTCCGAGTTTCTGTTTTTTAAAATAAAGTTTTATCAGCACACAGCCATTTCCATTTATTTACTTAATATCTATGGCTGCTTTGCACTAGTACTGCAGAGCTAAGCAGTGTAACAGAGACTGGTACAACTACAAAATATTTACTATCTGGCCCTTTACAGAAAAAAAAATTCCAACCCCTGCTCTTAGACAGTTGTCTAGTGTGAACAGGAGTTTTGCCTTTCCTGAGATTTATAAATACAATGAGACCCAATATACCTGCAGGTCACTTGCTACCAAATAAATATTCAAAATATTTTTGAAAAATACTTATCTTAAAGGCTTATCAGAAACTCAAAAAAAGCAACCATTTGTCTCTCCTCTACCTGTGCCCTGGAAGCCCCCTCCTTGCTGTGAGTTGACCCCGCCTTTCTGGATGGAACCAATGTACATCTTACATATATTAATGTCTCATGTCTCCCTAAAATGTATAAAACCAAGCTGTGCCCCGACCACCTTGGGCACATGTCGTCAGGAACTCCTGAGACCATGTCATGGGAGCGTGTCCTCAACCTTGGCAAAATAAGCTTTCTAAATTAACTGGAAAAAAAAAAAAAAAGAAAAATACTTATCTTTTACTTAGATTGAGAGGCAAGAGTTACATTATACAATGTAATAAAATAAGGAAGGGCTAATTCTCCTCTTTCCAACGATCTATGTGATACATACTTACCATTTTTCTATATTAACATGACTGTGTTTCTTAGAACACAGAAAAGATGGAAATGAATGAATCTAACATCAGCTCCCAGAGATATTTTAGAATAAATTTAACTTAATCTTTTCTTTTAATGGGATTCTATCCAGCAGCAGGTTGTTTTGATTTTGTAACCTACCTTTCTTTAGGCAGAACAATTCATTTCCCTTAGACTGTTCATCATACTTGCATTTTAATTGTGCTATAACTTTATACTAGGTGTTCTGAATCATAGCCTTTGGCATGGGATGGAACAGATGTCAAAATCACAGACTCTATTATGGTTGACCAATTATAAAACAAGTTCCCTCCAAAGTAGTGAGCTCCCTATTACTGGATGTGGATGAACAAGGGATGATGACCATTAGTCAGGGATCCAATAACAAAGTTTCTAGATTTGAGAAGGAGGTTCAATCGAGTGATCTCTAAGGTTTCTTATTTTTTTTTCACATCTAAGAATCTATATATCTTTATTATTTAGCATAAGGACATTCTATGTACTGAAAAAGCATGCACAATTTCTCTATCAGTAATTATCATTCATGCTTACATTATGTTGTTCTAGAATTATGATTAGAGATTAAGGGCTATGAACAGTAAACTTTGAAAAGAAACACTGATAGCATTGAATCTATCAATTACTTTGGGAAGTATGCTTCATCAAGCTACCACTGACTTTCTTCACAGAATTAGAAAAACACTACTTTAAATTTCATATGGAATAAAAAAAGAGCCAGCATAGCCAAGACAATCCTAAGCAAAAAGAACAAAGCTGGACACATCACATTACCTGACTTAAGTAAACCAAACAGCATGGTACTGGTACCAACACAGATATAGAGACCAATGGAACAGAACAGAGGCCTCAGTAATAACGCCACACATCTACAACTATCTGATCTTTGACAAACCTGACACAAACAAGCAATGGGGAAAGGGTTTCCTATTTAATAAATGGTGTTGGGAAAACTGGCTAGCCATATGCAGAAAGCTGAAACTGGATCCCTTCCTTACACATTTTACAAAAATTAACTCAAGATGGATTAAAGACTTAAATGTAAAACCTAAAAGCATAAAAACCCTAGAAGAAAACCTAGACAATTCCATTCAGGACATAGGTATGGCCAAAAACTTCATGACTAAAACAGCAAAAGCAGTGGCAACAAAAGCCAAAATTGACAAATGGGATCTAATTAAACTAAAGAGCTTCTGCACAGCAAAAGAAACTATCATCAGAGTGAATAGGCAACCTACAGAATGAGAGAAAATTTTTGCAATCTATCCATTTGACAAAGGGCTAATATCGAGAATCTACAAAGAACTTAAACAAATTTGCAAGAAAAAAACAAACAGCCCCATTACAAAGTGGGCAAAGGATATGTACTTACACTTCTCAAAAGAAGACCTTTAGGCAGCCAAGAAACATATGAAAAAAAAGCTCATCATCACTGGTCATTAGAGAAATGCAAATCAAAACCACAATCACATACCATCACATGCCAGTTAGAATGGTGATCATTAAAAAGTCAGGAAACAACAGATGCTGGAGAGGATGTGGAGAAATAGGAATGCTTTTACACTGTTGATGAGAGTGTAAATTAGTTCAACCATTGTGGAACACAGTGTGGTGATTCCTCAAGGATCTAGAACTAGAAATACCATTTGACCCAGCAAGCCCATTACTAGATATATACCCAAAGGATTATAAATCATTCTACTATAAAGACTCATGCACACGTATGTTTATCACAGCACTGTTCATAATAGCAAAGACTTGGAACCAACCCAAATGCCCATCAATGATAAACTGGATAAAGAAAATGTGGCACATATGCACCATGGAATACTATGCAGCTATAAAAAAGGATGAGTTCATGTCCTTTGCAGGGACATTGTTGAAGCTGGAAACCGTCATTCTCAGCAAACTAACACAAGAACAGAAAACCAAACACTGCATGTTCTCACTCAAAAGTGAGAGCTGAACAATGAGAACACATGGACACAGGGCGGGGAACATCACACACCGGGGCCTGTTGGGGCGTAGACGGCTAAGGGAGGGATAGCATTAGGAGAAATACCTAATGTAGATGATGGGTTGATGGGTGCAGCAAACCACCATGGCGCATGTATACCTACGTAACAAACATGCACATTCTGCACATGTACCCCAGAACTTACATTCAAAAAAAAAAAAAAAACAAAAGAAAATGAACACTGATTTTGGCCCAGTCTTCATTCATCATTAAGATGATTGAAATTGACTTCTTATCTGGACCAGTATCTATTCAGTTTACATGAAAATGAGATCTTGTTGTTAATATGAAAAAAGTCATCTAATATAAATAATTTACAAATTACACCTGGTATATATCTGAACCATATGCACTTATAAAATTAGACCAGGTCTCAAAAAGGAAACTATGGGGAAGTAATGAATACTTCTGTTCATTACTAAACCCTTACTGAAATTCAGTTCTAAATCCTCACTGAAATTATAATAAGTTAATTCTGTGGTATCACATTTTTTATACTGTTTGCGTTCTATGGGTGCTAAATAAATCTTTGTTTTACTGAATTAGCAGTACTGATATAAATATGAGAAGGAAAGACATAGTCTAAAATTTGGAACAAGACACCATAATAGCTCTGGACCTGTCTCTCTCACTAACAGGCTTTGTGACCTTGGACAAACCAGGGCTTTAGTTACCTCAGATATGGAATAAGTCACTGGCTCTCAAACTTTAAAGTATATGAGAATCACCTGGAAGACTTGTTAAACCATAGGTTGCTGGATTCCACCCTCAGAGTTTCTGATTCAGTAGGTCTGGGATGGGGTGGATAATTTGCATTGCTAAGTTGCCAGGTGCTGTTGATACTATTTGTCAAGGAACCACACTTGGAGGACAGAACAAGGATTGGAGGATGGTGGTAGTGAATTACCAAGTCATTAATACTTTACAGCTGTAAGAGAGAGTAGTCAGCATCAAACATGCACAGTGAAATATAATCCTCTTTTTAATCAGTTTCATTTGAATTAGAAGTGAGATGAACGCTCCTTTCTTTCTTTATATTTTAATAGAGATATTGACCATGTAAATGTTCTGTAGTACTTACGTCATAGCTTGATAAATGGATTCAATTCCATAACGCATAGCAAATTCATCAACTATTTCTTGGGAAGCATCATCAAAGAAAACCTTCCAGGCTTCATCCCCTTTGACTTCTGGGATTTTCACTCCACCATTAGATTTCACTTCAGTCAAGTAATGGAACAGATTCTAAAAGCAAGTGGTTTTTAATTGTTCAGTGATTCCTCAGAATAGGCCAGAAACATTTAACTAAAACTTCCAGTAAAATGCTCTTGCACTGTCATTGCCTCTAATGTTTCATCAGCATCTGCAAGCAATAGGAATATCTTGAATTTTTATTCTAACTCAATTCATCTTTTATGCAAAATCTGCTTTGATTTCTGCCTGGGTAAAAGCGCTGATATAAATATGGGAAGGAAGGACATAGTTTAATATTTAGGACAAGATGTCATAATAGCTCTGGATAGGTCTCTGACAGTAACAGGCTTTGTAACCTAGGAAAAATCAAGGCTTTAGTTTCCTCAGCAAATAAGGCACAGGTTCTCAAACTTTAAAGTATATGAGAATCACCTGGAAGGCTTATTAAACCATACATCGCCAAGTTCCATTCTCAGAATTAGATTCTATTACACTGCAGCTGAGAGGTTAGTTAGAGGTGTCACTGGTGACTCCCTGATGCAAATGATACTTGTCTTACATCAAAAAATATGAGATGAGGCTGAAGAATGTACCCTTATTCATGTTCAAAGTGATAAAGTACCTTCCTAAGGCACTTTAGATAGTAAAGTTGGGTGGGTCTACACAGAATCAATGATTCAAATATTTTGTACATACCAAACCATTTGCAGAAGGAAGTGAGTGTTTTTGCCTGAAAACATTTCTACATGATAGAGCGTATTTTGCATTCAGGCATTCTGAGTAAATTATAGTGCCCTGGATGAATAATCTGATTTTGACTATGTTAAGGCAAAATTTAGCTGTGTAAATGATACTAAAGGATTTGGGCTGCAAAATGGTAAGAGTCAGGGCAATGAATCGAGGTTGAAAATGAATGTTGGAGAATTTTGTAACGAAATAAAATTACTACTCTCAATTCCTTTTTGCTTCTAAGTTTAGCAACTGCTACTTTGATAAAGCCAGGGTAAACTGAAGGACTTTTTCTTAGATTTCAGTTCTTTCTGGTTCTTGGACCAGTAGAAAAGACTTTGTAAAGTGAAGTGTACTGCTGTTTCTCTGACTGCAGATCTTCTCTGCCCACACTTTAAGGCCCGAATTCTCCATCATGCCAGTTCAAGGGATTTCTTTTTATTGGTCTGAAAAATGAACCATCTCTCTTGAGGGAATAATATCACTAACCACAAAACTGTGATTATGAAATTAAGCCTAGGTCCTATACCTAAATCGTGTGTAATATACACACGATTTAAACACGGTTCCTCATTTCTTTCTTAGTAAAATGGGGTATAAATATTTACATGTATAAATTTTCATGAATATATGTAGAAAAAATAATATGCACAAAAGTAGAACTATCTTTCAGTTGTCTTTTTCTGAGGAAGGTACTTTGTTACTTTGAAACACATGAAGAAGAGTACATTCCTCAGCTTCACCTATTTTTTGATATGAGACAAGTATCATTTGCATCAGAGAAAGTCTCCCGTGACACCTCTAACTAAGCTCTCAGCGACAAACATTTGATAGACTCCCAAGATGATTTGTCTGTGCTTCTCTACTGAGACACAAAAGGGAACTGGTGAAACTGTGCTTTTGATTGATGTTGGGTGGTGTTTACCTCTCTCCAAGCCAACTAGGCCCTACTTTTTGGGTGAGTAACCACATCTTCATTTTCTCCATACTCACATGTTTGTAGAAAGAGAGGTTAACACGGAGGACTGTGCAGTATGTATGAAACTGCTTGTTGTACTCAGAAACAGGAAGAAAAATTAACTGCTTATTACATTGGCTCCCAAAAGCCATCAAAACAGCACCACATTTTTATGTTTCTAGTTATAAATAGAGTCCTAATTAAATCTTCAATAAAATCTGAACTCTAACTCGGAGTTCTCAAACACAATTACGATTTGATCCTCTCCTGCAATACCAAACTACTACATATTTAATGCTTCCAAAATATGTGGCATGACTCATTTCTTCAATCAATATTTTTAACACTCTTCTTCCTCTTTGGAAGAACATTAATTTTTTTGTATCTACTTATGCATTATCATCTTATTGCCTATTCACACCTGCCTCACAGGCTTGTTCTAAACTCTCATTAGATGACAAGTTCGTCAGGGGTAATACAACACATAGAATTTATGATATCTTAGTATATCACCTGCTGTAGTATAGAGTCAGAACTCCAGGAACCACTCTACAAATTCAATGATTTTTAAACCAAATATTCTGTTTTATAATCCATAATCAAGAACATTTCTTATATTTTGTATTAGTAAAATTCCATTTATTTACCTCATGTAAACATGTATATTGAATATGATATGGAGCAACCTTCTCTTCTCCTTTTATCTCCACATTGATTTTCAATCGTATGGCCCCAGATACAGCTGACTTATCTGTCCTTTTCTCTGATAAAGCAAAAAGGCAATTGGTCAGTCATGTCTGACAATAATGTTTTTCTCATACGACCTCTCAAAAGCTAAAAAACAAAAAAACAAAAAAACGGCTTAAGTAGCTAAAAGCTATTTTTCTGAGTCAGAGCTGCTTATTAAGTAACCATGATGAGGCCATATGTGGTAGCTCTTGCCTATAATCTCAGTGTTTTGGGAAGCCAAGGTGGGAGGACCACTTAATGCTAGGAGTTTGAGACCAGCCTAGGCAACATAGCAAGATCTAGTCTCTACATTTTTTTTTTTTAATTAGGCAGGTGTGTTGGTGCTTGCCTGCAGTCTTAGCTAATTAGGAGGCTGAGGCAGGAGGATCTCTTGAACTCAGGAGTTTGAGGTTATACTAAGCTATGATCACACCAGGGCACTTCACCTTGTCTAACAGAGTGAGACCCTGTCTCTATTTAAAAATGCAAAAAAAGTAACTATGATTCCCCTAAATACAATTAAAAATATTTGCCTATTGTGGTATTGTAATTATCAAGCGTCTTACAGATATTCCAAATAAAAAAACTAATCAGAAGACCCTGCAATTCTCATATATTTCTGTGTATTTGATCAGTTTATACAATGAAATTAAATAAGTTATTTGGCAATCAAAATCAAGAAAAACGGTGTATAAATAGGAAATTATTTTATCTGAAAGCTGTCACTACTTGGTTTCTTCTCTTTGTACTTGAAAAGATGAGCCAAAGTTCTGGTTTATAACAAAATGTTAATAGTTTTCATTGTCAGTGATTTATAAAGACCTACAGTCTATACCCTAGGCTAACTTATAAGTGCTGGACTGTTTATTTGAATGGAAACAACATATAGTCAATTTAGCCATAAAATGTGCGTGCGTACGTGTTCGGTATAAACTGAGCAATAGCTTTGCGATAAATAGAGGCATAATCTAGGCTGTGATTGTAGTGGAGGGTCCTAAGTTCAAGACCCATTTCAGATACAAAACACAGAGGCAATCTGACCCATTTCACAAATGAAAATAGGATTTAGGTAAGTGACACAAAGTCAGTGCGGAGGACTTTAAATTGGCCCTCTTTCTAAACATAGCTGTATCTTTAGCCGTATAAGGTACAGTTAAACCATGAAGATGACTTCCCTCTTGTGGAATGTCTGCTGACTTTTCACTGTTATTCTTTAATCGTCATTTGTGTTGCAAAGATTCTTCCCTTCTAAGTGCCAGGATCATAAGCGATTTTCCTACTGGTTGAGAGGGAGTTGATTCTCAAGAAATATTAAAATTCTCTGCTGGGCCCGGCGCGATGGCTCACGCCTGTAATCCCAGCATTTTGGGAGGCCGAGGCGGGAGGATCACGAGGTCAGGAGATCGAGACCATTCTGGCTAACACGGTGAAACCCCGTCTCCACTAAAAAATAAAAAAAAATAAAAAAAAAAAAAAATTAGCCGGCCGTGGTTGCAGGCGCCTGTAGTCCCAGCTACTCGGGAGGCTGAGGCAGCAGAATGGTGTGAACCTGGGAGGCGGAGCTTGCAGTGAGCCAAGATCGCGACACTGCCCTCCAGCCTGGGGGATAGAGCGAGACTCCGTCTCAAAAATAAATAAATAAATAAAAATAAAAATTCTCTGCTGGGGCCAAGAGAAATGCAAGACCTAGGGTCTTTTTTGGTCACACACCTCTTTCCAGAAATCCAGGGGAGCTTTATTGGTTCTTTGATTTTTAACTGTCATCATCCCTAAGGATCTTTGGGAAGCAGGCTCTGCTTGGACACCAAAGGCTTTCAGTCAAAACTTCCTTTGTGTAGTGGAATGAATTTTAAGTGATAAGGAGGGTTGTATCAAGAATAGAAATAGGTTATTTGTTTGGATAGAATGTATTTAGGGATTTTACACAAAGCTAAAAAAGGTAAAACCTGTACACACTCTCAAAGGTTAAACATCAGCAATGAGGGCAAAAAACTACTGAGGGTGGGTAGGTAAAGACTTACAATATTGCGTTTCATCACATTTTCATCTCATAGACTGAAGGACAGTTTCAGCATAAGAGCTAGATGGCTGATTTTACTAATAGCAGCATATTCAAATTCCTCAGCAAGTTCTGAATATAGTCTGGTACATGGTTTTTCTTTTTGTTCTTCTTCTTATGTATTTATTTTTTTTTTACAAGGTCTCACTCTGTGACCCAGGCTGGGATGCAGTGGCATAATCTTTTAGTCCACTGCAGCCTCAGTGTCCTGGATTCGAGTGATCCTCCTGCCTCAGCCTCCAGAGTAGCTGGGACTACAGGCACATGGCACCATGCTTGGCTAATATTTTTTAAATTTTTGGTAGAGATGGGTCTCACTATGTTGTCCAGTCTGAACTCAAACTCCTGGCCTTAAGCAATCCTCCCTCCTCCACCTCCCAAAATGTTGGGATTACAGGTGTGAGCCACTGTGCCAGGTACTCATATATGTTTTGTTAAAAGAATACATTGGAGAAATTTCTGTTCTGAATTACAACTTTACTGCCTCGACCCAAGAATATGTTAACGTATTACAGAAAAGAAGTCCATATAAAGATAAACCTCTTTCATAAAGAAATAATTTGTGAATGTTCCACAGAGTTAATGGCCTGAAATTTACCCTCAGTTAGTAATTCTATTTTCATATACGAAGTCATTTAATAGTTAAAACAAGCTTTGGGGGGTGGCTCATTATAGCAGAGGTAAAAATTCTACTCCAATACATAAGAGTACAAATCTTCTTTAAGGAAGATTTCTTAAGATAGTTTTAATAATTAGTTCTTAGTTTAACTTGAATCATCTGTGTTCAGATAAATTAAATATCTCTTTCATTGAATTATTCTATAATCTAGAGTTTTGTGAATTCAATGTGACCTCCATTTGTCAATTATTTCATTACTAAAAGTATGCAGATTTTTTTAAAGTCAAAAGCACTTTTTAATTTGTTAACATATGTTGGTATCCTAAGTGGTAACTCTTTGTAACCCAAGGAATGTGTCAACTCTTTAATTCATATCCAGCCAGCCCTCAAAAGTTTAATTAAAACACTTTATAGGATATGATTAAGACATCTTCAGATCGTGCCTTTGCAGAAACTGAGGTGACCCATATATTTTACTACTATTAAATCACCACAGAAAATTCTATGTTATTATTTTATTCTAGTAAAAGTTAAATTAAAACTTACCTTATTTAATTTCTGGTTCCATAATAATTTTTTAAATCATTCCAATTAATCACCTTCTCAGTATCTTCATCAAGAGAGTCTGCATGAGTTCACATGTTTACTTGACTTTGTCAACTAAAGCCTACTGTTATACCGTCATTTGAAAGCAATTCAAAATACATTTTTCCTTCATTGCCAAAATTTCATTAATGGACAAGAAGGAAATAAGTCAAATAGCATTAAATAATAGGTTATTTGTTTCGCATGTATTTGGCAAGGGTTTGTGAAGCTGTATTTCATACATTAAAAATTAAGAATGCAATAACATTTTTCTCTAAAAGACATCTAGGTAGTTCTTGGAAAGGGATTTCTCCTTTCACCTCAAATTTACCAAAGTCTTTCAACAGTATTGAAAAAAGAATAGCCTTTTCTTGTCAATGAAATGAATCATCTAAAGTTCAACAGAATGTCCTGGAAAGGCATTGGTTATTTTTACTTATATGGGAATGTAATACATGCCACAGGTATTCAGGGGTTTTATTTAACTCGTTTTCAAGTAGATAAAAAAAAAAATCACCTAAGTTGTACCAGACATCCATTTCTCCACTCAAGGTCCTCACTTCTACAATTGTTTGTCCCAGAAAATCATCTGACTCCTTTTTGAAATGTTGCTTGACTCTGGATTTAATATCATCATCTTCATCCCATACTCTGACTTTGATTCGATCTGTGGAGTTATGACACTCACTGAAAATAAATGTGGATAAGTTAACAACAATTGAAAACTGCTCTAAATTCCATTTGATGTTAGTACTTTATTTTCTATCTATTCTAGAAAGGCATAATATACTACATAATAAATGAGATAACCCATTTCATCTATCCATGGGATGTTGCAGGCACATAATGCAACTATACTGAAGAAAAGCTAAATAATGTTAATAAGGGAAAATCAAATCCCATTCCATCCTATTTCCTTTAACTGATTTAGATATAATCAAATATGGGTAAGAAATCTTTGCTTGTGATATTTTCACTTATGCCATATTTCCTATTGACAATAGTTATCTTGATAAAAATATCCATGCTTGGAAAATTCTTCACCATAAAAATAAAGCTAATTTTATTGCAATGGGTGTTGAGAATGTGGACTTCACAGACTACAAAATGACAATAATAGTTTTCTGAAGGACTTGAAAAACTAAAAATCCCAGTAAGCACATAAGATATTATTAAATCAAGTAGAATTAGAGCAAAATCCTTCTGATTTAAAGAACAAACTGTGCATTCTAGTCCATCGTTAATTTCCAGGTTTTCTTCACCCTCTTTTGTTGAGGCAAGCTACTTAGTATTGCCTACACATATTATGGTCTTTTCTGACACTGTGGTTTTTGTATACACTCTTCCCTAGGCTTCTTTGCCTGTTAACCAATCAATCTTTAGGAATCTGCAAGTAAACTGATGTATATCACTTTTCCTGCAACTTATTGAACCATTTAGTTGCAATCAACTCTTTGCTTTCTGTGTATCCTGTACATGATTTCCTCTAGCACAGGTGCTTTATCTCAGGGTTCATGGATGAGTTCTGAGCATTCTTGAACTTGGATTAAAATACATATATTATATATGTATATACACACACACATATAAGGAGAATATACATATTATATATGCATTATCTATATAATCTATATAGATAGATATAGATATCTATCTCTATATATAATCTATATATTATCTATAATTAATATAGATATATGTATAAAACATATTTTATAATATATAGAGAGAGGAAGAGATCATCTTTATATTTTCAATTATGAATATAGGCAACAAACCACAGCAGCATTTTTGTCATCAATACAACCACAGATACTTACATATAACATTCTAAGTGTTATGAACCTTAAAATATTATTTGTACCTATCATTAAACTAAAACTGTGTTTCAATATAATTGATTTAATTCTATGAATTTTATTTTTATATGAAAAAGTACATTTTGAAAAGACATCTATGGTTTTCACTAGACTTCCCAACAGGTTCATGGTGCAAAAAGTATTTGAGAATTCCTGAGTATAATGTCTCTTTCATTAACTTATAAGGCAAAATAATACAGCACATACAAGAATAATATTTGAATCTGATGGGCCTATATACGAATTGTAGCACCACTGTTTCTACTTAACATAGGAGTTTTCAACACAGAGCATTTTACTAATTTCTGGGACATTTTTGGTTTTCACGAACATTCACGGACGTTACTGGCATTCAGTGGAATAGGCTAGAGATTTAGATACCCCACCATGTACAGGACAGTGTGCATGATTTAAAATGACCCATCAGGCATTAAGGAAATTTCTTAACTCATTGATGATTACCTTAGCTCAGGATGTAATTCTTTTAGGTAGAAACACCATGTCTTTTGCATGATTTACTAGACACTGAAATGTCCTGGAAAGGAACTAGCATGTCAATCACTAATCAAAGAAGGTTTTGTTGTTGCTGTTAAGAACTTCACCAAGGCTTCCTTTCCATTTTGAAAAATTACATCACCTGTGTCGAAACTACACAAAGTATTTGAACTATAATATTTGAACTGTAGTATTTATAGTATTTGTATCAGTGTGCATTTGAAATGGTCACATTCATCTTAATTCTATCAACAGTGAAAGCCAGTGTCTACTATGTATTCTAGGGTAGTTGTATCCAAGCCCTTACACGTTAAAATACATATTAGAATACTTTTAGTTCTCCTTCATTTTAAGTTGGAACATTATACTGATTTTTCAAATTACATCTATAGATAGGTTAAGTCATGCGTTACTTTGTTTCAGCATAAAATAGGTCATTATGAATTATTTTACATAAAAGTGATTCACTGGGTCTGACAGGGTTGAGAACTACTATGTCTACCTAACTTAACTTCTATAAATCTCAGTTACTTTATCTATAAATAACATGGGGTAATAACACTTGTCTTAGAAAATTCTTGTGGGAAATGGTAGATAATACCTTATAGCAGTTAGCACAGTGCCAGGCAATGTTTCATCCATATTAGCTATAAGACGCCATTATTCCACAAGTTCCACGTTCTTTTTGAAGTTAGAGCCTATGTTTAATATATCTATTATTGACAATTTCTGGCATGTATCTTTCAACAAATATTCACTAAAGTCTGTAAAGTTTCACCAAAATAAAATCCCTTTTACATTTGAAGAAAAAATAATTTTGTCATTCTTAGAAATATATTCATAAAAATATCTAAGTTTGAGCTATTTTATTAGTAAAATGAGGTAGAAATTGTGGGGAGAAAGGAAGAATTAATCCATGACATTGTGTCTGGAGCAGCTAACAAAGCTCACTATCAACCATGGAGAGCAGTTGGAATAGTAAGAGCACAGCTGTCTCCCATTGACTCAGAATTCCCAAGATAACTATGAACCCACACCTGAAATTATTGTAGCAAGCATATTTGGATGATAACACTTTTGGTAATTTACCCAAAATTTATATTAAAAGTGGCTAACATTCTAAGTTCTTTGCTATCAAAAAGAAGAAAAGTCTAAGTAGAAACAAAGACACAACTACTAGTTTATTTCATTCTTATCTTAGAAAAAGATAGAAGGCATTTTAGAGTAGCAAAAGATACAGTTATCATCTTAAACTTAACTCTCAATACATTGCAAATGCAGAAAGATGTCCCTTTTTGTCATTTTTTGATAAATAAATCATCAGAGTTTATGTAAGCCCTGGAAGACAGAGTTCTAATGCATTTTTTACCTGCAAATAGCAGGCACAATAAATAGCAAGCTCTAGATAATAAAGATTGGTAAACATTTCTAGAATCTATTCCTTCACAAGAAAAAATATCCATCTCATTTTGAGGCAAATTTTTTTGAGCTTCTAGTTTTTGCTATAAAAGCAAGGTAAAGGTGTATTAAGTGGTTAAATATGCATACAAATAGCAATCCATACAAAATAGTAGTAACTATATGGGTAAACATACACACATATGCATGTGTCTTTCTACATAATACATATACATGATATAGAAAAAGGAGGGAGAGACAATATTATCTTTCTTTCCAAATTTCTGTTCAAAATAAATGGGATACCAATAGATGAAGGACAACTATAAATGACCACTGATGTTCCTTGTATAAGTGTACTTGCAATTTGTCTTGGGAGTTTGAGTCTCTGTGCATTTCTGGTTGACTGTTTTTTTCATTTTTTTAATTAAATGAACTTTATTTTAGAATAATTTTAGATTTACAGAAGAGTTGCAACAATAGCACAGAGCATTTCTCTAGGCCCTGAACCCTAATTATTTCTTATTAACCTGTCACATTACTAATATTTGTCGCAACTAACATTGGTTCTACTTTTTCCCCGTAAAGACTGGCCAGCTCTTACATTTTTTCTCTTCCAAACAGCTTTTTTTGAGGAATATTAAGTTTGTCATTATGTTTCACATTTAAACTGTCAGAAACGTACAGTTTTACTTCACAGAGCAAAGGTAAGAGTGAGGCTGCTGTTTCAAATGTTGAAGATTACGTAAGGGTGTTGTGATGGGTTTGAAACTGGAGATTTCAGTTTATGATTCTGTGGTGGAGAAGCATATGTATGGATGCCCAGCCTCTCGAGCATTCTGCTTTCATTTTGACTAGATCCCTCCTTGTATTGCTCATCTTCTGAAGACTGAAGTTAGATAACTCACACTCCTGGATTCCTTTGTAGCTATGTTCCAGGTATTTACCCTGCATTCAAGCAAGGTGTAAACTCAAAGTGGTACAGTGTACAGTGCCCATATCATGGGAACTGCTTTTTTTTTCCCCCAACAGTGGATGCTATGTAGTACTGTGATACAGGGTTTCACAGTACTATTTAGTCCCGAGGGGCAAAAGTATTGATCGGTGTTTTCCCCAAAGAAATGTCACCACATAATTTGACCCAGTTCCCACACAGTAGCTTCAGAAGCTAGTACTTTAACCTCTACAGTCATTCTTGAGTGACCTAGTAGTCTACAAATAATCTCTCAGCCTAAACTAACCAAAGTGGACTGTGTTGTTTGCAACTAAGAATACTCACTAACATAATAATTTTTAAAGCATGAAGGGAGTGGCAAGTAACAGAGTCTAAAAACATAGAACTGACTCTGTGGAGGAGATGCTGGCACAGAGAGTGAAGATTTAATCACCTCGGGCTAGAAAGCCGATACATTTTGATACGCAATTGCAAAACAGCTGGTCAAATCTTGCTCACTATAAACTTTGACCACCATGCCACCTGAAGCTTTTTTATTAGTGGGAATGGTGGGAAATAAAATTCAGAATGTTGGCAAGTGATTATCAAATGTTTCCCCCTTTCAAGAATATACTACCATACACAGAGATACATTCAAACTGAATGTAGACAGTTTATAGGTAGAGATGCAAAGGAGAGCAGCCATGTTCAAAAGAGGGTCATGTGCTAGTGTCCTGCAATATAAATTGACTGAGAATATCATAATTTGGAACTCTGCAGGGTTGAGAAAAGCCAGCTGATTCTGAACACAAAAAGGTACCTGTACAAGCAGAGGCTTCTAAGTGCAACTTCAGAAATAGATAAAATTGTTGCCCTAGGGCTTTTCCAGCACCATCCTTTAAGAGGTCTTCGAGTCAAAATGAATGGTAGCTTAGTGGCAAAAACCAAATTAAAGGTGTTGCATTCTCACCCTGGCATATTATTTTTCAGGAACTGAGGCTGCAGCCATTAGGTTAAGGGAGATGAATTGATCAGAACAGAGGAGCCAAGAGATAAGAGACAAAATTGTCCAGGCTTACGTGGTTACTTGCTCATAAAATTGTCTTAGAGCCCGTCTCCTGGAAGCCTAGTAAATTCTCCAGGAAACAGTACTGCCCAAAAGTCATATATACATGCTGAGAAGCTAAAGAGGTTGTTGGTGGCAGACGCTATAAGTACACTCATACAACAACCTTTCAAACCACTCCTCTCCTTCCCTTTTTTAGTTTTATGCAATTTCCCAACCTCCCCTGCAACTAGAGATGGACTTTAGCCAATGTGTCTCACATTTGGCTGGCTACAGCTGTGCTTAAAGTAATTCCTGGGTCCCTGCACTCACAGCAATTAAAAGAAAAAAAAAAAGACTCCAAGTAGAGCATCTCCCCAGCTAGGAAGACCACATGCCTGGATTTCCTGGGATGGTCCTCATTTATGGATATTGCAGATAATGGAATGACTTTTCATTCTTTTGGAGCCCTTTTTAATTTACTTTCACCTTTCACAGTACTCACCCTTGAGTGTAGGCACTGATAAAATGAGCAAAGAAGGTTTACCCATATGTAGACTCAAACTAGTAGAGGGAAACTGATAAACGAAATTCATCTAGAAAGTAGCAGGTCATACAAGATTGACTAACCCAGAAACTACTTCTGTTGCTAGGACCAGGAAGTCCTGAATATACCTGTCCAGCAGGACTCTATGGTTGCTACATACAAAGACTATGTATTTTCCATTTCCTGTCTTACTAAATCAGAAATTTTAAATTGCTGTCATCCTATTTTCTTTTCTCTCCACAATACATTGGGAGTGTTGGACAAAGATACATAGTGTTTAATTTGTGTCCCAGGATCTACAAAGAACCAAACCTGAAGCTTGTGAAGAGACTACAGAAAGATCCTGGACTTCAAGCTAAATGCAGTAACTGAATATAATTTTTAGATTACCTACATTGAAAGGAAGAGAATGAATTCACTTCATTTAAAGTAAACATACATGTAGAAAAGTCATATATACATGCTGAGAAGCTAAAGAGGTTGTTGGTGGCAGATGCTATAAGTACACTCATACAACAATCTTTCAAACCACTCCCCTCCTTCCCTTTTTTAGTTTTATGCAATTTCCCAACCTCTCCTGCAACTAGAGATGGACATTAGACAAAGTTCTTCCAAAGAGATATGAGCAATAGTATTCTGATGCTGTCTCCTCTTTTTTCTCCCTTTACTACCCTGAAACATGGATGTAGAACAGGCTTCACTAAAAATGTTAAAATAGGAAGATAAAATAAGCTTTGTTCTTTGAAGGGATAATTGAGTTACCATACTTATATCTGAACTTCTTGTTGAATGAAATAAATGAATGTCTTCTTTGATAAAGCTGTGGCTTAATGTGAGATTAATGCAATTCTGATTGGATCAAGTAGGAAAAGAATAAAAAACATAGTAAGTTCATTTTGTTTGATTATATCTGAAATAAATTTAAATAAGTTTAAGAACTCTTATTAGTTTTTATACTTGCTGTGTTCTATGGTATTCCTTAGCTATTTAAAATGTGTTTCACAAACCTTGACTTTTATGAAAATATACAGGTTTGCATTTTAGCTGGGAAATGGTAGGCTCTTGTAGTAAACAATTTGACAGCAAGAGAAATATCCTCACATACAAGAGGAAAAAAATCTATCATGTGTAATAGTGGGAGAATGCATAGTCTCACTAAACCATTTCTGAACTGAATAATTTTTTAACCAAGACCCCGGGTTTAGGGTTTACCAGTTTGTGAATTTGGCTTTTCTTTTATCAACAGAAATTAAGAATTTTTACTGCACAAACTTGATAAATAAAGTACTGCTAGAGCCAAGTTATTTGTTTTGCAGTTTTCCTTTAATTAAAAATAATTCTCTTCTTAAAGAGTGATTCATATTTCTAATTTTAAATGTTTTCATTGTTAAAGAGAGAGCTGGTTTTGTTTCCATGGGAATAAGGTCTTTTATTCCATTCAAAATTAAAGAAAAATATACTCCTTTTCTGGCCTCAGTATTATTGTATGTGTGTCTGTGTTTTGTTTTGATTTTAGTTTCTAATTTACAGGTGCTGTGCTCTGCAGAGCCAATCACTTATTTGGCCAATTTCCTTTTGGCAGTCATCAAAATGACTAATTTCCTTATAATTGCTTATTCCACCTTTGCAAATATTTTCAGATATAGAGTCTCCTAGATATGGTCTAAATAGATATTTCCTATCATTAAAGCAAAATTTTTTTGGCCAAGTTATCAGAGTTTAACCCATCATGAGATGGATCGCTCTACCTAGAGAAACGCTCATGGCTTTCATAGTCAGTAAAGCCTGATTGCCTGACTTCAATGGAAAAAAACAAATTCCTGCCCAAGTAACCATCTCGGAATACAACAGCATTGCTGAAGTAGTATAGTAGAAGAGAGCTGTTAAATATTGAAAACTGCACTTATAGTTGGGCTAGATCTAATGAAGCAACTAAAATATACTTCACACTGCAACTATACCAGAAAAATCTCAATAGTAAGTGCTGTCACCATTAGAAATCACGTTTGTTAAGAATATCTAAAATTTCTAGCTACATATTTTAATTGTAAAAAGATCCTGTAATATTTAAAATAGTATTGTACCAGCTTTTATTAAAAGATATACTGATAAAATAAATAATGGACCAGGCAGAGTGGCTCACGCCTGTAATCCTAGCACTTTGGGAGGCTGAAGTGGACAGATCACTTGAGGTCAGGAGTTCGAGACCAGCCTGGCCAAAATGGTGAAACCCTGTCTCTACTTAGAATACAAAACAAATTAGCCTGGCATGGTGGCAGACACCTGCAACTCCAGCTACTCAGGAGGCTAAGGCAGGAGAATCGCTTGAACTGGGGAGGCGGAGGTTGCATTGAACTGAGATAACACCACTGCACTCCAGCCTGGGTGACAGAACGAGACTCTGTCTTAAAAAAAATAAATAAATAAAATAAGTAACTACTGAATATACATGATTAATAAATATATACGTATATAAAAATATATATTCATTAAAATAAGCTATAAGCGTATATATCAAAATATCAAAATATAGGTGATAGAATTTGTGAAAAATGTTATTTTATTATTTATATTTTTTCTGTTACAATAAAAAATGTAGTTTCAAATATCTTCTAGTAATTATGAATGATCTCATTCTAGCTCGGCCTGGAAGGCAGGGCATCAGTTGAGAAAATCATCAGCAGAAACCTCCTGCCAGAGCCATCTCGAGGCAAAGCAGCCACGGCAGCCTTTCAAACAGTAATTAAATTCTCTAGTTACAGCTTAATTCCTTAAACTCTGACCCAGCAAATGGAAATACTATAAGACACTCAACTTTCACATTTCCTATTAGTGATTGATCATGAATTATGTAACCCACTTCTATTGCAATATCGGTATCTCACTTGTTATTGCATGAAGATCCCTAACACTATTATCTTCAAATTCTATTATAGTAGATGGACAAACTCTGACTTCAAAACCCAGTGTTGATGCAGAGAAACTTTTCTCACCTACATTTAACAGGAGCAATTTAGTTATTGGAGTATTGGAGTTTAAAAAAAAAAAGAGTCCTCAACACTTTAAATTCTCTCATAGTTTTTCTTTGTAGTATTAAGGCACTGTAAATCCATTTCAGAAGTCAATAACATAGGAAACAATGAAAATAAGAACAAGAAAGGAATTATATTATTAGCATGACTTTTGGAAAAGGAAAAGAGGAGTTCATGCACTGGCTTTTAAGGGTTGACTGAAGAAAGCACTTATGTTTTAACAGATCATAGAAACAAAGGGCAAAATATGACCTTATAAACTACATTAATTTCCCTGAACCACCTTCTAGAACCCACAATTAGATTATAAATCTTTCAAAGTCTTGTATTATATGTTTATATCTAATAATTTCTCCGCAGATAAAGTTGCAGAATAAACTTGTTTTAACAGCTGTTTTGATGACTAATAAATAACATTAAAACAGTTGAATAATAACAGTAAGTGAATACTAAGTTTTTAAAATACTATCAAAATTATAATGTAAAATATAATTATTAAAATAATAAACATAAAAAATTGTTTAGGAAAATACCCCGTGTTCATTTTGCTACGAAAAGAGAGACCACTTAAGAAGAGAGATATCAGCGAACAGGCAGATCAGATTATTCTCTCAAGAAATTAGAAGTGTGTGTGTGTGTGTGTGCACAAGTGTGCACATGTGCTCGTGGTGATTTCTATTCACCATTTCTTTGGTTCACCTTGTATTTTCCCAGCTCAAACCCTGTATTCATGTTTTTCCTCATTAAGGATGTCTTTTCCCTACTCCTCTGGTGAACACTTACCTGTCTTTCAAAACCCACATAAAGATTCATCCCTGTGTGAAAGTGTCCTGGGAGTTTTTTGTTTGTTCCAAGCTCTAGTGCCTGCAGCAAGTAGGTATTCAAAATCGTTTGCATAATAAATAAGAGAAACATCACAGGTAGGAGTAATTATACTCTCTTTTTAATTCCTCATTAGATATTACAAATATACTTGTTTGAATTAGTGGCATAATTATTGTAGCAGAAATTAAACTATTTGTTTGAAGAAACAAGATCCACTTTGGATGTATGTTTGATATTTATTTGATATTTTAATAAGGAAATTATCTTCCCAAATCTGACTTTTATTTAAGTGGCGATATGTGTTCTTTCTAAAAATTTACCCGTCCATAGAACAAAGAGCTAAACATCAATAATCTCTAAAGTCATTGGTTGTAATGAGGAACAAAAGATCATACAACTGTAAAGGGACTGGAACAGTGTCTGTTGCTGTTGTTTGTGGTTTTCTTATTCTAGCTATAATATTCAAAGATCTGTGATTCACAGTATTAGTTACACATTTTTTGTATTTCACTTTCAAGGTCAATATGTATTAGACATGATGGAATAATAGAACTAGCTTAGAAAAAGACCTGTCTAGTTCAAATTCCATTGGAGCCACTCACTAGCAATACGACTTCGGGAAAGTTGCTCAGTTGCACTGAGCCTCTGCGCCCAATCGATAAAACTGAAGTAATGATAATTACTTTTAAGGGGATTAAATATTACATACACACACACACACACACACACACACACATATATATATACACACATATATATCACATAGAAATGTTCTAGGCACTTAGATTTTTAATTACAGGTAACTGCTTGTAACTAATTACATTATTCAAATGTATAAATATATTCCACCCTTAACAGCAAAGGACATGTCAACATAGATATATAAAATATAATACATTCTAATTTCCTAATTATAAAACCCAGGAGATTGATTAAATAATGTATATATACTGATACAATAAAATCATAATCAATTATTAAACATTTAGGTTTAGCAATATCTTTTACAATGTGGAAATTTTTACAATGGATCACTGAGACAAAAAAACTTATAATGTAGGGATTATAATGATTCTAATACTTAAATTTTATATTCTTTTGTATATATATTTATGTCTCTGTGTGTGTATATATATGATTGGATATATACATCGTTTTATGTGGATTTGTATATATACCCATATTGTTGAAGGTATGTATATAATTGATAGTGACAGGAGGCAGCCAGATGCCTAGGCAGATAGGGTTGTGTAGCAGGTGAAACCCCTCCTCAAAGCTGAATACAGTTTAAAGCCTGAAAGCCTAGTTGCAAGTTAAATCCTTGGACTGGATTCAGAACTTGTCTTCCTGTTTGATGTGCTATCCTCTGACTGATCCCCACCCTTCATCTATTTTATACATACCTGCCCTTTCCTAATTGGTTTTCTACGTTTTCATGTCCACCTTTGAGTGAGGTCTTCACTTTAACCTTTTTTGCATACTCACAAACCAGTCAGCATGCACACACCATCCTGTGCCTATAAAGACCCCAGATTCAGTCAGTAGAGGAGAGACGGCCTGACCTTGAGGGAGAGACAATGAGACTCCAGCAAAGATGACCTGAACTTCCTGTCCCCTCTCTAGCTCCCCTCTCCGCTGAGAGCTGTTTTCATCACTCAATAGAATTCTCCACCTTCACCATCCTTCAATTGTCCACATGACCTCATTCTTCTTGGACACCAGACAAGAGCTTGGGACCCACTGAGTGCAGGTAGGAAGAAAAGGCTGTCACACTGGCCCCTTGCACTTGTCAGCAGAGGGCACCCACCCCACATGATGAGGCAAGGGGCCAACTGAGCTGCTAACACACCACCATCCATGGACAACAAAAGTAAAGAAGCACTGTAACACCCCCTCTGGGGTTTTGGGGTCGTGGGCACCCTCACCTGGGCAGTGCCATGTTCCCCTTGAAGTGACACACCTGGTCTGGCCACAGGTCCCACATGGGGCTTACTCCTATACTCAGAGCAGCTGGCTATATCCCACGCTCACTTGCTCACTCCTGCAAGAGGTTGAGCGCAGTGGGACAAGTAGAGAGGGCGCCCCTTCTACAAGTCTGGCGAAGGGGCTGAGAAATATCCCACATCATAATTACACATATATACATATTGAATTGATGATATATATGTATGTGTATATGTATGTATACATGTGTTCATATATTTATGATTCTGTATATATAACTACATACATGATCAGAACTAGAGATAGCAAAATTTTTTACAGTAGTTACCTAAAAATCACTCATATGATGGAGATGTAGTTCAGAATACTGGTTAAGATTAAGGGCTCAAGCAACATTATTCATAATACCTAAAAGTAGAGTCAATTCAAACCTCTACCAACTGGAGAAGAGACAAAATGTAGTGTACCCATACAATGGAATAGTATTCATTATTAAAAAGAAACCACCTGCTGAGACATACCCCACATGAATGAAACTCAAAAACATTAGGCTACATGAACAAATCCAGATGCACACTTAAAATGAATAAATTGTATCATATGTATATTATACCACAGTAAAACTTAACAAGAAAAAAAATAAAAATGAGAGTTCACTTTTGGTTCCACCACTTGTTGACTATTGTACTACTTAATCTCTTTGCCTTGGTTTTGTCTTCTGTTTAATGGTGATAATAATAATGATACCTACCTCATAATACTGTTGTAAGAATTAAATGGATTAATGTGTACATGTGTATCACTTAGTATAGCACTTTGGAGTGTATAGATACATAAGCAATACTTGTAAGTATCTCTGGAATGAATGCATGCATTCTTTTCAACTTCGTATTTGACTGAGAGTTGGTGGTTTTAATTTCTCCCACTGTTGCATTCTGTAAATTACCAGAAAACTATAACAGCAGTTAAGGAATAGAAGAGCTGAAAGGCAAATGACCAGCACACCACATGCCAAACCCATAAAGAAAATGCCATGAAAAAATACATACAACTACATATTTAGCTTTAAGTATATCTTTGGTTCTCTCTCTCAGTCCTTTCAGTATTTCTTTGTCCTTTTCTGAAAGATCTTAGCATTTGTGTCTTGATAATAAATCTTAAACACAAAGCATTTTTCTGGAGTGTATGATCCAACTTTCTTATTTCAGAAAAGGAAACCTCTGTATAAAGACTAATAAACATTTTGCACTAGTAACAATGAGTGAATTGGAAAGAAAATTGTGGATATAAAAGTTTTGGAAAAATAATAGCACTTTATAAACTATTATAATTGTTTTTAATGCTTATATAGTCAGTCTGTATAAGTATATGGATAGTTTAAAGACTTTTAAAAATATTGAGTGTTGGCCGGGCATGGTGGCTTATTCCTGTAATCCCAGCACTTTGGGAGGCTGAGGCAGGCGGATCACTTGAGGTCAGGAGTTTGAGAACAGCCTGGCCAACATGGCAAATCCTCATCTCTACTAAACATACAAAAATTTCCCGAGCATCGTGGCACATGCCTGTAATCTCAGTTACTCAGGAGCCTGAGGCAGGAAAATCGCTTGAGCCTGGGAGGCAGAGGTTCCCATGAGCAGAGATTGCGCCATTGTGCTCTAGCCTGGGCGACAGAGTGAGACTCTGTCACAATTTTTTTAAAAAGTATATATATATATATGTGTATATATATATATGTATGTATGTATGTGTATATATGTATATATGTATGTATACATATGTTTATATATGTATATATGTATGTATACATATGTTTATATATGTATATATGTATATGTATGTATATACATACATATATGTTTATATATGTATACTTGTATGTATACATATATATGGAGAGAGAGCAAGAGAGAGAGAGAGAGACAATGGGTTTTTCAGAAATATGGAACTCTCCTCTATCAATTTCCGTCTGCAATGAGCACAATTCTTATTGTGATAGCTGTATCCAGTTCATTACTTGACTCACTGAATGTTATTGTCAATATTTTAATAGAAAGTTATTATTTAGTATTAGTATTTGCCTTTAAAAAGTTTGATATATTGTTATCAAAGTAGATACATGTATCTACTTTGAATTGTGACAAATATGGGATCGTATTGTACATATCATTTACCCCTTTAACTTAACACATTGGGTACATCCTGACACATCATTCTTTTTAATAAGTATATTGTATTTCATTATATTACTGTGTCCTAATTTATTTAACTATTCCCCTATATACAGTAGATAGACATTTAAGTAGTTTCCATTTATCTACTGTTGGAAGCAATACTACACAGAACCACAGAACCCCTTGTATATGTATATGTTTATAAACTTGTGAAAATATGTTAGTCAAATTATTAAAAGTAGCTTTGCTAGATTTAAAGGTGTGCATATTATATGCATATCTGTATACACACACATTACTAAAATGTTATCCAGAAACACGTATGTGCTTACCCTTCTATCTGCTTCTCTGTACTCTCATTAACACTAAGAATTTTTACTGTTTAATATTTGCTGATGAGATCATTGAAAACCTATCTTTTTATATTATATTGACTTTTAGGGAGCACATCCATCCTACAGTAAACAAAATACAGGCATAAATATTCATGCAATACTTTTCTATTTCCTTACCAGCCTATCTGAACAGAAAAACATTCTAATGAAAAGCTTCACATTCCCACATCTAAAAGACCTCTAGGGAGATAATAAATATTTCTTGCCAGAGAAAAAGAGTTAAACAAAATCAATAGCCAGAGTTTATTTTTGGCAAGAAAACAGGATCAGTCAGCATTCATTTCTGTAGACACCTGGCATCCTTTCTCTTAGCTATTCCCCCACCTTCCTTGCTAGAAAAGAAGAGCTGCCATCTTTCAAGAAACTTTGAGGCAATGATGGAAATGCCAGTAACAAGTTGTGGTTCCATCAGCTTCCCAAACAGACTTTATCTGAACACCAAACTTGAATCGGGAGAGGCAATCACAAAAGTAAACACTGTCAACTAACATCCCTCTCATCCCAAACATGAGCAATACAACAGCACAGTACAGGCTTATACAAAGAAGATTGTACTAATCACCAAGGAACTGCTGGAGAAATGTTAGGAAATCTCACATTCCAATTAACTTTTCCACTTAAGTCTAAGCTTCAACCAATTATCTCAAACGGAGCAAATGTTCTTAAGAATTCACAAATAGTAATGTTGGTTATTCCTCAGTCCTCTCTGGGCTCTTTTGCTAGATGTGAAAAATGCAAAGAGATGGAATTTTTGAAAATGCCAAGTCACTGCACAAATACCACAAAACACTTGGCAACACCTGTCATATTTTGGCACTGGTACTCATCTGTCTGCAGTATTGCCCTTTATCATTAAAATGCAAACTTAAGTGCCATAAGAACTAAAGTTGAATAAATATGTTTATGAACATCTGAATGAAAAATTTACCAGACACCTGTTTGAATGTATTTAATATTTCCAAAAGTTTGTGTAATAAAACATAAAACAACCCAATTTGATCAAACATAAGCATAGCTTATATTTTAAAAAGTATAACAAATACTGTGCTCTAGGTGATAAAGAGGTAAGACTGATGGTTCACATAGAAATCATTCTGATGAAAGCGATTACTTTAGGTTGAACCATATAATATTTCCATTTTTATAGGTCAAAAGGGTCAAATGTCAAGAATTTCACATGGCTCGATTGTGTAATGACCAGTTCTGCATGATGAAGAAGGATGTGTCCTAACTGAAAATCCAGTATGTGCTTTGCAAGTATAAGAAAGATATTACATTTAAAAAAAATAACTAGTGCATTCACAAAACCTAGTCTGATTATTAAAGATACTGAAGAGATCAGTGTCGGGGAGATGGAGAGAAGAACGGCATTGTACAGCTTAACGACAAAGTTGAGGAAGCCCTGGGATCATCAAGATATACTAAATTTGATTCATTTGAGAACAGCATTGATCCTAGAGAGGATCATTTAGACATTAGTGAATGCTTTTCCAGAAATTCAGCCATTCCTCAGGGAACTTCCCAATTCCTCTCTCGCCAGATAGGGGATTAATTTTGTCTACTCAAAGAAATCTAAAGCTTTCAAGCTCACATGAGAATATTAACCTGACATGTGACTCTAAAGTAGGGAGCAGTAAAGAAACTTCTGGCTGTTAAGAATTTTCTTGGAGTTCTAAAATCACAAGATCCATACTCATAAGGAGTGGCTGATAAAGAAAAAGGGTAAGATTTCTAAAAAGTGGTGAAAAGAGAGTTGGGTGCCAATATTTAAAAAGGCACAGCAAAAACTAGGCAAAATAGTCAGAGGTCTCAGGTCAGGATGGAGTGGCCAAAGATGGTAAGGAAAGTTAGGTCGGTAGAGAGCATTGACATAAGAGTTATTTTTGAGTTGCATGCCACGCTGATCCCTTTTCCATAAACAGAAAGTTATCTAAGGGGATTGTTTCTCTCTGACTGTGCACCGGCTACTACTTGTACTTAAAGGACTCTAACTGTAGAGTAGCCTCCAAAATCTGAGATCGCCTGGAGTGCCAGTTCATCAATTTATCAGCTACTTAATTTCCCCCAACTGTATCATTTTTTTCTACAACATTACTCTCATATTATGAAATAGATTGGGTTCAAATCATTTGGTTTCATCTCAATCCTTGTGATTGAACATGCAATTGAAAAATACAACTGAATTATTTGTTTTAATTCATCCTTGGAACAAAGCAAGGAACAAATAATTGCTTAAAATTAAATATTTATTAAAGCATGTCTTAAACCATTTTAAATATGGCCCTTGTAGCAGCAATATTAAAAAGATAAAGTTAATGTCTCCTTTTTGATGAAATTTTCCCAGCACATATACTTAATTATCTGCCAATTAGTAGAGTTCTATAAAGTAATAAACCTATGAATGCCAGAGGGCGCCTTAGGCATCATCTTGCAGTGAAAAGTCATGCCAAATGTTCCCCCAGAGTTAGTGGTAGGTTTCCATCTTGTTCTTTCTTAACCTTATACATTGTTCTGTAAGGACAGGGTGAAAAAAGATGATATGGATCTAATCATAATAAAAGCTCAAGAGGTTACTTCCTACTTCTTATTTTAGTGCTTTAACTAAGTCAAAAGAAGTGCTATCCATTTTATTGTCCCTCCCAGTCCAATTCTAGTCAAAATCAGCTTCAAAGTTTACTGGGTAGAAACATAACTGAAAGAAAATAACAAACATATAATGAAGACTAAAGGCATTCTTAACATTTCATCAGGCAGGAAAACATTGTGGAGATGCTGATAAAAATGTCAACATCTGAGTTCATATCATAATGTTTGAGTATCGTGCACAGAAAAGAAAGGCATGTCTTTGGAATTATTTGGAAGAAAATGTCATTGAAAACAAAGGAGAAATAAGAGTGAAGCAATAGTGCAAATAAATTTTTTAAATTAACAGTAAAAGTTTATAGAAGATGCTTTCATTGGTAAAAAAATCAATTATAGAAATTATCTTTTGAAAATAATTATTAAACATATTTTTATGCTTACTTTATACCCAAAATTATTTTAGGAGGTTGTCCTTAAGTAGCTCAAAACTTAGGTGAGGAAAATTACAGTAACATATATAAAGTACATAAAAATTTGGAAGGACTGTATCAAAAATGGTCTCAAATGTCGTAAGACTAATGGGGAAAAATGTTAAAGGCAAGTAGTAGATATGCCTGAGATAGCACATTCTTTTAATTTTGAGTAATGACTTTTTATATAGAACTCAATGAGTAACGTATAAAAAATTCACAACAGTATTACATCCTAACTAGCCCATTAAGGAACTTGGGGTTCTGGCTATACTATCTACAATTTCACAAAAGTCTGAGACATTTTTCTCAGCCATAAATGTAAGGATGTAAATGCACATGATACTGTATTTTAGATTTTAGATGTGTTGAACACTGTAAACCATTAATGCCAGACCACAAAGGATGGTGGTGGTCAGGATCACTGATATTACTGTGTGGTCATAATCATCATAGTAGAAGCAGCAATTTTATATCATCTTGAATTTGTGGGGTGTAATTAGTGGAATACTGACTCTGCTAACACAGTGAATGAGTTATTTTTTGTCAGAGTTTTTTCTTCAACTGTTTATTGGGGTATAACTAAAATACAATTAGCTGCATACATTTGAAATGTACAATATTTTTAGGTCTTGGCATATGCATTCACCTATATAATCATCACCATGATTAACATAATTAAAGTTGTATTTCAAAAGTTTCTCCAAAAGTTCCTTTGAGATTCTTTGTAATCAGTTCCTCTCATCCTTTCCTTTCCTTACTCCCCAGGAAAACACTGATCTGATTTCTTACACTGGAAATTAGTCTGCATTTTGCATTTTCTATAATTTTATATAGATGAAATTATACTGTAAGAATTCCTGTCTGAATTCTGTCACTTACCATAATTATTTTGAGACTTACCCAAGATATTGTGTATACCTACAGCTCATTCCTTTTCACTATTAACTAGTATTTCAGTCTCTGGATTTACCACGACTTATATCTATTCACCTATTGATATCTATTCACCTATTGATGAAGACTTGGGGTTGTTTTCAGTTTTAAGTTATTATAAAAAAGCAGCTATGAATATCTGTATACAAGTCTTTGTATGGACACATATTTTCTTTTCAATAAAGGAATGAATTCTTTTCCCAAGTGGTTTACCATTTTATATTCCCACCAACAACAGAATTCCAGTTCTATGAGAATTCTCACCAACACTTAGTGACAACAGGATAAAGGTATAGAGGAGACAACTAGAAGTGTATTATTATAACTTTCTCATATTGTATGTGAAGTAGTATTAATATTATATTACTGGTAGGCTGTTATAACTTAAAGATATATACATAATAAACTCTAAAGCAATAACTAGAATAACAAAATAATGAGATATAAATAACCCAACAAACTATATCATATACAATTATAAAAAATATTCAAGTGGTTCAAAAAAGGGCAGAAAAAAATAATACTAGGGGACAAAGAACATACTATTATACTAAGTATGATGTGATTTTCACATAGTTTTAATTTGAATTTCCCTAATAACTAATGCTATTGGGCATATTTTCATGTGTTTATTTGCTATCAACACAAATCTCCTGTGAGTACTTCAAAATGATAGATAATTCTGTTCTTGTTGGGCAAAGTGTTCTAAGTAGCCTACCTACGAGTAGTATAACTATTTGTGTCTTTATTTAAAGTGTATTTCTTACAGGCAGGATATGCTTGCATGTTGCTTTTTTATTCAATCTGACAATCTCTGCCTTTTATTCGGGGCATTTAGATGTTTTTTATGCAATGTGATCATTGGCATATTTAAGTTTTAGTCTATCATCTTGCTATTTGCTTTCTGTTTTCCCCCATTTGTTTATTTTACCCCCTTTATAGGATTTATCATTTTTGATATTAAAATTTGTCTACTTAGGCCGCGCGTGGTGGCTCACACCTATAATCCCAGCACTTTGGGAGGCCGAGGCAGGCGGATCACAAGGTCAGGAGATTGAGACCATCCTGGCTAACATGGTGAAACCCTGTCTCTACTAAAAATACAAAAATTAGCTGGGCGTGGTGGCGGGCGCCTGTAGTCCCAGCTACTCGGGAGGCTGAGGCAGGAGAATGGGGTGAACCCAGGAGGCGGAGCTTGCATTGAGCCGAGATCGCGCCACTGCACCCCAGCCTGGGCGACAGAGCGAGACTCCGTCTCAAAAAAAAAAAAAAAAAAAAAAGTCTACTTTATTAGCTTTTTAACCATAACATTTTTTGTTTTCTCTTTTTAGTGGTTGCTTTAGAGTTTATAGTACACACCTTTAAGTGGATATTTATGTGATAATAGAAGATACAGGCATGAGTTGTGTTTCTTCCATTTTGCTTGTTGGGATGGATTATTTAGCAAAAATCTATTGGTCTCCCAAAGGTTTCTCATTTGTAAAATGATAACAACAATCATAATGACAATGATTAGTTGTGAAGTATTATACATATGATAGGATTTGAGATACAGTAAATGACCACACAAATATCCATGCCTATAATTATAATGATATTTGCAATGATTTGGGTTTTGTTTTAGATATTTCTTCCTTGCCATTAATATTTCTTCAACACATTGCTTACCTATTTAAAACTTCTTTTGCCCAGCTTTCAAATATTACCTTGCTTTAAACATCTTTTATTTGGAGTCAAATATCTATCCTATTGTCAAGTCAAGTTGGCAGCACCAGGCAGAACTGACCACTTCTCCCCTACCTCCCTAGGACTGGCTCCCCCTGTTGACGATGTTAGCCTCAGCATCATCTCCACTCCAATTGTAATGAAAGCTCTGGGGCAAAAAAAATCATGTGTCTTACATATTTACCTCAGTGTCTGTAACACTGTGGAGAGTACCTCACACTTAAATACATGTTCAACGAATTATTTATCTACAGAGTGTTGGGGCGGATACTAACCAAAAAAATGCTCAGAAAGCTGAATTTTACACCATATGGATCTGAGTCAACAGGGATCTGCAGACTCCCAGTTTGGCCAGGGACAGTACTAGCGTGTTGATCTTTTTCTGCTTTCAAAATAGGTGGTCTACACAAGGGGTACATCCAAGAAGTGAGGGAATGAACCAAGTAGAGATAGATTGGCATTTTAGTTTTCGGATCTTGAAAATGCTGCTAGATCAGTTGGTTGTAGTGTAATACTACACTCAGGGGAAATTGCTTCAACCCACAAATGAGTGACTAGCATGCCCCATTAAGACTTCCCTGGTCTCCATTCCACACATGAAACATACAAGTGATAGTTTTAAGATGTTCCAATCATTGATAGACCAATAACCCAGGACTTGTATGGTGCTTTGTAAAGATGAACTGAGCTAATTATTGAAAAACCCAAATAGGTTTCCAGCAGCAAACTGAGTGCTAGAGTTGGGAAACACATGGCCAAGGCTATGATATACCATGGGGAAGTGAAAAACAAGAAAATCTATTGAGTAGTGATCAAGAATCAGATCAGTGTGCAGAGAAGCGAGGAAAGGGAAAAGCGGGGAAAGGAGGGAGATAGGGACACAGTGAAAGGAGTGTGTGTGCAAATGGAAAGATGGAAAAACAGATATAGGTGAATAAACTCTCAGAGAAGAAGAGAGGAATAAACAAGCATAATCATTTCTGCCCTTGGGACAATTTGTTTGGCTTTTCCTGGTTTCTGCAAGGACTTTCTGTTCTCATATATTAAAATTTGTCCTCACCTAATCCGTTTTCCATGTACTAGTTTAATTGTAGAGGGTTCTCTTTCCTCTGACTGAGACAGATTCCTGCAGAACAGTCCTTTTTACCCACAAAGATTGCTGTTTGTACCCCCAACTGCTCCCTAAAGATCTGGGAGATTTTATTTAAGTTCTGTTTGGTTCTCAATTTAAAACTAAGTCAAGTTCATAGCACCTTGCACCCCTGCCTATGGAATATTACAGTGATAGCTCTAAACATGCATCTTGATTTGATATTTTCTAGTTTACTGACTGTGAATTAATTCTCTTTGGTGACCCTAAGTTTATATTTTATGACATTCAATTTAGATCTCTCCATAACTCCTTCCGCTATTTATTATAAAACCCTTAGATTCTAGTGAGAAGCAGTGATAATGTAAATTCTGTTCTGTTGGCTTCGCTGTATGTGGATAGGTAATGGCTCAATCTCATTTAGCAAGCGAACAGTAGAATTGGTTATTATTATTTTCCTGCTGCTAGACATAATCACAATGTAGGCAATGATTAGAAAAAAAAGAGAAATAAATAAATAAATAAATTCTAATCCCATAAAGTGTGACTAAACTCCTTGCTTTAGAAACTGTGGAACCATCTTCTGTGACAAATGACTTGCTGATGTTGGTACCATCACTGTAAAATGGCTCAGACAACTGAGGAAATACTCCCTTCCCACATAGCCTAGGAAAAGACTGCTGGTAATCTAGGCAATAAATCAGATGCATGATTATGTTCAGGCTGTCATTTTAAAATATTAGTCTGCTGTGCTATCAAAATATTTTAAATATGGTATTAAATAAATTATCTTTTATAGAGCTTAGTTTATGCTTAACTGATACTCAGCCCCGGCTGAGCAGCACATGGCACGGTGGAGAGCCATGGGCCTGAGGCACTCTGCGCACCACATCTGGGTAGCTAGGAATTGAACGTGGCTGCCATATACTTCAAAAGGTCCAAAACAATCATGCTTCTAAACTACAGCATTATGAGTTTAGTGTTACTGTCTGTCAAGATGGGGAATAACTTTTAGCACATTTCCCATGGCGAAACTGAGATTCAAAGAGGTTAAGGATTGGTCCAGAAACATGTTAGACCCAGAATAGTACTGGTATTCAGGTTTATAATCTTGTTGGCCAGAGAGCTTTTTGTATAACGTGGAATCACTCTTTAAGTCAATACTTTCCATGGTACTTAACTACAGTGCTTTACATATAACGGTCACTCAGGAAATTAGGTGGAATTAAATGGATACTCCAAGAAGTAAGTGGAGCTGATTGTCCAGTCGGTTACATACGTAGAATACTTAACTACCATTCCCATGCCTATTCAATGCTACTATAAATGAGGACACATTTGCACTCCTATCACAGGCATTTTGTTGACTAGACTTTCATTAACTTAATTCTTTACTCCAATGGTTAATATCTATTAAAAACAGATTAAGTAACACATATCTACTATCAGCTTTATGACCTACCTCAACTCTTGCAGGGAGTCAGCATGAAATTTGTTTTTATTTCAGAAGTTTGCAAAAAGGAGGCACCAAGGCCTCAACTATAGAGTCCTCAGAGAACAGCATCAACATATGAAGAAAATGTCATCTCCTAACTCTCAAATTTCTTATTCAAACTGGCAGACCATACTGGCATTTTCTCTCTATAACTCACTGAGAGAGACTTACTTGTTTTCCTCCTGAGGGAATGGTTTATGATAAGCATAAGACATTTCATTAACAGTAGCAAAGGAAAGTGAAATTGAAGGTCATAATTAATTATGAAATGATCAACTATACAATTCAGTATCAAAGAGCAAAGATAACCAGCACCTTAGATTTATATGACACTTTATCATTTTCAAAGTGCTTTCATATGTGTTATCTTAATTAATCTTCACGTGATATTTTAGGAATTAAACATTTGTTTACAACCCCTTGTAACTCAGATTTCTGTAAGGGCTTAATTGGTTATGCCTCTGTTCTCTCCAAATGCTGTCCAGAGTGCCCCATTCTGAAATCACACAACATCTATAGTATTTTAAAGATTATAAATTCAAACTCTTTGTTTTAAAGTAAGATAAATAAAATTAAAATTGAAATTATTTAGCATTAAAATCTCTAGAGGGCATTAAAGTGCAATTAATGGGGGGATAATTAAGGCCAAATCCCAAAGTTGAAAAATTATTTCAACTACCTTTTCATTTTACCAGTTTTGTGATTGCTTGCCTTGTTTAGGTCTGCAGCAATTTTTCAAGTGAAGAGTTTGGATGTAGGGGGAAAAAAAATCACACTTCCCAATTTCTGCTTGTATCTTATTTGTGGCTTCACAACAGGGCACTACTTTGTAGTGTCGAATGTACTACAACCCATCTGAGCTTTGATTTTCTCATCAGTGAAGTGAGCAAGTTGGACAAAACTATCTCTCAGATCCATTTCCCAGTCTCAGTTCTCTGATTCTTATTTTAGTAGAATTTTTTTTTTCTTTTTACAGCAACCTATTCATTGGTTCTCCCTTGGCCTCACTATTCAAGTTGGAACTTTTTTGGCATGGGACTATTACTGTCATATTTAGTGTAAAGACCTGAAGCTCAGCACAAAGATATAATCATGTTATTAATGCTAATAATAATACAGCTATCATTTTTAACACTTAACAAGTTCTATGAAATTCATATATAGTATCTACCTCAAAAAACACAACAATTCTGTGAGGTATGTATTATTATCCCTATTTTTCATATTAGACAAGCTAAAGCTCAGAAGTTAAAGTCACACTATTAATAAAACATCTTATTTTCAGAATGTCAGTATATATTTTTCCACCCCAGTTCACAGGGCAGAACTGTCAGGGGAGGGGAAGGTATGGATGAGTTCATCTGTGATGTGTATACATTTTTCAACGTCTGAACATAAATTCACTGTGAACTCATTTCTTTCTGCAAAAGAGAACCGTTTATAAAGAAAAGGTAACTCTGCAATTCTCATGCCATTTTTATGATAAATGAAAACATGCACTGGTAGCTTCAAAATAGTATTTCTGGAGCCAGTGATATAGAACCTGTATAATAAGAATAAAATCTCAGAATTCAGGAAACTGATGACAGAAAGAACTAATGTTAAAAAAGTTGGCATTTAAAAAGGAGACAAATAGAAAAGAATTACAAGTGTAGCTTCACTTAAAGTTAATAAATATTTTATCAGTAAAGTGGAAAATATTTTGAAATATTATGTACTTATATATAGTTCATGCATGGCCAGGTACAGTGTTAAATTTGAATTTCTTCTTTGAAATGATGTTTAAAAAATACATATATTGTTACTGCCAGTACAGATAGAGCCTCCTATCAAAAGGAAACCAGGCACACAACATGGAAAATTATATGAAAACTGCCAATAATAATACAGATAATTCATAGTTTAATGGTCCATTCCGGTGTGTACTTCTGTGTACTTTCCCCATGAACTATGATGCATTTTAGCCAGTCTGGTGGGAACAAGCACTAGCCCTGGTCTGGATGAGCACTGCGAATTGTCACATCAAGTACTTGGGTGGTCCTAGGTAGTTTTATCACATGCATCATTATTTGGCTGCACTTATCATTACTCAGTTGATTTCTCAAGGAGGACCCTTTGAAGGATTAAAATAATACAATAAATATTTCTATTTTATTTTACTGATTACAACTGGATCAATATTTCTAGAAATTTTATTCTCTTTGACATGCCCTATGTTGGCTCTCATACTGTTTTATTTTGTTTTTGGCTTATCAATCAAATTCAGGTTTCCAGACTTTCTATTCTAGTCAAGAGGGATTAACAGGGACCAGAGATACCCTCCCACATAAAAAAATCAAGCAGTGAGCAAAATATATCAAAGAGTGGTTTTCAATATAATGGAGATATGTCAGTGATGAACAGTGATCCCTGAGAGAGAGAAAAACAAAGAAAGAAAGAAAGTGAGCCCTATGATTACTTCAGCTTATTGCCTTGAGGGAGTTTTCCAATCATTGTGCAAGGAATAGAAACCAAGGTAGATAGTTTGCTGCACGTTGTGCACATGTACTCTAAAACTTAAAGTATAATAATAATAAAATAAAATAAAAAATTAAAAAAAAAAAGAAACCAAGGTAGAGTCCATTAGACTCTTTGAGTTGAAAGACAGAATTGAAAGTTGGGGAAGACCAAGGCAGCTAGAGGTCACAGGGCATAATATCAAAAATAAAAGAGCTGAACAGAAGGAAGATTTCAACAATCTGCACAGGGGTCCCCTTGAGAAATGAGTTGAGTAATGATAAGTGCATGCACATAAAGAAACTGCCCAAGGCCAGATTAAGATTTAAAAGTTTGATGCAATAGTGCCCAACACACAGCCAGTCCTAGAAATCATACTAATTTCTACTGGGCAGAAGACAAAACCTCCTAATTCATGAGTTAGTAGGAAGAGTATGCTGAAGAGTCTTGCCTTCATTATATGGGGAATAATTAGCCTGAAATTGAGCACTATTTCATTCCCATTTAACACATTTGAAAAGCAAGATCCAAAGCACAAAAATATTTCCATGTAACTTAAGTATGTCCAGAACTAAGCTCAATAATACCTATAGGATGCTACGATATCCAGCAAGCAACAAAGTAACATTTGCAATGTCTGCAATTCAAGCTAAAATTACCAGGCAAGCAAAGTAGCAGAAAAATGTAATGCATAATGAGGAGAAAAATCCATCAATCAAAAGTGACCAAGATTGGACATAGATGTTAGAATTGGTAGGGAAGGACATCAAAACAGTTATCATAAATACTGCATGTTTTCAAAAATTTAAGTTGAGGCATGGAAGATGCAAAGACCCAGTTAGGATTTCCTAGGATGGAAAAGAAAATGCCTAATATGAAAATTACAGTGGCTTAGATTTTAGCAGGTTAGACATTACAGAAGCAAAGCTTAGTGAATTTAAACACACACAATGGAAGCAATCCAAAGTGAAATACAGAAGAAAAAAATAAGAAAAAAAAAATTAAGTAAAGTTGGGGGGTGGGGCGCAAGTGGAGGGAGAGCATTAGGACAAATACCTAATGCATGCTGGGCTTAAAACCTAGATGATGGGTTGATAGGTGCAGCAAACCACCATGGAACATGTATACCTATGTAACAAACCTGCACTTTCTGCACATGTATCCCAGAACTTAAAGTAAAATTTAAAAAAAAAGAAAGAAAGAAAAGTCCTCAGAGTGTCAAGGAGCTATGAGGCAACTTCAGGAGGCCTAATATGTATTCAAGTAGAGCCTCCAAACAGACAGCAGAATGAATATTTAAAGAAATAATGACCAAATGTTTCCAAATTTGAAAGAAAACTGTAGACCCACAGTCCCAAACAGCTAAACAAACCCTAAACACTAGAAAAAGGAAGAATATTACACCATGTGAAATCATAAACCAATTGTACAAATGAGTTGAAAAAATATTTTAAAAGCAGTTGGAGGAGTAGGGGAGATATGTTATACACAGAGAAGCAAAAATGTGGACAACTGCAGATTTGTTATTGAAAAAGCAAAAAAAAATTAAAATGACAGTCAGAATCATATGATCATCTCAATAGATACAGAAATAGAATGTAACAAAATGCAACATCTATTTCTGGTCAAAACTCTCAGTTCACTGAGAATAGAAAAATCACTTTTTAACTGGATAAATGGCATCTACAACAAAGCTACAGCTAATACCATAGTTAATCAAGAAATGAAGTTTTCCACTTGAGATTGGGAATGAGACTAAGATGTCTGCTCTTACCTCTGATTTGGCATCATACTGGAAATCTTAGCCAGTGCTTTAAAGCAACCAAAATTCCATCAGGGTTTTTTTGTTTTGTTTTGTTTTGTTAAAAAAAGATGAATCAATTCCTAAATTAATTCGGAATAAACATATTCCGAATACGTGATTCAGCTATTCATTCCACTTCTAGGTATTTATTCAAGAGAAATAAAAACATATGTCCACACAAATATTTACATACAAATGTCAGTTTTAGCATGAGTCATTCATTTAACATATGGGTCACTCTGTTGTCATTAACCAAAAACTGGAAACAAACCAAAATATCCATCAAGAGGTGAATAGTAAAATAAACTGTGATATATTAATAAAATGGAATGCTAACAAGCAATAGAAATAAGCTATTGACATACCCTACAATTTGGATGGATCTCAAAATAATTACGTTGAATGAATAGAACCACACAAAGCATTACATGCCATATTGTTCTAGTTATAGGAAATTCTAGAAAATGCAAAATGAAAAGTATCCTATAGCATCAGAAAGCAAACCAGAGACTGCCTTTGCACACGGGAAGTCAGAAGGGATGACTTTCCATGAGGCATAAAGAATATTTTGGGGCACTGATGGATATGTTCATTATCTTGTCTGTAGTGACAGGAGGTACACATATGTCAAAACTTAACAAAATGTACACTTTAAATGTGTAGATTTTATGTAATGTCAATTACACCTCAATAAAACTGTTTCTAAGGTTTCAGATATCCAGCTTCCTGAAAAACTGGAAGCTCTAGCTGCATCTTGTCTACATGATCGCATGGCAACGGAAGCCATTTCTTTTCTGGGAATCACCTGTTTTCCAGTTTTCCATAGTCTTCATCCCTCCCCTTTGTTGTTCCTTTCCTGCTATATTCATTTACGTGACTCCAACAGGAAATTTAATTTTAACTTCCAATTGATTTCTTGTCTTCTATTTTAACACGTAAAGGGATACTAATCTCTCCCAGAACTCTGAAGGGAGAAATCCTCCAAATCCCTTAGTTCATTCTACAGTACCCTCTGTTATTTGGTTCCAATTGATTTTCCAAACCTATTTCTTAAGACTTCCTTCATCAGGCCATATATGCAAGAAACTCTACTTCTTACACAATATTGCCCACATTCCCAAATAAGCTATATGTTCTGGGTGTATTTACCTACCATGGTAATGAGATTCCTGTTTAAAGCATTTGCAAAGAGAGAACTAAAGAAAAAAGACTGTCTTTAACTCATGTAGGAATTTTTACTTCTACCAAATAACAACTGAAATTCATTTTTTTACAAAGGAGTGTTAAAAAAAAGAACTTTTGAGAGAAAAATGAGTTTCTGCTTTTCAGTAAAAGATGTAAGAGGTTTAAAAATAAATGCCCTCGTGGAATGTGCAAGGTTATAACAGTTATCATCAACCATCTCAATAGTATAAGCTAATGTAGATATGGTTCCACCCCAAGTGATGGGCCAGGAGATGCTCTAAGTCTACTGGCTTTAGATATAAATCTTCAGATGTCAAGATACTGTTAAATCAAGATTACATTTCTGGCTATGTTGGGTCATCGCAAGTTATAGATCATGTTGTGTATCTTTTTTTATCTCCTGCAAAGCCACCCCAGTCATGCCATCTTTTTTTGATTTGAAGTATTCTTCTTATTCACTTGCTTCCAAAGATGAAGGATAAATAATAAATATTATGAGAGTATTGAAGGAGTTTATAACATTACTTTTACTTTTTTATTACTTTTGGGTAAGAGATTATTAAAAAATGAGATAATTATTGCATCCTTTGTATGCCTGTCTTAAATTCATTGTTAAATAATTTAATATTTGTAAAGGTTTCACATTATATACTCACAAATAAAACTTCTCATCCCATACTGGATTCAAATTTCCAAAAATGGTTTTTGTTCTTCTTTTGTTCTTTCCAACTTGAACTGTAACATATGGATCACTAGACCCTGTTTTATCTTTTGCCTGTAGACCCTGTGCAGAAACCACTGAAATAAACCAAAATAAACATTTTAACATACAGAGTCCTCAGAAACAAAAAATAATAATAACAAAGACAATTTTTCTGTCATTTGGTTCTTTGGGCTTATAGATGCATCCCCATTGCTTTCATTCTCATGACTCACAGAACTTTAAAAAAATTTAATAAAAATAAATATACAACATTAAAATCTGTAATTTTTGCCCTTGTCTTTAATGAAAAGTAGCTATATACATACACATGCATATACATATTAGCTATATACTCATACACATTACTGCATACATGTACAGAGGAATGAGGAAGATACACCTACACTTATATGAAAAATTACCCAACATAATTCAAAGGCCTGTAATCCAAACTGATTTATTTATGAGTCTGCCGTCAATATTGATCAACTCTACATAGTTGAGAAAGCATCTTTCTTTATCTTGTAAATACAAAATGAGTAAGTGAAGAGTCTTGGTAAATGTTAACAGGCTGCACAGTCACTCGCTGTTGACATTACAAGCAACTTCAGAAGTCCAATTTACTAGATATCATTAAACTCAAATTGTCCTGACTCGAGGACCAAATGGATGAGGGATGTTGAGCCAGGAGTAAGTAAAATAACATCGCTTTTCTCATTTAAAAAGATTAACTGAACAGATTATTAGCTACTGTTATAATTTATCACTGGTAGGCAACAAAAATGCTCATTTCTTGTACACTGCAGGTGAATATATTGAAAAACAGAAACTTTTTCCTATGAAAGAAATTTTGATTAGAACAAGACACAGACTAAAATTATTTCACTTATCTAGTATGTATTTTCAAAATGTGAAGTACCAACTAGTCTTGTTCATATTAACATGATTCAAAAAATAACCATTTATTTTACCTATAATTATTATTAGCAGTTATTTCTAGGGCACATAAAAATCTCAATTTACAATACAAATTTTTAAGAAGACTTATTTTTACCTGTAATGGTTATTTTTGCAGACCACTTAGATGTCCCATCCAGTACACTCTGTTTGGCCGCCTTTGTAAACTGCACAAAATCTTCTTTAGAAATCTGAAACATTTCCTGGATTACTTCAAATACTTCTGGCCGGTTTTTCTCCCTGATCTTCATTCTTTCTTTCATTGCTGTAATAATGGTCTGAGTCTTGTCTTCGGCACCATGTTTAGAACTCTTTTCTGCTGCTCCTATGATGGAAACATCAATGGTGATGTGAATGGAAATGCCATTACTTTTTGATGGCTAAAGGAGGGAGGAAAAGGAGGAGGAAGTGAGAATGAATGAGTGCTTTCATTCTGTGGAGTCAGGTGGCTTTTTAGAAAAATATCATAATGAACTGCTATGCTGAGATTCACAACAACTAGTACTCCTTTGTGTTATTGGCAGGTAAATTGACCTCCTATGATTCCCAGGCTTTTCTTTTGTATTACTGAACTAAATTAGGTGTTGTGCAAAAATTTGGTTTAAATTTTCTAAAAAGAATTCAAAAGCAGCAAACAGAACAGACACAATCAAATGTGTTACATACCACACATATTTCTTCAATGGGTATCCAAAATAAAATTGAGAAATAGATAGAATATAAGTGGCAAATGTCACTTGGAAAGCAATAATTCAAACACATCACTGTTATTTGCTAAACATTAAAATAGAATGTAAGATTTTACTTGGGAAGAAAATGATTGAGCTGTTTAAAGAAGATTTGGACACTACTAGACTAAATGACCTATAATGTAACTGATAGAACACCGACTCGAACTCTCTTTCTCTAATATATCCAGAGCTTTTAAATGACTGAATACTCATTTTCCACTAAAAACTTTTTTTATTTCTGGGACATTGTTTTTCATGACTGGTCTCAACTTTCTGGGCATTTTTGTTTGTAACACAAATCATTCTGTCAGTGAGAGATTTCTAAAATTCCATTATTGGATCCCTAACCTTAAGCTACTGGCTAGATAGTCTTATTGTTCTGTATGGCCTTCTGGGTTGCCCAGTATTACACAAGTTAATAACGGACCATGATTTCAATTTCCACAATTCCTTAGTGAGTTTAAAGTAAGAAAGCAAAAGGTCATGTACCAGTGTCTACAGGAACTGCCACTGCTAAAATCAAACTTTTTTTGGTACAGAAGCAACTGAAATACAGTGAAAATAATCGAAAGACTTGTGTTCATAGGTAGTAATTGCTCTAATTTTCTTTGACATGACTGTAAGTTTGCCTAATTTGTATTCTCATTTTTTTCTGAACTATTATATTTCTGAGATAGGCATACTAATATCTCATAAACTATTTAGAGATTAAATGGGATAATTTATAGGCAAGCACAATTTCTACAATAAAAGATAATATCAGTAATGTTCTTTGAACCTAATTTGTGAATGTTGAGCCCAATTTAAGTATAGAAAGTAAGACAAGAGATGAAAGGTCAACTATTAACTTTACTTATGATAAATTCATATACAATTTGACAGCAATAATTTAATGTAAATGTTCATTTATTTGAAAGTGTAATACCTGTTTCCTAGAGTGGAAAAATATATTCCTAATAATGAGTGTGAATAGAGGAAGCTAAAAGATATGAATATTCCAGTGGTAGAAAGAGCAGTCTACCTGTCTTTATCTTTTATTTTAAACTTTGAGGACCTAAACGACATTTAAAAAAAAGGAAGACAAAAAAAAGAATGAATTCCACTAAAGATGATTTAAAAGGACATTGTAAATGGTCTACACTGTTGAAACATGTCCCTAGAATAGCTACAAATTTGTAAATTGCATGCAATTAATATGTTTTTAATTTATCAATATTGGTTTACACAGTCCATAATTCTTAAATAGTAAAATTAGCTTAGGCTGGAGTAAATAGTTGAAACTATCTGATAGGCATATTTTATTCAAGTAGTTAATATTCACTAAATGGAAAGGACAGTGGTGACTGGAAAATGTTCCCTGCAAGACACAAAGTGACTCAAAAGTTTGGTCTGTGACAGCCAGGCAAGGAATGTCCTAAAGGTTAGAAATGTCATAAAAATGTTGACTCTCTCCCAAATTTCCAAACAGCTATTCTTATTTTTGCTATTAATGCTCTCAAAGGCTCTAGGAAGGAGTGCTAAAGTCATGGAGAGTTAAATATACTTTGGATTATTTTTCTAAATTCAGGAAGAGCCCATCTAACTACCATGCACACAATAAATGCTCAAACAATAGCTGCCAAATTCAAAGCTAGAATATAAAGAGATTTTTCATCTAAAGGAATCAGACTTCTGTCCTTAACGACTGCCTCTTGTTATTAAAAAAATAATTAGGAAAGCTTGAGCATTAGCTTTCAAATTTCACTTATTCTTATGTATTATTGCTGTTATTATAGAATATCTATTCTAATATGTACAGACAAGAGCAATAAACTGAAATTGCCAATCGGTGGACAGCAGGTTAATAGAGACATATGTTTAAGCATTTTCTCTGTTATTTCTAGAAAAAAAATATGTAGCTTTTAAAAATTTCTACTTATGGCCGGGCGCGGTGGCTCAAGCCTGTAATCCCAGCACTTTGGGAGGCCGAGGCCAGCAGATCACAAGGTCAGGAGATTGTGACCATCTGGCTAACATGGTGAAACTCTGTCTCTACTAAAAATACAAAAAAATTAGCCAGGCGTAGTGGTGGGCGCCTGTAGTCCCAGCTACCTCGAGAGGCTGAGGCAGGAGAATGGCGTGAATCTGGGAGGCGGAGCTTGCAGTGAGCCCAGATGGCGCCACTGCACCGCAGCCTGGGCGACAGAGCGAGACTCCGTCTCAAAACAAAACAAAACAAAACAAAACAAAACAAAACAAACAAACAAAAATTTCTACTTTTGCATTTTTGATCAGAAGAAAATTATTCATCTTAGATTGTTTAGCTCAGAGATAGAGACAAATTCATAATAAATTTTTGTCACTGATTTACAAGTACTTTCCATTGCCCTATGCTTTATCAAACCCACATATCTTATGTTTCTAATGAAACTCTTTCTTAAATAGTTACAATTTGCCATGAATTTCCAGCCCTTTGGGTTATTTTTCTTCAGGCTTATTTGTTTATCTAAAAGTCATCAGAGATAACTTTAAATTTGCTTTTACATGAGTCTTTCTTCAAAGCGTGTGGTAGAAGGTCTAGCAGTGTCATTGAAATACAGTAATATGCCAACCAGAGATCAACAATTGATGAGATCAAAAGAGATAATGTAAACTAAAAGCACTTTATAGAGTATAATATCCAAATGAAATGCATCATTGATACTTTTAAAAATAATTACTTGACAGATAAGACAATATAATTATGGACAACACAACCATAATTCAACCTTAGACAGAGGGGCAAACTGGTTCTCTTCTACGTAATTTAATGGGACAATTAACTAGAACTCATTTTTCTTTAATTTTTATCAGACAAAACATCTAAACTTCAGGTGAAATTAACAATTTTACCATCTTTATATGGCAATTTACAATTTTTGTGTTTTTTTTCTGAAGAAGTATCTATAGATAGTATCTACAAATAATTATAGAATTTATAGATATAATCTAAAAATAGAAGGAAGAATATTGAAGTTGTTATATACGTAACTTTATATATAAAACATATATAAAGTTATATATATATTTTGATTATATGACTATATATAACTTCTTTATATATAAAACATACATATATAAAGTTATATATATAAAAACTGAAAACTACAGGTGTGTGTATGTATATACATATACATACACACATATATACATAATATACATACATATACATATATGTGTGTTTATTATATATAGAATATATGTATACATATCTATGTATACACATAGATATGTATATAATAACTTCAGTGTTCTTCCTTCTTCTCAGTTCTTTCCTTTTGCTATTTTTCTCAACAGCTCTTCCAAAACATTTCTACTCTAAAGTCACCTACCTCACCTCCATTACCCTCCATTCTCAGCATATGATCTTATCTCAACAGGAAATAGAGGTCTTTTAAACTCAACAGTCACATTTTCTCTCCTCTCCTACAGAAACAAACAAAAAAACCCAAACCTGATTTGTAGTATTAGCAGATTTCTGTGGTGTAAATATTTCTAACAGCTGATTCCAAGCAAATGCCTCACAAAATTCTTTCATATTTAACAATCACCATTGACATAGCTACCTGCATATATGTCCATTCCTTATGCTACCTCTTAAGGCCCAAATTTTATTAAATGTGTATTCCAAGTGTCTCACACACTGTTTGGAAACTAGCATACACTCAATAAATAGAGGAAATACTTCTTGGGGGAGCCGAAGATAAAATGATTGGCATAATTGGATATTTACTTTGGCTCTGGGTTAATTTAATGTGTTATGAAATTCTTGCAAACTCCTGCCCTAAGGCCACAATTCTGGAAAAAAAAAACCACAGGAATAAATTGAATATAAAATGATAAATATCCTGTGGAATAAATCTTATGAAAAGACAAAATACACCTGGCCCTTGGGTTTGGATTTGCAATTCTTTGAAAACAGAGGCTGTATTCCCATCATTAGATAACAGAATTTGGTTAACCTACATGCCACGTGCACTTACATAGTCAGCATAAAGCAAGAACATGAATGCCAACTATAAATGGAAGAAATATATAAAGAGTATCACTTTTAAATAAGGTAAAAGTGCACAGTACCTATCAATGCTTCAGTGATATGGTTTAGCTGTGTCCTCGCCCAAATCTGATCTTGAATTGTAGCTCCCATAATTCCCACGTATTGTGGGAGGTACCTGGTGGGAGATAATTGAATCATGGCAGCAGTTGCCCCACACTGTTCTCATGGTAGTGAATAAGTCTCATGAGATCTGATGGTTTTATAAGGGGAAACCCCTTTCATTTGCTTCTTATTCTTTTTCTTGGCCTGATGCCATGTAAGACATGCCTTTCGCCTTCCGCCATGACTGTTAGGCCTCACCAGCCATGTGGAATTGTGAGTCCATTAAACCTCTTTTCTTTATAAATTACCCTGTCTTGGGTATGTCTTTATCAGCAGCCTGAAAATGTACTAATACACTTGGGTAGAGGAGAAAATCTTGAGTGAATCCTGATCTGCCACTTAACTAACTGGCGTAGTCTGAATGTTTGCATCCCATTGAAAGTCATATATTGAAACCTAATCTCCGATGTGATAATGTTAAAAGATGAGGCCTTTGGGAAGTAGCTAGATCATGAAAGCAGAGCCCTCAAGAATGGGATTAGTGGCCTTATAGGCTCAAGGGAGCTCACTTGCCCCTTCTACTATGTGAAGATGCAGCAGGAAGTCAGTAGTCTGCAACCTGGAAGATCGCCCTCCATGGGCCCTGACTGTGCTGAAACCCTCATCTTGGGCTTTCTACCTTCAGAACTGTGGGTAATAAATTTATGTTGTTTATAAGCCCCCCAATTTATGGTACTTTCTTATGCAGCTGAAACAGACTAAGATCCTAACCTTTTAGTCTTGAGCTTGTTAGTTTATCTCTCTCAACTTTAGCTTCTTCATCTGAAAAACAGATAGGAATAGTAGTAGTGTCTCCCTTAACAGTATGAGGATTCAATGAGATAACACATATAGCTTTAATAATAGTAATGGAATAAGTATAGTGATTTCAGCATGTCAAAAAGGTGAAGATATAGGTATTTATTAAAGAACTTCAGGCCAGGAGTGGTGGCTCACATCTGTAATCCCAGCACTTTTGGAGGCCGAGGCAGGCAGATCACTTGAGGTCAGGAGTTCGTAACCAGCCTGGCCAACATGGTGGAACTCCATCTCTACTAAAAAAAATACAAAAAAATTAGCCGGATGTGGTGGTGCACATCTGTAGTCCCAGCTACTTGGGAAGCTGAGGCAGGAGAATGGCTTGAACCCGGCAGGTGAAGGTTGCACTGAGCCGAGATTGTGCCACTGTACTCCAACCTGGGAGACAGAGTGGGACTTTGTCTCAAAAAAATAATAATAATTTCACATTAGTAAGAAATTTTAGGGGTTTGAGCTGCATAATCACTTGACCTCTGAAACAACTGGAAAACTCTCACGCGGACGGTGTCTGCAGTATGCTGGATGCTCTATATCTATTTGCTAGATGAGGGCCAAGGAAGGGCTTAAAGATAAAAGAAATTTGAGCTTAAAAAAACTAGAGAAAATAACTTATTTATTTTTTTGACATCCATAAAGCCTTACCTGCATTTGAGACTGATGGACCCAAAGAAAGTGGGTGGTTAACATCCATTGAAAGCATTCAGAGGGTCTGATATTGAGGGATTTTTGTATTCCTTTCTTTCTCCAGGAGCCTCTCTGACATGGGAAATGGGTCTTTACTGCTTTTCTTTTATTTCCCAGTAAAAACATGTAGGTGGGCCTGCTTTCATTGTCTCTCTGCTTTTTGCCCCCATGAAATCATGTGGGTGGACATTCAGTTGCCATTCCCTACCCATTTCTTTTAGATGTTTTATATCCAAGATAATACGAACCCTCCTCTTTTAACATGCCTTCAGTCTTTTCAAGGAACAGACCTGCAACTCCCCCAGTCTTCAAGTTAGCAGGCTCCTTTTTCTTGTAGAATCAAAGCCACACACTCCTTATTTTTCGCAAACAACAAAGGACTGACATTTAACAGTAGGTAATTGGAGGATCACAGATCTAACATAGCGTCATCTCCCATTCCTGTAGGTGAGAGCCTGTAGGTAACTCTATCACTGACAGTGGGAAAATACAAGAAGGTAGCCCACTCCCCAAGGAACTACCACCTTCTCTAAAATGACCAGTGTCAGGAAGCCTGGCACCAAGAGCCTACAAAAAACTGCCAAACTGTTTTTTCTCTTCTGCCTGTACCATCCCCACCATATTCAATCATCTCATTATTGGTATATGCATACTTTTAGAACAAGTTCGAAAACAAGCATGTTTTGAAAATACAAAATCAGGAATGTGCTCGCATAACAGTATGTTAAAGGTACTACATCTCATCAGCATTTTCTAGAGGTTGCCCAGTCATCACAGAGTCAAAAGCTATCTATATTGTTTAGGGGAACAAATTAATTATGATTCAAAATGTGCTCAATTTTCAAAATATTTTTACTAAGCAAGGAAAGAGAAGAAACCAAGAGAGTGATGGCAGGAGGAAGATATTTTTCTTTGTATCACATTTAGTTTCATAAATTTCTTCATATACTTTTCAAAAAAATACAAAGCAAAAGAAAATTAAACACCAAAAATTTCAAAACAAGATTTATTTCTATTTTTTCATAACTAGACTCTGACTTCTAGGAACTTTGCTAACACAACTAGTTCACAGTGTTGTTCAGAGCTGGCCTGGTACTCATAGCTAGGCTACATTGTTCTTTCCTTGGACGTAAACAATTTCAAAGAGCGCCAAACTTAGACGTGGTCACCCTGCAACAGTGTTAAAGTAAGACAAACAAGGCCGCTTCCTTATTTTTCCTAAGCATAGACAAAAACATAGCACTGCGTAAACCACAAAATATCAAATATTCCCTTTCCTAATTAATATGAGTGGTTGTTGTTGCTTTAGGAAGTATAATTGTTCTCTTTTATCCTCAGGGAATGCATTCCAAAGCCTTCAGGAATACCTGAAACCGCAGATAGTACCAAACTCTATCTTTATTGTATAGTGTTTTCGTTGTTGTTGTCGTTGTCATTGTTTTATTTTATTTTAATCTGATCACCAAGAAAGCTACTAAGTGACTATGGGGTGAGTAACATCTATAGCATGGATACACTGACAAAGGGATGACTTTCCTTCCAAGAAGGATGGCAGATTTCATCATGCTGCTAAAAATGGTGTGCAACTTAAAATTTATACATTGTTTATTTCTAGAATTTTCTATTTAATATTTTTGGACCATACTGCGGAGGACTGAAACTGGAAAGTGAAACCACGAATAAGGTGGGACTACTGTAAAGCTGTGGCTTCAGTCTACTTTGCCTTCCTTCTAGATTAGATGTTTACAGACACAATATCGTAGAATTGTCCTCACTTCCACATAACACCCCATCCAGAGTACACCTCTGTTTTCTAGCACGATCTTGCCGAGATGCCCTATAGTCATCCTGGTGTATGTTCTCCCTCACAGTAATAAGTAATAAAACACACTTTTTAAAACTACGGGTGTGTTCCTGGTGGTCTCTAGCTGGAGGTCATTGACAAGTATTATTAACTGTTTTCACAGATGAGGAAAATGATGCCCAGGGAAGTTTTAAAAACATTATAGTTGCAATAAGACTGGAAGTCAGATTATTTTTAAATAGCTCAATACTATGAAAAAACATGCATTGATATCCATTGAGTATGTTATATAGAATACCTCTACGGCATTATGCAAAGCATATTCATCCTCTTAGTCTCTCTCCAGCAGCCAACCCCATCACCTGAAAATGCTCCATTATTAGTCTATTCCTTTGGGTTAAGGAACTGACCATTGCATTCATTTCCCTTTTAGTGTTGTTGAAAAGTCAATGCAATAACATGCTGGGAGAGAGGTGGTAGCGATATGGAAGGGGGTCAGGGAAGTGCCTGAAGGGGAAGGGCTTGGTCTCTGGCTAGGGCTCCACGCCTGGGCCTCTGCCCAGGGACCTAAGTGAGGACAGGCATTTTTGTTTTCCTGCCCAAATGTTGCATTTCCCAAGAAACCCTGGCCTGCCACGCCCCCATCCTGTGCCTATAAAAACCCTAATGCTCTAGCCAGCAAACACATAGGCAGCGGGATGTGGAGAGGAGCACATCAGCAGAGGAACACACAGGCGGCTGGACATCCAGACGAACACATTGGTAGAAAAAGACACAAGTGGCTGGATGTTGAGAGGACACCAATGGGAGCATGCCGAGTGGAAGAGCACAGGACAGAAATCGTCACGTCGGCAGACTATCAACTAACAGAACGTGGTGGAGTTTGGCCAGGGCAGTCAGAGGACAGCCTGGGCCTCCAAGCGGCCTGACTCCAGGGAAAACCATTTCCTCTGGCTCCCCCATCTGCTGAAAGCTACTTCCACTCAATAAAACCTTGCACTCATTCTCCAAGCCCACCTGTGATCCAATTCTTCCAGTACACCAAAGCAAGAACCCTGGGATACAGAAAGCCCTCTGTCCTTGCGATAAGGGAGGGGTCTAATTGAGTTGACTAACACAGGCCACCTACGGGAAGCTAAACTTAAAGAGCACCCTGTAACATATGCCTACTGGGGCTTCAGCTATAAACATTCACCTCTAGACACTGCCGTGGGGCTCCCTACCCATCTGTATACTCCCCTAGAAGTCTGAGAAGCGGGGCACTGAAGAAGCGAGCTACACCCCATCACACGCCCTGCAAGGAGGACATGGGAACTTTTCCTATTTCAGGAGCATTGAGGATTTATTGGCGGTTGGCTGTAGATGGCGGGTCCTGAGGAGTTATCATGGCGGGGAACTCTTGGAGGCTACAGCAGGCAGCATAGAATGTCTCAAATTCAGGGGTACCCTATGTGCTTTCTCCCATAATAAAAAGTGAGACAGCACTGAAAATAAAATGCAGTAACTTTCCTTTTCTTCCCCCTAGGATTGACTTTGCAAACTTATTTATAAGTTAGGAAAGAACACCAGGCTGAGTTCAGAGACCTGAGTTCTAATCCTGCTTACGCTATTCGCTTGATCCTTTTGATGAGACACTAAATCTTCTGAACTCAGCCAAAGCAGTAGACTGAGTTTCCTAACTCACTAATCTCGAAGCTCCTTTAATAGCGTATGCCTATATGGAAAGATGATATTTAAACCACAACAGGTTATTTCTAGTTGTAGTTCTTGTTCCTTCATTCATTAGTTTAACCACATTTGCTAAGCAGCTCCTTTGCTTAAATGTGTGTTAAGTAGCAGTGGATAAAAGGAATCCTACTTCCAAGTTTCCTGAGTACTCATTACTTAAACATATATTGTAAAATTGTTATTGAAAGAGTAAAATGTCAAAACTTTCCAAGATACATGTTCACATCTGTTCATCTAAGTTATGTATTAGAAAATAAGGTTGAGTCCAGGAAAAATACCACTTACTTTCTTTGCAGCTCTGAGAGCCCAGAATAAAACTCCTACCCACAATAGTTGCTCAATATATGCAAATATTTGACTGTCTTAAAATGTGATTTCAAAATGTGATAACAGGGCAACAAAGAAAGGAGAATCAATATCTAATTTGCAAACAAGAGTATGTTAAACAGGTTTTATTAATGCTACGAATTTATTAATTGCTTGTCTTAGGACATATAAGTTCAACATAATGTCAGTAGAAAGCACGTAGAACTAAAGAACACATCTCACAAAATGCTTCTTTGCTGAGCGTTTCGTGAAATATTTTCTGGCCTTATGCAGGTGCTTGAAATTTCTAGTTAGGAATTAAAAGTAGGCAGAATGCTTATTCAGTAAGACTCTGGGATTCCTTCTTTGGAGATGTGTAAGGAAAGTGCCATGATTATTTGCATTTTTTTCCAATCTCTGTAGCTGTCTTTTTTCTACACTGAAAACATAATCAAGGAAAATATTTTACATATGATGTCTCTTTTACATATGACTCACTCTGCACACAACCCTCATCCCAGCCAACACGGCCTTTTTCTAGTTTAAAACCACCACTGAGGTGCTACAGCAAGTTCCTTACACGTTATGTTAACGTAATTCAGGGTCACAACCTGCTCCTCCATTTATTATAATTAAATTATTTCACCACCAAATGCTTTTTCCAAAAAAGAATTCTAAATGTCTTTTTAGGCGACGAGACGCAAATGAACTAATTAAAGAAAAAGCAGGTGAACTCTGGCTGCTGCCACTGATTTTATTGAAGGAGTATAAATCAGGTCTCTTTTCTCATTGTTCTCCCTGTTTCCATTTGGTCTCCTTCTTACCACCCTGTGTCTATGAGTTTTGGGCCAAGAAGGTGGTAAAATCTATGAACTACCATCAAGTACAATTAGCTAGAGAGGGTGTTAGATGAAGCTCTTTGGGGAATTGACTGGACATTTCCATGCATCTCTGAACCCACAAGGAAGCACTGGAGCAGTGAGTTGGATTTCACCATCACCTGGTCTAATTCCACTTGACTGAAGGTGCACAAGTCACAAACCCAAGACTTCATGGTAAGGAAACACCTAACTTAAATCAATTTGAAGTAACTTGACATACTCTCTCTTTTGCATGGGCCATTGGTCAGACCACATGTAGAGAATTTAATTTCTTTTAGCATGTGTGTGTTGATAGACTGTAATTACTCAGAAAAGAATTAGCAAAATAAAGAGTACTAGAAACCTATAGAAAACTAGATAATTAATTTAAGTACTTGAAAAACTGTCATATTTAATAGAATTCATTAAATATTTTCACCAGAAGTAAGATATGGCGTAATGGGTAGAAATTACAAGGAAAGACTCCTTGGCTTAAATTTTAATTTATGAACTAGCATTCTAAAGTCATGAGTTAAACTGCCTACCAAGGGTTGAAATTTTCCCTGGAAATGTTACGAGATTGAATGGCCATTTTATAAAGAAAATCATAGAACTGTCTTACATTTAAAGGGGGCTGAATTAGCTATACCTTCTAACTCTGATTTTCTTAGCTTTTTATTCTTTCCTTTTCTTCAGTGTTGGCATTCATGAAATTATCTCATATATAGTGTCACCATTGCCATTTTTTTGGCTTAAAACAATGAAGAAGATCAATTTCTTAAGGTAATGTCACTGATTCTGTAGGGAGAATTTCAAATTTTATTGATAGTTATCATGGAAAGTTATGAAGTTAAGTATACATACTTGTAGGACCTCTTTCTGATCAATATGAGAGTGTCAATTTTAGGAAAAAAGTAAAAATGGATTTATAAAAACCCTCCCTGGGGCATGCATACCCACCTTCATTGTTCTGCACTATTTTTGATTCTTCCAATTTATGTGTGCATTTTAATGAATAACATCAATGAAAATTTTGGATTGCATAATTTATTTAACAAATATAAAATAATAAATGTTGTTTTAAGAAATGGAAATAGATTATGAACATGTTTCTACAGTTTAACGAATGGGTAGCATCTGTCCTTTCTGAAAGACTAGAAGAAGAATTCATTTCGTAGGTATGAGTGGCATCATTTTTTTCTCTAAGGAATTTAAGCCATTTGTTCTTAGATGACAGTGTGTTTTCTATTTTCTTAAATGTCATTGCCCTAATATGCTTATTTCTTAAGATGCCTATACGCAATTCACTTTTTAAACAGTTGGGCTGAATTTTAATCAGATTATGAGATTTTGCATGTAAATTAAATGAGTAATATCAAGTCAATCCCCCTTCCTTTAAAATAATTATTCTTAACTATACTTCTTATTTTTCAAATAAAGAATACCACTTCTTTTGCTTAAAGAATGCACTTGTTACCATTAACACAGCCTCAATCTGATCTAATCTTGTATGGAGAATACTAATCAGATAGAGAAAACTTAAGAATGTATGTGATCGTGACTACAACAAGTCAGCTGTGACAGCATTTCTAATTTAATCTTTGACATTTTCCTCTTCTCCCTTCAGTGTCAAGCAATCCACATATCTTACATTGACTACATCCCTATAAACAACAAACAGAGGGCACAATATTTAGATGTGAAAAAATATGATTTGCAAATGAACATCATGTTGAAATATAACTTTTTGGCAATTTTTAAGTGACACTACCAAATAAATAAAGTAGTGAAAAGTCAATTATGTGTATTTTACAATGTGATGCATTAGCATTTCTAGACCTAAAGTAACAAATAAAGGATTTTTTTGGAAATGAAAAATTTAAGGTAACTTGTCATAAAAACCAAAGTGGCATGTACTCATTCAAGAGTGTGAAAGGATGGAAAGGTCATTAATATTTATGGAGCATCTACCGTGTGCCAGGCTCTTAGCAGAGACTATTACATTTAGCCTTTCCAATAACCCTCTAAGGTAAATTTTGTTATTCCTGCCCATAGAGTGGAGAAAAATAAAGCCTCAAGAAGTTAAAATATTTTCTCAAAGTCACATATCTGGTAAGTTACATATGTTGTTGACATTCAAACCCAAGACATCCCATTTCCAAGGCCTGTGCAGGAACTGTAGAAGGACATGGATCCTGCCAGGCAGGCACCAGATAGGCTCGAAAAAAGAATTCCAGTTGCTGTAAATGCAGAAGCATATCTTGATCCCTGTTTGGGGAACCTGATTTTACATATTCCCACTTACCTCATGGAACTATTATGATGTATGAGTAAGAAAATAGATAGGGGCCGGGCGCGGTGGCTCACGCCTATGTAATCCCAACACTTTGGGAGGCTGAGGTGGGCAGATCATGAGGTCAGGAGATGGAGACCATCCTGGCTAACAGGATGAAACCCCGTCTCTACTAAAAATACAAAAAATTAGCCAGGCTTGGTGGCATGTGCCTGTAGTCCCAGCTACTTGGGAGGCTGAGGCCGGAGAATGGCGTGAACCCAGGAGGCAGAGCTTGCAGTGAGTTGAGATCGTGCCACTGCACCCCAGCTGGGGCGACAGAGTGAGACTCCATCTCAAAAAAAAAAAAAAAAAAAAAAAAAGAAAGAAAGAAAGAAAAGACAAAAAAGAAAATAGATAGGAAGTCACTTTGAAGGTTTATGCTGGATGAGAGTGCAATTTCACTCCAGGTACTCACCCTGAGGATTCTAATAGCACCTAGCTCCACACTGTAAGAATGCATCATCAACTGTGATTTGATGGACAGTATGTGTATCTTTGTGTAAGTGGTGGGAGGGGAGCGGGTAGGATTTCTTGACAACCAGCAAGAGTTGAAGTGATCTAACATGAAACAGATGGAATAAGGCAGGCTCTGCATACCACTTTTTCAGCCAAACCAAGTACTCACTCTGCAAGCAGTCAGCGTTTAGCAGGTCCTGACACTTTTCGTGGCATTTCACTCCACACTCCAGACACTTCATGCCTTGCCTTGCAATGCCCCACAGGAGCCCTTCACACTCATAACAGTAGGTGGGTGTGGTAGCCGTCCAGACCTCAAAATTGTGTGGGATGGTAGAAGACATAGGGTAGATCAGTGCCTGCAAGGTCTTCTTGAAGACGTGCATTTTCTGTGAACATGAGAGAAGTTACCAATGCACCGCCAAGTCAGTGGATTTGAATTGTTTCAAAATAAAACAAACCATTTTATCACTTTTCTCTGAAAATGGTATTTTGAGAGAGCCCCTGGATCACTGATTCAAGTCATGATGACAGTAAGCATAATAACTCTGCTAACCTATTCTTCTCTCAATGTTTTAGGGCCCTATTCAGTTATCTGTACACAAAGAACTCCCTAATCTTCCAGACTGGACTGGGCTTCACTGTCTGCAGCTTCTTTCCCAGCAGCACACAGGTCTAATTAGTTGAGAATGTCTAAGTCCCTGCTATGCTGTAAACCCAACGCCTCTTTTACTTTCTACCCAGGCCGTTATTTCCTGACCCCCTTGTCCTCCCTGACACTTCACCCCTCCTCAGCCCCAAGGAATACTTCTGTAATTCAATCTGCAGGAAATTTGCTTTCAGTACCTATCACCGGGGAAGGATCTTATCACCTAATTCATAAGAAAGCATCAGTAGTAGATAAGGTCAAATGAGGCACTCTCCCATGGTGATTTATATTTTAAAAGGAAATAATTTCTAATAGCATATGGAAGGACTCTTTAATGACAAGTCATTAGTGAGGTGAAAAAAAATCTATTGAACAAGTAGGTAGGAGATCTGAGTTCTCCTAGGCCCAACTACATGATATTTAAAAGGGGCCTCTATAAGCAGGAACTGTCTTCCATGTTTTTCTTCTTAGTGCCTGAACAGCTTATCACTGTCCCTGGAACATAGTAGAGGTACATTTCTTTTAATGAATAAACGTTCTGCCACTTATGAATCTTGTAATCTACGGAGAAATGTAAGGGCTCTAAGACTCACCCTCCTCCTCTGCTCTGCTTAAAATGGTATTACTTTGAAGATCAAATTATATAATGATAACAGAAGTAGTCTACAGGCTTCAAAACACCAAATAAGCACTTAGTATTAGTATTGATGCTGGATGTAAAAAAAAAAACAAACCACCAACAACAATAAACACAGGCCAATAGAAAAGAGAATTGGTTAAATGAGTCCTTTTCTATGCTTCTCATATCCCACAAAGCAGGTGACTTCCTGAGAGAAAGACCAGCACTCTTAGAGGTTACATTTACAGATAATTTCACACAACTGCCTGATGCATAATGAATGGATATTTACATAAACCCTGTAGGAAGAGTCTAGCTGGTAAGTCATACTAGAAGGGAAGCATTTATATTTTGAATTAATTATCCTTAAATCTCATTTCAGAATATTTTCCCACAGTGTTGAAATGACTAACTTTCAATTCCACAGTATGGTAACAGCATATTTCCCTTTATTACTACATTCCTCTCACTCTGTGTTTTCCCAGAATATGTTTGGTAATGGTACTAGGAGGTCCCCTACCAGGGAACGGAGCCTCAGTAAAAATGTTTCTAATTTTGAATGGCTAGATCCATCCTTGCTATTAGATAAGGGGCTGGACAATCCAGAGCTCTTTATACTTCAAGTGAGTCTACAGAGCAGCAGTATGGTCAAATTCGGGCATCACTCAAGTGGAAGATCCTAATATTAGGGTTTATTCAGATAGAAAAACTGGATCCATCACTTTTCAATAAAGAGTGTCTGAAGCAAGTAAATCTCCTGGCTCAATAAAGAGTGTCTGAAGCAAGTAAATCTCCTGGCTTCATTTCATAATAAAGATGTCTTATAAAGAACTGTTAAGAGTTCTTTGAGAATTAGAAGCATGTATTATTCACCTTTGCCTCCTCTTTAATATCTAGCATAGTGAGTATCTTCACTATCATTAAAATAAATGAAATAATCCTTGGCATAACAGATTTTTCATTAGCTACCCACAGACAGAGTCTCCCGTTCTAACTGGGCTGAGGGGCTGTGTGTGTGTTTGTGTGCGTAATGTAGCATTTGTGGTCTAGAAGAAAAATTAGGAAGGGAACTAATTTATATACTTGCAATTGCATCAGGCAACTCGTTTGTTTTAATGGCAATAAAATAATAAAAATAGAATAATAAAATATTCTAATTACATGGAATACTGAGTGGGAATAAAACAGAATCTGCTAATGAAAGGAAGAAAAGTAAGTAATGTACCTTACATAAATTTAGAAAGTAGAGTTGGGAATAAGGTTGTTTTTGAACATGAACTTATTCACATATTTCAAGATTAAGTAAATGATTAATATATATGATCTAATTCCCTATGTCCACTTTCCTTTTACTGAAGTCAAGTGATAGTCAGTACTCTAAGTCCATAGATTATAGTAGGAGTAATAAAAATAAGTAACTCTGCTAAAAAATTAAGCATACTGCAGGAAAACAAGTAAAAGCTCTGAATAAACAGCTGAGCAGATTTCATTAAAATGTTTTGTTTGGTTTGGCTAAGGAGCCATAATTCATTTCATGTAAAGGGAGAGTAAAGCTAATTTCCAAAAATAAAAAAAAAAAACATGAAACATTTACTAGACAGCCCATTGAAAAGCAATTGAATGGGGCACTGAAACAAATCCCAATATTTAAGAGCTATTAAAGTTAGAGAAAAACATTAAAACATTAGACAACCTACTAGAGGGTATATATCCCCTTTAATAAGATCTCATCATTTTAGGGAAATGATGAGTCCTTTTCATTCTTGACTTTCGGGGGTATGGGCATGTATTTATCAAAGCTGAAAATTACTCTGAAATAAATGCCATACGAAAACACTCTTTTTTCAGCAAAGTATATGTTGAGTTGATAGTTTAGGAACATGAAATTAATAGGTAGGAAAAGCATATAAAAATAATCTCATAATAGAGGATTCTTGTATTTCAGGGGGATAATGCATCTTGGAGCAAGATGTTTTCTCAGCAGCAAAATCAGGCAAGATGAAATAAGACTATAAGAGGGAAAAAGTGTGGGTTTTTGTGTGGAATAAGGTGAAAAGAGCGAGAAGCATTAAATAAAAGCATGGCAGGGGAAAATAAGGGGAAACCCCAAAATTTGCTATTGATGGAAGCAAATGAAAGTCTATAGTTTACCATTAGGAATCAGATTGAAGGGATGAAAAGCCATTAAACAGAAAAGTAACACTAAGGGCAGGCAGATTAATAATCAGCTGTAAATAAGAGCTGAAGGAGAAGGATGGAACTGAGTATGTTATCAAGAGAGGGTCTCTGGCCTAGGTAAACAACTTGGAATCAGACACATGGAGATTCCTAGAACAAGCAAAACCTAATTAATAGAATTAGGACCCAAGGACAGCAGGATTTGGCAAAATGAGTGACTTGCTGCTTATCTATTTAACTTTTTAAATTTCCAAATTTTATTTTAAGTACAAGGGTACATGTGCAGGATGCGCAGGTTACATAAGTAAACATGTGCCATGGTGGTTTGTTGCACAGATCATCCCACCACCCAGGTATTAAGCCCAGCATCCATTAGCTATTCTCCCTGCTGCTTTCCCTCCTCCCACCCCCACCCTCCGATAGGCCACAGTGTGTGTTGTTCCCCTCTAGGTGTCCATGTGTTCTCATCAGCTGCTAGTCTATTTTAAATGTTTCTAAACTTTACAAATCTTCTACAACTTTGCAAATCTTCTACAATAAAAATGTATTTTCTAAAAAATATGTATTTTAAGATTATAATAAAGTGCATGCTCATTGTAAAAATAATTTATAAAACACAAAGGCACTGATATAAATAATAAAAATATTCAATTTAGCTTTTTAAAGTTAGGCATTATTTGATACATATCCTTCCCATATTCTTTTTTATGTATAGACAGGACGTAATACTCTTGCAATTAGAAAAAAAAAAAAACATTATTTTCACATTGCTTAAGTCATTCCAAAAAAGAAGGCAATTTTTTTTGCTGTTATAGACATCTTGTTTACCTGTAGAAATGAGTAAGGAATGTTTTCACATTCTGATAAGCCTTTGTAGGCAAGCACAACATATAGACTACACTGGGGAGGATGCTCACACCCTAGAGAAATATTTTGTTAGAACTTTCTTCTCCAAAAATTGAATTTAAAGTAAGTTGCACTAATATGTCACTTTTGGAACAATTAGGACACTGGAAGGAAATGAATTGCCTTTTCTATTGATTACTACCTGAAGAAACTAAAAAGAGCCTGAGATTTAAAGGAATCAGGCTACCTGCCAAGAGCAATGACTAGTGTTTTCAGACCATCAATATTCTAATCTACCAACTGTTAATAATTATAACATGAACAAAGCTTGTCTGCCTCCATTTGCCACATTGTTTCTCTCCTTTTTCCTTTCTGTTTTAACCAGTGACTAACCTATGAAGTTCTATTTCCCTCCTCATCCTGTGGAGGAAATAATCCTCCTTGTGATATTATGTAAGCCACACCTTTCCTATACCCCCAAATATCACATTTTGATACTTTCAAGAAAAAAAAATGCTTCTTGTTTTGAGCCATTTTTCATATACTTGATGTACGCTTTCCAGAAAAAAATATATCTACTCTTCGGTGAAGTATAAGTGTTATTTTTTCTGGACAAAAACATCAGAATTTTTGCAGACCAAACATTAGGTATAATATGATCTTTTTGAAATTTGTTATAAACATGAAGACAGAGCAATGCTAGGATAAAATCCTGACTATAAAAACAGACATAATTTCAGTGCTGATTTGCTCATCTAAGTAATCATCCTATAAAACTGATTGACTATAGGAGCTAAAATTATTCAGGTGATTTTTTTGTAGCAGAAAGTACAAACAAAGACTAAAAGTTATATCCTATCTATGTGAGAATGTAAGTAGTTTTCTTTCACTTCTATTGCTTTATAACAGATATAAATTAACATTGTCCTAAGAAACTTATGGGGTGAGTCCAAATAAAGAGGGCAGAACAATAACGTAGATGATTCCTTAATTCAAGGAGAGCACAATATAACATAAGCCCTTTGTTATGACACAGAACATAATCTGAAAACAAAATATGATAGATTTTATGCACTATAAATGTTCTTTTTTCCCAATTCAAACTTTCAATAAAAATGTATACAAGTGATGAGAGTGGTATGAGATAATTAATTTGATAAATACATGAAACTAAAAATACTATGGATTTCTACACTGGGGGAAACTTTAGCCATTTTAATGTGGAAAGTCTAAGATTTACTGCTTGGGGTGGAGACTGCATTCTTATGAGTCTAAAACCAGCATAAGACAAGGATGCCCTCTGTTACCACTCCTATTCAACATAGTATTGAAAGTTCCGGCTAGGGCAATTGGGCAAGAGAAAGAAATAAAGTGTATTCAAATAGGAAGAGAGGAAGTCAAATTATTTTTGCAGAGGACATAATCCTATATTTAGAAAATTCCATGTCTCAGTCCAAAAGAGTAAGCTTTTAAGCAAATTCAGCAAAGTCTGAGGATACAAAATCAATGTGCAAAAAATGAGTAGCATCTCTATACGCAAACAACAGGTAGGCAGAGAGCCAAATTGTGAACAGACTCCCATTCACAATTGCTACAAAAAGAATAAAATACCTAGCGATACAACTAACAAAAGAAGTGAAAGACCTCTTCAAGGAGAACTACAAACTACTGCTCAAGGAAATTAGAGAGGAAACAAACAAATCAAAAAACATTCCATGTTCATGGATAGGAAGAATCAATATTGTGAAAATGGCCATACTGCCCAAAGTAATTTATAGATTCAATGCCACTCCCTTTAAACTACCATGAATATTTTCCACAGAATTAGAAGAAACTTTTTAAAAATTTGTATGGAACCAAAAAGAGCCTGAATAACCAAGACAATCCTAAGTAAAAATAACAAAGTTGTAGGCATCACCTTACCCACCTTCGAACTATAGTACAAGGCTACGGTAGCCAAAACAGCACGGTACTGGTATAAGAACAGACACATAGACTAATGAAATGGAATAGAGAAATAAGAAACAAGACCATGCACCTTCAACCATCTGACAAAACCTGACAAAAACAGGCAATGAGGAAAGGATTCCCTATTTAATAAATGGTGCTAGAGAACTGGCTAGCCATATGCAGAAAACTGAAAGTGGACCACTTGCTTACATCATATACAAAAATTAACTCAAGATGGATTAAAGACTTGAATATAAAACCCCAAAACTATAAACACTCTAGAAGAAAATCTAGGCAGTACCATTCAGGACACAGTGATGGGCAAAGATTTCATGACAAAAACGCCAAAAGCAATTGCAACAAAAGCAGAAATTGACAAATGGGATATAATTTAACTAAATAGCTTCTATGCAGCAAAAGAAACTAAAATAAGAGTGAACAGGCAACCTACAGAATGGAAGAAAATTTTTGCAATCTATCTGTCTGACAAAGGTCTAATATCCAAGATCTATAAGGAACTTAAACAAATTTACAAGAAAAAAAATAAACAATCTCATTAAAAAGTGGGCAAAGGACTTGAACATAAATTTCTCAAAAGAAGACATTCATGCAGTCAAAAAAACATGAAAAGAAGCTCAACATCACTGATCATTAGAGAAATGCAAATCAAAACCACAATTAGATGCTTTCTCATGCCAGTCAGAATGGTGATTATCAAAAAGTCAAAAAACAACAGATGCTGGCATGGTTGCAGAAAAAAAGGAATGCTTTACACTGTTGGTGGGAATTAAATTAGCTCAATCATAGTAGAAGACAGATTCCTCAAAGATCTAGAGGCAGAAATACCACTTGACCCAGCAATCCCATTACTGGGTATATACCCAAAGGAATGTAAATCATTCTGTTGTAAAGATACATGCATGCAGATGTTCATTGCAGCACTGTTCACAATAGTAAAGACATGGAATCAACCCAAATGTCCATCAATGATAGACTGGATAAAGAAAATGTGCTACATATACACCATGAAATACTATGCAGCCATAAAAAAGGAATTAGATCATGTCCTTTGTAGGGACATGGATGGAGCTGGAAGCCACCATCCTCAGCAAACTAATACAGGAACAGAAAACCAAGCCCCATATGTTCTCACTTATTAGTGGGAGCTGAAGGATGAGAACACGTGGACATGCGGCGGGGAATAACACACAATGGGGCCTGTCGGGGTGGGGGTGGGAGGAGGGAGAGCATCAGGAAGAATAGCTAATAGATGCTGGGCTTAATACCAAGGTGATGGGTTGATCTGGGCAGCAAACCACCATGGCACACATTTACCTGTGTAACAAGCACATCCTGCACATGTATCCCAGAACTCAAAATAAAAGTTGACGGAAAAAAAAGAGAAGAATGTTTCGGATTTTATAAAACAAAGGTGAGGAGGGGGCTGACCATTCCTATAAATAGATCCCATGTAACTGTCCTTTTATGTAACCAATCAAAGTCAGTCAGGGAACCATGGAAAATTGTGTGGTGAAAAATTGTTAATCACAAAATTAACTAACTTTTAGTATGTACTTATGCATCAAAAATGGATACATGGTTAGATTATTATTATTACTATTATTCACTTATGTTGTAAATATTACTTTGTGTATATGCAATAGTTAATAAGAACCATTAAAATCAATAACTATATGTTCAACTCTATAACTTAGAAAAGTAGTTTCAGAGTGAAAACAAAGAATAAAAAAATCTAAAAATGACAAGAGCATAAATAAATGAAATAGAAAACAAGGAGATAATATGGAGTCAACAAAGCAAAGCCAGAGAAATTTCCTGCAGTTTTAATTTTACAAAAGAGAGAGAAAATACACATAAATAATAATAGGATAAAATGGCACACATTTTTGTATAAACCATGATATAATTATATAAACAATTTGATGGTATTAAATTCAAAAATTTAGAAAAACAAGACAACTTGCTGAAAAAATATAAATTGTCTAGACTAACTCAAGAATGAATGCTTAGGGAACATAATCACTATATTAAATAAGTTGATTCAACAGTCAAAAAATTACTCTCAAAATAAGTACCATATTCAGGTGGTTTTGGAGGACAAGTTTTGCCAGTCCTTCAAGATACAGAACTTATTTTATAGAAACCATCCCAGAGAAGGAAAAAAAGGAAATCTTCCTCACTTATCTTATTAAGCTAGTTTAATAATGATGCCAAAATTGTTCAAGAACACAGAAAAACATAGTCATTTTTACCTTATGATGCAAAGTAGATGCAAAAATATGATATAATTAGTAAACATATAAGAAAATCAAGGACATGAAAGTTTCCATAACTTGCCCTAGGCCCTACAGAAGGTAAATTGTAGAACTGGACCAACATGGATCTCAAGTCAAAGTCCGTGCTTATGAAGAATAACAGAACCAACAGCAATACTTGCAGACAAGAGATAATCTTTACTTTGGTGTCATTATTGCTGGCTTCCATGTCAGTACTTCCTGGAAAGGAAAATTACCCTCAGGTGCAAAGAGGGCAGGGAGGCATTAGACTCAGCATGTATTCTGCAGCCCCGATCACAAGTTCCTGCCCTACTGCGCTGATGGCCACCTGCCATGCCGGCCACTGTATAAAGAGAAAAGGGGGAATGGGAAGGGTTTGACTAAACAAAGAGCTTTCTACATAAGCTATTTCTTTTAATTCTCACAAACTGTGAGGTAACTATTATTACTTTCATTTTATTGATGAAGCAAAGTTATCTCAGGAAGGTGAAGAATATTGAGAAGAAACAAGTAGTCAAAGCTAGTGAGAGGTGGAGTTGAGATTCTAATTCAGGCCCCTTTCACTTCAAAACTTATCCAGGTGGCCTGAAAGTGTTCCTGTTCCTGAGCAGGGGTCTGAAGTACCTGGGTGTGCTGTAAGCCTACAGCTCTGGTTGAAGTTGAAGTCTCAGAGAGGTGTTCTGAGCAGTTTTCTCCTTCCATGTTATCTTTCTAGTGTCATACTAGAAATAGGGCTCCGGTTTGATCTCCTGATTACCTCCACATCTAGTTCTTTTCAGTCCCTTTCACGAAGTCTGAATCCTAGACAAACTTCCCCTTACTGAGAATGAACACTTCCTAGAAGCCTGCCAGCCTTAACATGCCCATCAACCCAGACAGAACCAACAGGGCTCTAGGATCCCTCTTATGCTTAGTCATTTTCATTTCTCCCTCTACCTGGTTTCCCATAAACCTCATCTGAGACTATCTTGGTTTAAACGATCTTGCCTACTAGAAGCTTCCATGTGACTTGCAGCAAGAGTGGATACAAAATTAAGTATCTCAATCCCCCTCCCACTGTATGGTAAGCCTCATGAAAGTAGAGATTTTTGGCTGAGTTGTTCGCTACTTTATTTCCAGTCTGAAACAACACCTGACACATAGCAGATAGTCAATAAGCATGTATTGAATTACCGAATGGATATACTTTGATTGCCCCACTGTCAGATTCACACCTAAGAAATTATCAGTCTGTGAAACTAAAACAGAGATGGATAGCGGAGTGCTAGGGAGACTACTGCTATGGTATTTAGATGCTAGATTGGTTGGTCCTCCCTATGTTACTAAGCTAGATGGAAATTTTCAGAAATCATAATCCTTAACAGCTTATTAAGCTGAGATTCTCAATCAGTCCTAATAGCGCCTCATGGGTAAGGTGGAGTTGGTGATGGATGGGGGCACTGGCGATGCTTCACCCATGGCCAGCAGAGCGTTAGTGAAGGAGGCAGTGCTAGGTGACCCACTGTCATCCTGCATCAGGCATTAGTGTCTGTTCTGTCCTTGGAAAAGATGACTGAGCTTCAAAGTGTACATTTCTTTAATTAAAATAGAAGTGGTACCATTTGATATTTTCCACATCACCAAGCCATTTCCCTTCACATAAAAGCAAATATTTTATGCTTTTGTATCAAGTGTGCCTAGAAAGATTTTCAGCACCAAGAAGTGCAAATTATTTGCTCCAGCATTTATGTTAGTTGCCTGTGTAATGACTGAATGCGACAGCTCGTCAATAGTGACATTTAATATGCCTGTTGTACAGAAGTCATAGTTCATTTACTTTTTGAGGCATGAGTCCCAGGGAAATGGGCTTTACGAATCTGAGACATAACTGATGGATTCTGTTCATCCATTCAACACCAACACAGTTTTTTTTTACTGAAGCCTTCTGAAACTAAAGGAGTAAAGGTGATATTTTTAAGTTGTTGAAAAGCAGATCAATAGCTAATTTAACCTTAAAGCGAGGATATGTTCCCTGTCCAGGACTCAGAAAATACACTAGCATTCCACTAATTTCTATGCTTTCCTGTTAACTTGTCAAATGAATTGGTATTCATAGTTCAAATCAAATACCATGTTTTAAAACATAAGAAAGGTACAGTGTAGGAGTTTATCAATAAAATTCTTCAGACTTTATTATTTACTCAAAAGAAGACTAGATGCTTTGAGATTCAGCAAGCAATATGCAGCTTTCTCCTACACCAGAGGATGTCTGCTTTGTCTTGTGCCCAAACTATACTCAAAATATTACATGGCATCATAAATCTAACAGATAAGAATAAGGAGGTGGGGGCCATGGTGGCTCACACCTTTAATCCCAGCACTTTGGGAGGCTGAGGTGGAAGAACTGCTTGAGCCCAGGAGTTTGAGACCAGCCTGGGCAACAGAGTGAGACCCTGTCTCTAAAAAAAAAAGGAAATATTAGCTGAGTGTGGTGGCATATGCCTTTAGCCTCAACTACCCAGAAGGCAGAGGCCAGAGGATCATGTGAGCTCTGAAGGTTGAGGCTGCAGTGAGCTATGACCCTACCACTGCACTCCAGCTTGGATGACAGAGCCAGACTCTGTCTGCAAAAAATAAATAAACAAAAAGAGTGAAAGAGAGAAAGAAAGAATAATACTCTGAGAATGCAATTACATTTTTTCTCCTGTGGCACAATAGAAAATGTATCAACTTGTTGTAGCCTCCACATAGTCAAACGAATATGTTTTGTTTTACTGATATGTACTGGGTAGGGGAGCTTGCTGATGGAAAAACCCAGGAAAGATTGACATTTGGATGAAAGATGACAATGACAGAAAGAAGAAGGAAGGGAATGAGAAATATAGACATAAAAATGGTGTTTAAATGTTAAGTTACAGAAAGTTAAAATGGGTAATATAATATTTGTGGCAGAATTTTTATTCTACAAGAATGACAAAGTTGCTAAAATTGGGGAGGTAGGATATATTAGTCTCCAGGCATAGGGAGGGACACAGATAAACTGTCTCAAGTAAATCCCCAGCAGAATGTGCAAGACACATTTACCGGAACAGAACATGCCAGGCACCAAACACAAGAATTTTTTTTAAAAATCGCTTTCACCCAAACTACACCTGAAGCCAATTAAATCAGAGTGGCTGAGAATGAGACCCCATCACTGTATGTTTTAAAGCTCCCTCAAGAGTTCCAGTGAGCCGGATTTAAGAATCCCTGACCTAAATAATTACAGCCTACTTGTATCTTCTTATCAGTGTGGTTCTTTCATTCAATCAGAATTTACAAACATCCACCTCATGCCAGACAGTGTGCTAAGCCATAGTGGTAGAATCATTCAACAAGAACAACAAACAAGTTATAGTGCCACCCTCAAGGATATCAGAGTTTAAAAGAAAAGGTGTATGCAAAATAATCAAAATAATTGTAATAAAAATAATAAAACAGAAGCTTGTATGTATTGCTTATTATAACCTAAGCTATGCTGAATGTTAAGCATGTATCTACTTCCTAATCCTCTCAGTTTCCTTGTCACCTCTCTTTGTAGATGAGAGAACTCAGGCTTGAAGAAGTAACATAACCTGTGGGATATAATAATTCTAGTTAAGTGGCACAGATGGGACTCATACCAAGCCAACTTCACTCGTAATCATATGACCCTATGGAGGTTATGAATAAATGCTATAAAAGGGCCGGGTGTGGTGGCTCACACCTGTAATCCCAGCACTTTGGGAGGCCAAGGCAGGCAGATCATGAGATCAAGAGATGGAGACCATCCTGGCCAACATGGTGAAACCCCATCTCTACTAAAAATACAAAAATTAGCTGGGCATGGTGGCAAGCACCTGTAGTCCCAGCTACTAGGGAGGCTGAGGCAGGAGAATTGCTTGAACCCAGGAGGTGGAGGTTGCAGTGAGCCGAGATCGTGCCACTGCACTGCAGCCTGCAACAGAGTGAGATTCTGTCTCAAAAAAAAAAAAAAAAAACCTATAAAAGTCCTGAGGAGGAAATTAATCATTCAGCTGGAAGGGGAGGAAGATGGAAGATGTTTGGGGAAAACCTCGTAAAAGAGGCAAAACTTAAACTATGTAAAAAATCAGTAGGACTTTTCCACAGGGAGAATAACAGGGAAGCTATGTTAGAATTGAACAGCATTTGTAAAGATAGGAAGGTTTATAAGTATTTGAGGAGAAGACAATGATTGGCTGAGTCCCTGAGGAAGTTTGTTTGGAGTCAGGCTTTCCTCATGCTCCCAGTTATTTCTGGAACATTGGACTAAACATCACAGATGAGTAGCTCAAGCAGAACAGTTTCTCCCTTGTGATTATGAGCAATATCTAGTTAGATATTATGAGCAATATCTAGTACTTACCAGTTCCTCATTATTTAGGGATGTCCTAATCACCATAGCCAGGGAGAGTCCAGATTTCCGGGCAGCCAGGGTCTAAAACAAACAGAATTATGACTTATTAATACATAGGGAGGTTGACGTGCATATACTGCTCAGCAGAAGGTGAAAATGCAAGAATATGGGCTATCACTGTTCATATTTTAGTTAGTAAGGACCTGCCATTTTGGTAATCAGCCGATTCACCCAGAATATGGACTTATACAATATTAAAACTGGAACGATCCCACAACTCATCAAACCCAACCCCTACATTTTATAGATGATGAAACTGAGGCCCAGAAAGGCAAGATGACCAGTCTTAAGATGACCAGCCCCCTCAACCACCTCAGGCTAGCAAGAGGCTTCTCAAACTTTCTTATTCCTCAAGGTGGTTGTGATATATTCATTCAGAATACATAACCTTTGGTAGAGAGCCAGCCTGACTTTGGTGATGGCCCTGAATCATAATTAGTATTAGATGGTTCCTGAGTTGTTCATAGTTCCCTAGAATATTCTTCCATATCTATTCAAGATATTTTTTCTAAGTGTTCATTTAATTTACCGAGAATTGTTATATCCAGATTCATTTTCTTCACTCGATGCTGGTAACTTGAGTGATCTTAAATAAGAGTCAAGTCCCTTTAGTTTCCTCACCACATAAAATAGAACCATAACCACCACTATCTACTCCTACCCAAAATATATGAAATACAAGAAACTCAGCAGTGCTATGGAGAACGTTGGAAATCAGAACCTCCATATGGGAACAGTAAAACTGTTATCCCATTAGGAGCAAAGGGATGTCATTGTGGAATAATGCATTCTTGATCACCTGAGACCCATCTGGTCATATACATATCTCCTCAGCATTACAAAGTCATTAACTCAAATAAAATTCAGCATACACCTGAGTAAGAATGTCACTCTCCACTCATCTCCACATTTACCTTGAAGACTTACCTCCAAGAGTTTACCCAAGAAAATGTTTCATCTTTGAAAAATATATTCCCTAAAACTATACTTGTATCCTATTTTGGTCTGTGTTTGCACCTGTTGCATACATAATTTTCTCTTTCAGAATTGAACCAGAGGTTAAATTCTTGCAGAACAAACTTCTTATTCTTGTATGTCTGTCTTTTCATTTCTCCATTCTTGCCCTCTTTTACCCCATGAGTAAGTGCAGTGTATGTTTGAGAAGACTGCAAAATATTAATTAAATAAATAGCAAAGCACTTACCATGGCCTGAAGATTCCAGAAGTGAGAGGAAACAAAATGTAAATAATTAGATACATGAAAGGTAGGAAAAGAGTATAACAATGTTAAATTAGCCTAACACTTTACAATTATTTCCACATAGTGAAGACAGAAATTTGAACTAAATGTACTGACATGTTATACTTTCCAGTATAAGATCTTTTCAGTCAGGATCATATTTTAAAACCAAAGTGGTGGCCTTCAGATGAAGGCTTTCTTAGCAAAATTAAAAATTACTGATGTAAAAAGTTATGTACGTTGTTGCTGAAAGAAAATTTACTTTTTATGGGGGAAAATATATTTTTCATATCACATATAATATTAAAAATATGCCCATAAAATGTGAAGATATTTTGGATGATAGAAGAGACACTTTTTCACGATGATTTTTTTTTTTTTACAATCTAATGTAGGCCATGGTCAATTTTTTGCATTTATCAAGGTGGCTGCAGCATATTTCAATATAGGAAACAGATTTATTCAGAGTCATGATCAGAAGTAATAATGATGTTAATAACTTGAAAACCATGGTTTTCTCTTCTTTTTTATTATTTTTATTTTTATTTTTGAGACGGAGTCTCGCTCTGTCACGCAGGCTGGAGTGCAGTGGCGCAATCTCGGCTCACGCAAGCTCCGCCTCCCGGGTTCACGCCATTCTCCTGCCTCAGCCTCCAGAGTAGCTGGGACTACAGGTGCCCACAACCACTCCAGTTAATTTTTTGTATTTTTAGTAGAGACAGCGTTTCACCATGTTAGCCAGGATGGTCTTGATCTCCTGACCTCATGATCCGCCCGCCTCGGCCTCCCAAAGTGAACCATGATTTTCTTTAAATAGAAGAGCTTATTAATTTAGCTAGAATTGACTTTAATATAATAAAATGAAGAGTTGATTAATGTTATCTGCTTGCTGTATAAAGTATTCAGGTCCACTGTATTAAGGTGAAGAAGTTTAAATAAAGCCTCAAGCATTGTGAATTAAACTTCTGGTCATTCATAACACTAAACACATCAAAGCCTATTCACTTGCTTGGTATGCTGTGTGATTTCTTTTTGCTCCAATTATTAGGGTCATAGTCACTTAATTGTAATTTCCACTTATATCAAAAGCTATCAAAGGTTTGAGTTATCTCCTCCATCTAATAGATTTTAAAGAAATAATAATAAATATAACAGCAGGTAGCATCTGGCCTCATATATTTTTATTCCATGGAATATTTACAGGCTAGACAGTGAATGAGAAGGACATTACATTTTAGTAAGGAAAAAAACCACACATGCAATCGAAGAGAATTAAACAGTTGTAACTTACCACATCTCGGACAATAGGCAAAGTTTTTTTTCTGCGAAGATCCGGCATGCTGTCAATACCATAAAGTCCACCTCCAGCCCTGAAAGACAAAATAAAACCAATAATTGCAATGGGTAAAATGACTTCTTGTAAGAAAAACATCCACTGTTCATGGTATAAAGTCTGTGAAAAAGATGACCTGGATACCATAGTTTTCAAACGATTCACAAAGCTGCAAAGATACAAGCTTCTAGGACTTTGTTGAGTGAGGAAAAAAGACTGTAGCTACCACATTTGCTGACGACTCATCTTCTTGGATAGTTGAAAATTTAAGATATACATGGCCTGGATGGACACACTGTTTCCTGTTAGTATCACAGAGGAAAGAATCAAAATGTAAGATCTGTGGAACTTCTTACCTCCAGGAGGAAACAGAAGCAAACCATTTTTGGTGCAAGTTTGGTCTGGCTATGGTGCTAAATAAATTACCTTCATTATAAAAATACCAGTTATTGTGTGCTTCTGCTTCACAAATTAAACTCCAGAATAATGTCTCAAGGAGTCATGGACATATTTAAGATATTGGTAATTACCCTTATACCGCAAGTTCCCCTTATCTGAATTCATCCTACAGGTAAATGCACAGAATTAAAATAAGTAGTTGTAGAACGATGTTTATTGCATCTTTAAATAATAGCAATAAAAGCTAGGTTATTTACATGTTCATCAATAGCATATTGATTAAATGAATCAATGGGAAGAATAATTAAAGTGAAACAGGTAAATATATGTGCGCATACATAAAAAATACCCATAAGATGTTTAGTGAAAAAAAGCAAGTTTGCGTATTAGTAAGTTTAGTACACTCCCATATATATATATATATATACTGACATGGGAGTGTACTAAACTTATATATATATGTTTATGAACGCACATAAAATATCTAGAAAAATAATTATGAAATTGATAACTGTAGTTACCTCTGTGGAGTGAAAATGGGTGAGAGAAAGAGAAAAATCCCTGTTATAAACTTGATAATATTCAGTTTTTAAATAGGCATGTATTATTTTGCAATTAAAATAATTTTCTAAGAGGTATTAACATTTGTTTCTCTGGAATGAGTTTGATACATTGAATTTGACTTTTTATTGCATTAAATCCAGTCATTTAATATAACCAACAAGATGCTAATATTACTGATGATAGCTTCTCCTTATGCTTACTTGAACTACAAAACCCCTTGCTGACCTCTTGCCCATGGTCAGCTTATTCACCATGAACAACACAGTTCATGCCCCTCGGTAATAGCTAGGCATCTCTGTCATTGCAACAGGCTACAAAGGCTAATGACAGATTAATAGCATTTTATAGTCCAGTTTTCCGTCAGCAGAGAGATGGCCTCTATGTTCTTGCTGCTTAGCTTAATATAAGGAAACTTAGTCTTAATGGATTTTTCTTAGTCGTCATGAGCCTAACTCCAACACTTCTTCAGTTATCCACTACTACTAACATGGTACTACTAACAAGTAACTAAATGTGTCATAAAATTCATGTCAATAGAAATGAAAACAAAGTAGTAATAAAGATAAAATGAATTAATAAATGCATAGTAATGATGCCATAACATATATTTGGAAGTGAGGATCAAATGCAGTGAGCGTGAAATATTAAAACCATTGCAAATGTGTAAGAAAGATGTCAAGGATGAGCAAATTATTTTCAGAGTCGTGCACTTCAACTAAATGTCCCCCTTAATTTTGATCATAAAGAAATAGAATACGTGTGAAGCAGAGGTCAAGAAAGATGGAAGAAAAGAGAGAAGAAAAGAACTGAAGAGAATGTGTTCAGGGAGAAAGGTGACATTTAAAAGACCCCTTTCTCCACTAATTCTATGATAAAATAGCTAATATGATTTCCCTCATTGCCCAGAATAATGACAATTAACACTCTCTAGGTTAAGGGCTGTGCTAGTCACAGTGAGTCAAAGTTTGAGAATGTACATCACAAGAAAGAATCATTGGTGACATACTCTTTTGAATGTCAAGAGACTGTGGAGTAGAAAAGGGAAAAGAATGATAAACTTTTTTTCTTAAGCCCCACCTTCAGAATACACAGCACTACTCCATCAGTAACTTCTTGCTTCCCTCCTGTCATCTTTCCATATTCCTTCCCACCCCCTGCCAATTCATACTTGACCCTTCCACATTCAAAACATCAAATACATGGAAAAAGGCTAAGTGAATGGGTATCTAGAAGGATTCTTCCAGTTTCATGTGCTCCAATATTAGGCTATCATTCCAAGTAGTTTCTACTTTCTCTCCTCTGTGAACAGTATCAATAATGAACTAAAACATGCATGAATAAATATTTTCCCATTACAGTACCTATTAATCATGTTAACTATAAACCTTCAAGTATTTTGAAATGTTTTGACTTCTAAATAATGCAACTTTCATAGCTATGTAAAGAAACACATTCAATTCAGATGATGGTTGAGAAACTGATTTATAAACTGCAAAGTGTTATATAAATGAGTTGTGAATTTTCTTTTATCAGTAACCATTATTTCTTTTATGGTTTCCTTTCCATGAAACTTAATTCAAATTTTCAAAGTACACCCAGAATCTTGAATCGAACTTATTTACCCACAAATTTGGGAATCAGTTATAAGCATGTGCATTATTGGGCCTGACACTTCACTCCTATGCTTATCTCATCAGAGCAGAGATATCCAAGGACCTAGGACAAATATGAGCACTGCAGAATAACAAGCCCAAGTGAGCAGACATGTATCCAAAATTCATCTCTGCCTCTTTTGAGTTTACCACTGAATTTCACTGAACTTACATTTTATAATTTGGAAAATTGCAAGACAATGAAAACACTTTCTCAACCTTCACAGATAGCCTCAAAACATAGCCTTCTCAGGTTATGTTTCCTTATACTTTTATATTTTCATCATTACTACAAGAAACTTTGATAAGCCTATCCATCAAGTAATAATATAAAATTTTATCACAAACCATGACTTCGAAAACAGTCTACCTTACTGACCTCACCTCATGAATAGAGAAGCACTTGATAAATATAGATAAGGTCTACATAAATGCAAACTATTTTTGTAATGTTTATTGGGAGGCTTCTTACCAGGAGCGATCTTGGAGAGATTAAGTAACACAAACTAGTAAATAGTAGAAATATTCATATATAAATAAATCATTTACTTTCTAGGCAAGATCTTAAGTTCATGCACCACAGTTAAAATCCAGAAGAAACTGTCTAGACTTGATGAACAAGAAGTCAGATGAAGTTATCAGAACAGACCATAGCAGACAAGTAACTCTAAAGGTAAGGTCTGATAAGAAAAGAAGCTGTTTCATTTCAGCCCTTTTAGGTATAGTTGATTGTTTTAAGATGTCATTGACTGTAGACAGAAAACTCACTAAGGATAACTAATTTTTTTTGGTGCTTATTAGGTGACAGATATAATGCTAATATTTGTACCCAACATTTACAGAGTGCTTATTATTCTAAGCACTTTACTTATGTTAACTCATTTTATTTTTTTAAATCTTATGAGGTATAGGTACAATTATTTCTCTCATTTTATAAATAAGAAAATGAAGACAGAATCCTTCAAAATCATACCCAAGGTCATTATTAAGATCTGAAATGGCAGTGCCAAGGTTTGAGCCCACAGTTTATGACTTACCGTGCTCCACTGCTTATCTGATTGGGATATCCTATATCTCTAAAACTCATATGAACTGAGGTCTACAATTAATATTATTTTGTATTTAATGAAACTAATATATTGCAGAGATTGATTTCCACTGCAGGATCATTTTACCTCAGACTTAATGTTCTTAATAATCAATAAGCATTTTGCTAAGAAGAAATAAGACACATGTACCAGTTGATCCAGGGATGTTGCCATCATTTGGATATTTTTTCAATGTATTTCAGGAAAGTATTATCTTCAGATCACAACCCTGTTTCATTGTACAAAATAGCCTCAGTATTCCTCAAATGACCCCTGCCCAAGTATTCAAGTGTTCTTCTTAGGAATAAAGACTTATTAGACTATAGGCATTACAGACAGGATAAAAAACTGAAGACATCGATGGAAGTAGTTGGAAAGTCAATGGCTGCATAAAATGACAAAATGGATATTATTTTAAAGTCTAAATCAAGCATGCTCAAATTCAATATCAGCTCTATTACAAAGTTTTTATTAATATTTTAATTAACATCATAACTATACACATTTATGGGGTACAATGTGATGTTTTGATATAGGTAGGCAATGTGGGCTGATTAAATCAAGTTAATTAACATACTTGTCACCTCACTTATTTTTTGTAGCGAGACCTTTAAAATATACACTCTTAGCCAACATACTTTAAATATTTTCAGTGGTTTTCTTTTGTTTCTCAGTTCTTTCCATAATGATATTAAAATGAGTTTACTGAATTTAATAAAATCTGAGATGTACAGTATATTGCTATGTGCCTTGACTCAGGTTCAGTTAATTGTCTTGTTATAAAATAAATGCAAAATAGAGTATACAAATTACATATGTTCTGTAATTTTAAGACACTTCATATTTAGATAAAGAAAATAAAAGTTGATTTTACTGATTAAGTAGAGATTAATTATTATTTTCACTCAAAATTGACTGATAACATATTGAATATATACAGATTGCAAAAGAAATTTGAGAAGACACCATGAAAATATCACGTGAAAACTATCAAGCAGGATATAAAAAAATACACAATACAACTAATTATTACTGAAATGCAAAATTAAACCACAATGAAATATCACCTCACAAGTGATACAAGAGTTATCATGAAAATAATAAAAGATAACAAGTGTTGGTGATGCTATGGAGAAAAAGGGACCTTTGCACATTGTTGTTGGGAATGTAAATTAATACAGCCATTGTGGAAAATGAGGTGTAGATTCCTCAAATAAGTAAAAAACAGAACTACCATATAATTCATTACTCCTACCAACAGTGAAAAAATATGTTCACTCCTATATTTATTGCCACATTATTCACAATATAGCCAGGGTATGAAATCAACCTAAGTGTCTATCAGTGGATTAATGGATAAAGAAAATGTGGCATATATACACAATAGAATACTAGTCAGTCTTAAAAAAAAACCCTACAATTTGTGACAATGGATGAACCTGAAGGACATTATGTTAAGTGAAATAAGCCATCCATAGAAACACAAATACCACATGATCTTGATGACATGTGCAACCTAAAAATGTTGATCTCAGAACTAGGGAATAGAGTGGTAGTTACAAGAGGTGGATGGCAGGGAAGGGGAGGTTAGGGAGATATTGGTCAAAAGATACAGAAAATTAGTTACACAGGAGGAATGAGTTTAAGAGATCTATTGTAAATAGGGTGAATATAGTTCATAACAATATACTGTATTCTGGAAAAATGCTAATGGAGTGGATGTTAAGTGTACTCACCCCATAAATATAACTATGTGAGGTAACACATATGTTAATCAGCTAGATTTTGCCATTTCACAATGTAAATGAACTTCAAAATATAAAGCTGTACATGATAAATACGTACAATTATTCCAATCATTTAAAAATAATAATAAACAAATGGTAAGGTGATTAAAAATAAAAAGACTGTCAGCTTTCAAGGAAGTGGAGCAACATGGCTGAATAGAAGCCTCTAGCAATCATCTTCTCCACAGGAACACCAAATTGAACAAGCATCCACCAAAAAACACCTTCATAAGAACCAAAAATCAGGTGAGCAATTATAATACTTGGTTTTAACTTCATATCACTAAAAGAGGCACTGGAGAGAATCGGAATGACACCGTATAATTACTGATGCCACCCCTCACTGATCCCTTGGCAGTGACCACATGGCATGGAAAGAGAATCTGAGTGCTTGAGGGAGAGAGAATGCAGTAATTGCAGGACTTTGCGTTGGAACATTGGAACTCAATGCTGTCCTGTCACAGCAGAAAGCAACAACAGGCAGAACTCAGCCAGTGCCCACAGAAGGAGCATTTACACCAGCCCTAGCAAGTGGGGACTAGCCCATCCCAGCAGTTGGATCCTGAGTTCTGACAAGCCTCACCACTAAAAGGCTACAATGCTGTTGGGTCCTAAATAAACTTGAAAGGCAGTCTAGGTACAAGGACTGAAAATCCTCGTGCTGTGCTATGCTTAGAGCCAGTGGACTTGGGCAAATGAACTAGAGATACACCATCTAGGTGGCTCAGGGAGACTTTGTACCACCCATTTCCCCAACCCCAGGCAGCACAGCTCACAGGTCTGGGATAGACACTTTCCCTTTTCTTGAGGAAAGGAGGGGAGAGGGAAGAGCAAGAGGACTTTGTCTTGCAACTTGGAACCCAGCACAGCCATAGCAGAATAAGGAATCAGAGTTCTGAGACTCCCATTCCAGGCCATGGCTCTTAGACAACAGTTCTAGGCACACCCTAGGCCAGAAGGGAACCTGCTGCCTTGAAGGGAAGAATCCAGTCCTGGCAGGATTCATTACCTGCTGACTAAAATACCCTAGGTCCCTGAATAATCAGGAGCCGTAGCCAGGTAGTACTCGCCATGGGCCTTGGGTGAGACTCAGAGACATGCTGGCTTTGGTGTAACCAAGCACATTCCCAGCTGTGATGGCAATGGGGAGAGACCCATTCTGCTTGAGAAACGGAGAGAAAAGGGTGAAGGAGATTTTGTCTTGCAGCTTAGGTACCAGCTTGGCCACAGTGGGGTACAGCACCCAGAGTTCTTGGGGTCCCTGATTCCATGCCTTGGCTTTTGGACAGCATTTCTGGACCTTCCCTGGGCCAGATGGGAGCACATTGCTTTGAAAAAAGAACTCCAGGCTTGGCAGTATTCACCACAAGCTGACGAAAGAGGTCTTGGGCCTTGAATGAACGCTGACTGTAGCCAGGCAGTACTCACTATGGGCCTAGGGCAGTGGTGACTATGGGGAGAGACACGTCTTCTTATATGGAAAGGAGATGGAAAGTGAGTAGGACTTTGTAGCACGGTTGAGGTACCAGCTCAGCTGCAGGAGAATAGAGCACCAGGTAGATTCCTAAAGTTTCTGACTTCAGACTCCAGCTCCTGGATGGCATCTCTGGACCCACCAGCAATGAGAGCGAACTCACTATCCTGAAGGGAAGGACACAAGCCTGGCTGGCCTTACCACCTGCTTATTGTGGAGCGTCAGGGCCTTAAGTGAACATAGGTGGTAGCCAGTCAGTGGTTGACAGGCCTTGGGCAAGACCCAGTACTATACCGGCTTCAAGACTGACCCAGCACATTACCAGTGGTAGTCTGGACACAGCTGTACTCACCTAGCTGTGGTGCTGGACATGGGCATCCCTGAGCTCTTGGGGGCCCGGGAAGCCCCCTTGTCCCCACAGGTTTGGAAGTGCCTGATCTCACTCCCTGGGGCCACTTTTGGAACAAGGCTGAAGCCAAGCCTGGAATGCTGTCATGACTTGGCTGGTGTGTGTGCACTCAGGGAAGTCCTGACACACTACCCCCCTGCCCCCTCGGTCTCCCTCTGAAGATTTAGGCACCAAAGAGCTCAGGAAGGGAGGGAGGGGGTGCTGCAGGTGGCTCAGCATGGGCTGGCAGGTGCCCCTTGGCACAAGCAGCCTGGGTGCCATGAATGGTACGTTGATGGCAGCAGGCAGGCTCCATGGTGGAAAGGGTTGGGTCTGTGGTGAAACCCCACCTTCAAGCGAGGGATGGCTTGAAGCCTGGGGACTGGGCTGCCAGTTCTGGGTGGAGTCCACAGCCAGGAGTGAGAACTTATGGTGCTTTTTCCAGGCCCGCCCGTGGCCATCCATGGACCGATCAGCACACACTTCCTCCCTTCTGAGCCCATAAAAACCTGAACTCAGCCAGACTTAAACAGAAATAAGAACGATCTGCCTGAGGAAAGGAGCTACCCACTTTGGGTCTCCTGAAAACAATTCTGCCATTCCACGAAGCTCTTCTCTGCTCACCCTCCAGCTGTTTGCGTGCCTCATTCTTCCTGGACAAAGTATAAGGACTCAGGACCCACTGAATGGTGAGACTAAAAGAGTTGTAACATAAACAGGGCTGAAACATGCCCCCTACCCTTCCCTGCTTGCCACGCTGTGGGTAATGAGAAGGAGAAGAGCTGCTGCCCTCCAGGATCCCAGACCTGGGGACTCCCTGAGCCAGGGGTCTGACACACTTTAAGGAGTTCTGCAGTTTCTGATGTCTCCAAGCTTCCAGGCACCACCATGATCCCTCTGTCCAGACACAGGTGCCTACAGCGCAAGCCACATGGAGTACATCTGGTCCAGCTGCACCTTCTCACAGAGCCAACATGTGTGCTGGTGCCTGGAGCTGCCTGCCCTGCCTCAGCGGCCAGCCTCAGCTTGGTTTTACACCGTGGCTGGACCCCAGGCTTGCTCTCCAACACACCCCTTGCCACTCTGCACCTGGCTTGTCCTTGGCTGGTGTAGGATCTGGGCCAGTGGCGTAAGCCAAGCACAGTTGGCTGGGGCAAGTGGATGGAACAAGGTAAGTGGTCATAAGCAATACTCAAGCAGAAGGTCCTGGTGGCAACAGAGGTTTCCAGCTAGCAAATTGACACTCCAAGGACCCTGTGACACTACAAATCAATAAAAGCCCAGGATCAGATGGATTTACAGCTGAATTCTACCAGAGGTACAGAAAAGAGGTGGTACCATTTCTTCTGAAACTACTCCAGGCAATTGAAAAGGATGGACTCATCCCTAACTCATTTTATGAGGCCACTCTCATCCTGATACCAGAACCTAGAAGAGAAATGACAAAAAATGAAAACTTCAGGTCAATATCTCTGATGAGCGTTGATGCAAAAATCCTCAATAAAATGCTGGCACTGAATCCAGCAGCACACAAAAAGCTTACCCATGACAATCAACTTGGCTTCATCCTGAAATGCAAAGTTGGTTTAACATACACAAATCAATAAATGTAATTTACCAAATAAACAGAACTAAAAACAAAAACCATGTGCTTATCTCAACAGATGCAAAAAGGCCTTCAATCAAATTCAACATCTCTTCATGTTAAAAACTCTCAATAAACTAGGTATTGAAGGAACATACCTCAAAATAATAAGAGCCATTTATGACAAACCCACAGCCAAAATTATACTGAATGGGCAAAAGCTGGAAGCATTTGCTTTGAAAACTGGCACAAGACAAGGATGCCCTCTCTTACCACTCCTATTCAACATAGTATTGGAAGTTCTGGCCAGGGCAATCAGGCAAGAGAAAGAAATAAAGGTATTCAAATGGGAAGACAAGAAGTCAAACTGCCTTTGTTGGCAGATGACATAATCCTGTATCTAAAAAACCCATCTTGTCAGCCCAAAAGCTTCTTAAGCTGATAAGCAACTTCAGCAAATTCTCAGGATGCAAAATCAGCGTGCAAAAATCACAAGCATTCCTTTACACCAATGACAGACAAGCAGAGAACCAATTCATGAGTGAACTCTCATTCACATTTGCTACGAAGAGAATAAAATACCCAGGAATACAGCTAACAAGGAGTGAAGGGCCTCTTCAAGGAGAACTACAAACCACCACTCAAGGAAATCAGAGAGGACACAAACAAATGGAACAACATTCCATGCTCATGGATAGAAAGAATGAATATTGTGAAAATGGGCATACTGCCCAAAGTAATTTATATATTCAATTCGATTTTCATTAAACTATCTTTGACATTCTTCACAGAATTAGCAAAAGCTATTTTAAAGTTTATATGGAACCAAAAAAGAGCCCAAATAGCCAAGACTATCCTAAGCGAAAAGAACAAAGCTGGAGGCATCATGCTAACCAGCTTCCAACTATACTACAAGGCTATAGTAACTAAAACAGCATGGTACTAGTTAAAAAAAAAAAGACAGAGAACTCAGAAATAAGACTGCACATCTACAACCATCTAATCTTCAACAAATAATACAAAAGATCAATGAAAAAAAGCTATTGAAAAGATAAACAAAACTTACAACCTTTAGCCAAGCTAAATAAGAAAAAAAAAAAAAGAAGACACAAGTAAAACCAGAGGTGAAAAGGGAAATATTGCAAACAATACTACAGATATTCAAAGGATCATTGGAGGCTACTATGAGCAACTATATGCCAATAAATTGGAAAACCTAGAAGAAATTAATAAATTACTAAACACATAAAACCTACAAAAATTAAACCAGGAAGAGATTCAAGACCTGAACAGACCAATAACAAGTAGTGAGATTGAAGCTGCAATAAAGTGCCTCTGAGCATAGAAAAGCCTGGGACCTGATGACTTCATTGTTAAATTTTGGAAAACATTTTAAAAAGAACTAATACCAATCTTATTCTAACTACTCTGAGAAATAATGTAGGAGAAGTGAATACTTCTAGACTCATTCTATAACACCAGTATTACCCTGATACCAAAGCCAAAGACACATGAACAAAAAAAGAAAGTAAGAAAGCCACAGGCCAATATCCCTGATGAACACTAATTTGATGCAAATATCCTTAACAAAATACTAGCAAACCGAATTCAACAACATATTGAAAAGATCATTGATCATAACCGAAGATGATTTATCTCAGGAACACAAGGATGGTTCATCATACCCAAATCAGTCAGTGTGATACATCACATCAACAGAATAAAGGACAAAAACCATATGACCATTTCAACTGATATCGAAAAAGCATTTGATGACATTCAATATTCCTTCACTATAAAAGCCTTCAAATTCCCAGAAAGAACATACCTTAACACATTAAAAGTGCCAAAAATACAACAGACACACAGCTAGTAACATACTGAATGGGGAAAAACTGAAAACCTTTCCTTTAAGATCAGTAACACCACAAGGATGCCCACTGTCACCACGGTTATTCAACGTAGTACTGGAAGTCCTAGCTGGAGTAATCAGACAAAAGATATAAAGTGCAACTAAACTGGAAAGGAAGAAGTCAAATTATCTTCGTTTGCACATGATATGATCTTATATTTGGAAAAACCGAAAGCCTCCACCAAAAAACTGTTAGAATTGATCAACAAATTTAGTAAAGTTGCAGGATACAAAATCAACATACAAAAATCAGTAGCATTTTTATATGCCATCAGCAAACAATATGAAAACAAAATCAAGAAAGTAACCTCATTTACAATAGTTACAAATAAAATAAAACCCTACAAATTAACTTAATCAAATAAGTGAAAGATCTTTATAATGAAAACTACAAAACATTGATGCAAGAAATTGAAGAGAACACCAAAAAACAGAAAAATATTCCATGTTCATAGACTGGAGGAACTAATATTGTTAAAATGCCCATACTACCTACCCAAAGCAATCTACAGATTTAATACAATCCCTATCAAAATACTAATGCCCTTCTTCACAGAAAAAGAATAAAAAATCCTAAAATTTAAATGGAATTGCAAAAGACTCAGGATAAGCAAAGCTATCCTGAGCAAAAACAAAAACAAAAACAAAAACAAAACATACAAACAACAAAAAAACACAAAACTTAAAGAATCACCTTATCTGACTTCCAATTATTCTACAGAGCTACAGTAACCAAAATAGCATGGCACTGGCCTAAAAACAGACACACAGACCAATGAAACAGAATAGAGAACCCAGAAACAAATCCATATATCAACAGTGAATTCATTTTCAACAAATGTGCCAAAAAACACATTGGGAAATGATAGTCCTCTTCAATAAATGGTGCTAGAAAAACTAGATATCCATAAACAGAAGAATAAAACTAGACTCCTATCCCTCACCGTATACGAAAATCAAATAAAAATGGATTAAAGACTTAAATCTAAGACCAGAAGCTATAAAACTACTAGAAGAAAATGTGGGAAACTCTCAAGGACATTGGTCTGGGCAAAGATTTCTTGAGTAATATCCCATAAGTACAGGCAACCAAAGCAAAAATGGACAAATGGGATCACATCAACTTTAAAAGCTTCTGCACAGCAAAGGAAACAATCAACAACGTGAAGAGACAACCCACATAATGGGAGAAAATATTTGCAATCTATCCATGCGACAAGAGATTAATAACCAGAATACACATAGGGAGCCCAAACAACTCTATAGAAAAAAATCTAATAATCTGATTAAAAATGGGCAAAATATCTGAATAGACATTTCTCAATGAAGACATACAAATGGCAAGAAGGTATATGAAAATGTGCTCAAACATCACTGTTTATCAGAGAAATGCAAATCAAAATTACAATGTGATATCACCTCAACCCAGTAAAAAATGGCTTTTATCCAAATACCAGGCAAAATGAATGCTGGCAAGGATATAGAGAGAAGGGAATCCTTGTTCACTGATGGTGGGATTGTAAATTAGCACAAGCACTATGGAGATCAGTTTGGAGGTTCCTCAAAAACTGAAAATAGAACTACCATATGACCCAGCAATCTCACTGCTAGGTATATACCCAAAGGAAAGGAAATCAGTATACTGAAGAGATACCTGCTCTCTCATGTTTATTGCAGCACTGTTCACAATAGCCAAGACTTAGGAGCAACCTAAATGTCCATCATCAGATGAATAAAGAAAATGTGTACCTATACACAATGAAGTACTATTCAGCCATAAAAACAAATGAGATCTTGTCATTTGCAACAACATAGATGGAACTGGAGGTCATTCTTTTATGTGAAATAAACCAGGCACAGAAAGACAAACTGCATACGCTCACTTACTGGTAGGAGCTAAAAATCAAAACAATTGTACTCATGGAGACAGGGAATAGAATGATGGTTATCAGAGGCTGGGAAGGGTAGGGGTGGGTGGAGGAGGGTTGGGGGAATGGTTAATGGGTACAAAAATATAATGGATAGAATGGATAAAATCTTGTATTTCATATTACTACAGTCAACAATAATTTATTGTACATTTAAAAATAACTAATATAGTATGATCGAATTGTTTGTAACACAAAGAAAGCATACATTCTTGAGTTGATGGATATCCCATTTACCCTGATGTGATTATTATGCATTGTATGCCTGTATCAAAATATGTCATGTATCTTGTGAATATCTATACCTACTATGTACTCACAAAAATTTAAAATTTAAAATAAAACAAAAATTCCCAAAAAACTATCAAGCAAATTTTTCAAATAAAAATCTTTCTGATTTTGGGACAACAGTTTGCCATTCCACAAGAGGACAGTTGATAGTTATTTAGCTAATATTCACAGACTGGCTATTTTCTATTACAAATCAGAAAATTTGTATACTCTGTATCTGAAGGAGTTCTTGAATTAATTGAAGACTGTGGGTCTGAGAAAATGCAGTGTTTCTGTTTATTTCTGTGTTGCCAAAACAATTGTTCGATAGGGCTATGTGATTAATCTTATTTTTTTTAGCATTATGGAACATTAAAGCAAGGTATAAGATAACCAATCATTCTAAATCCCTCTTCTTTAATACAACTTTATTCTGTTAGACTTTTACAAACAACTCTTTTTATTTAGTTAGTTATTTGATGATAACCTATGAAAACCTATTTGCATTTTTGCCTAACGTTATGTATTTTATATATATAATATAATTTTCCTGATGACTATTATAGACTCCATATAATTTCCACCTGCTAAATATTAGCCATTCAGAGTGTGTTATCCTCCCTTCTCTTTTCAATTATTGTCAACACTGAATGAATATTTATGTTTGTACAATTGGTGATTCACTTTCCACATACAATTTATCCTAACGATTTTTTGATTTCATATTTCATCAGAGCTATAACACCATCTCTCTTCATTATTTTATACAACATTGTGAAAAAAATAATTAAATTATGACACTATGCCTTCTTAGCAATTAGAATTTAAATTTAGGTCCCTCATAAACTGACACGAAAAATCTATGTATGACATAGACTTTTGTTATTTATCTACCATTTTTGTCAATACATGAAGGGAAAATATACACAAAATAAATTGTTAACTTATTTCTTAAACTTCTGATTCAGAGTCTAAATCTTTGGAATTAGACTTCATCAGAATTGTCAACGTGTGGGACGTTTTCCAAAATATTGTCCTCTAAGCCAGCAAGAGCATCTGTGGTTTAGTATTACATAAAATAATACACCATTATTGTCTTTTTCATCCCAAGTAGCAAACCACTATGCTACAGGTTTTGATGTTGATAGGTTCTCAATCTTACCAAAAGCACCAAAACAGGCAAACAAGCCTCCTACCCTTCCCCTAATTATCCTTATTTTTTTAATGAAACAATAAGACATTGCAGTTGTTTAGCAATGCCACCACTAAAACAGTCAAAAAGTGATTCTTTCCCAGTGTACTTTTAACTACATTTACAAGTGTGCAGGCAATGAAACTCACAACATTTGCTTGGCTACCAATATTTTTAATAAACCATCAGTTATTAAGATGCATTTTTTTAATTTTTTTTATTTTTATTATTATTATACTTTAAGTTTTAGGGTACATGTACACAATGTGCAGGTTAGTTACATATGTATACATGTGCCATGCTGGTGTGCTGCACCCATTAACTCGTCATTTAGCATTAGGTGTATCTCCTAATGCTATCCCTCCCCCCTCCCCCTACCCCACAACAGTCCCCAGAGTGTGATGTTCCCCTTCCTGTGTCCATGTGTTCTCATTGTTCAATTCCCATCTATGAGTGAGAACATGCGCTGTTTGGTTCCTTGTCCTTGCCATAGTTTACTGAGAATGATGATTTCCAATTTCATCCATGTCCCTACAAAGGACATGAACTCATCATTTTTTATGGCTGCATAGTATTCCATGGTGTATATGTGCCACATTTTCTTAATCCAGTCTATCATTGTTAGACATTTGGGTTGGTTCCAAGTCTTTGCTATTGTGAATAGTGCCGCAGTAAACATACATGTGCATGTGTCTTTATAGCAGCATGATTTATAGTCCTTTGGGTATATACCCAGTAATGGGATGGCTGGGTCAAATGGTATTTGTAGTTCTAGATCCCTGAGGAATCGCCACACTGACTTCCACAATGGTTGAACTAGTTTACAGTCCCACCAACGGTGTAAAAGTGTTCCTATTTCTCCACATCCTCTCCAGCACCTGTTGTTTCCTGACTTTTTAATGATTGCCATTCTAACTGGTGTGAGTTGGTATCTCACTGTGGTTTTGATTTGCATTTCTCTGATGGCCAGTGATGATGAGCATTTTTTCATGTGTCTTTTGGCTGCATAAATGTCTTCTTTTGAGAAGTGTCTGTTCATATCCTTTGCCCACTTTTTGATGGGGTTGTTTTTTTCTTGTAAATTTGTTTGAGTTCATTGTAGATTCTGGATATTAGCCCTTTGACAGATGAGTAGGTTGCGAAAATTTTCTCCCATTTTGTAGGTTGCCTGTTCACTCTGATGGTAGTTTCTTTTGCTGTGCAGAAGCTCTTTAGTTTAATTAGATCCCATTTGTCAATTTTGGCTTTTGTTGCCATTGCTTTTGGTGTTTTAGACATGAAGTCCTTGCCCATGCCTATGTCCTGAATGGTAATGCCTAGGTTTGCTTCTAGGGTTTTTATGGTTTTAGGTCTAACATTTAAGTCTTTAATCCATCTTGAATTAATTTTTGTAGAAGGTGTAAGAAAGGGATCCAGTTTCAGCTTTCTACATATGGCTGGCCAGTTTTCCCAGCACCATTTATTAAATAGGGAATCCTTTCCCCATTGCTTGTTTTTGTCAGGTTTGTCAAAGATCAGATAGTTGTAGATATGTGGCATTATTTCTGAGGGCTCTGTTCTGTTCCATTGATCTATATCTCTGTTTTGGTACCAGTACCATGCTGTTTTGGTTACTGTAGCCTTGTAGTATAGTTTGAAGTCAGGTAGCGTGATGCCTCCAGCTTTGTTCTTTTGGCTTAGGATTGACTTGGCAATGCGGTCTCTTTTTTGGTTCCATATGAACTTTAAAGTAGTTTTTTCAAATTCTGTGAAGAAAGTCATTGGTAGCTTGATGGGGATGGCATTGAATCTATAAATTACCTTGGGCAGTATGGCCATTTTCACGATATTGATTCTTCCTACCCATGAGCATGGAATGTTCTTCCATTTGTTTGTATCCTCTTTTATTTCATTGAGCAGTGGTTTGTAGTTCTCCTTGAAGAGGTCCTTTACGTCCCATTAAGATGCATTTCTATTTTTTATAATGTATTAAAAATGTATGTTGTAGAATTGTTACAATAGGATGTTTTGCCATCTGTCCCCCTCCTGAAGCTCCTCATCAATAGTGCCCTATTCCACTTCTTGCATTCTGACCTAATGGCCCAGCTTTTCTCCAGCCCATTTTTTGGATTGCCAACAGAGTGATTTTTCCATAACACAAAATCTAAGCATGTCATTTTTATATTCAGTATCCCTGATTGCTTACAGGATATAGAACAAACCCCTTTACATCCCAGTGAGGCTTAATTGCCCCCTCATAGCTCATCTCTTTCAACTTCTGTCTTTGAGCTTCATTGTTCCAGCCATCCTGAACTCCTTGTAGGTTTTTGGGAGGCATCATACTATTCCACACTTCTCTGTTTTTACTCCACCATTCCCTCTACTGGTACTGGCCTCCTCACTGAGTAGCAAATGCTAACACCTACTTACCATTCAAGTAAGACAGTAATATCACACTCACTGATCCATAAGTATCTCCTCCCTATCCCCAGGTAACCCTCTTCCCTATCTCTGTAACCCTTAACTTCAGGATTTCTCAGTGGAAACAGATGGGGAATGAGGGGAGAAAGAGGAGGAGAAAATTATGTCTGTTTTCCCTCAAATGTGTTGCCAGCACATGTGTGGGTTGAAAGGTAAACACTTGTTACTGACAGGAGGATGTCCTACTTTTTGGTTGAACTGGAGCAGAAAAATGTCTGAGAACAATTGTTTTAAGTCTTCTGTCATATCCCCTATAAAACTGCATTTTGTTTGTTCACAGGGAATGTCTCCACTATAATACAAATTTTTTAAAAATCAATAAAATGATATTACTCATCTCTACTTTCCTAGAACTAGTTCTGGCATGTAGCAAGGATGAATGAAAAGTTGAGGTTCAGGTGAATAGGTCTTGACATTAGAGGGATGTGACATTAAGTAGTCCATGGTTCTGTTTTAAAATTTAGATTTTTGTCCCAGAAATGATGCCTGGAAAGAGCAAGATGGAAGCCTACGGACCTGGCAGAAGTCAGAGACCTCACACTAAAGAGGGTTAGTCAGCAAGAACTTAAGTCATAGGGAAGAAGATAAGAGCCTGAAATTTCCTAGGCCAGTAAGTATTTTTTATCCTCTATGAATCTATCTACTGCGGAAAATGAAAAAAATTACTTGCCTTAAAGCATCTTTGGGAGCACTGATGGAGATAATACAGATAAGTAGATTATGTATTACTGGTAGCAATTATTTGATCAGAGACTTGTGTAGACAGAAACAAAATTAAAGTTGATTGAATGTGTGCTGGCCCACCTGCTGCCCTGTGGTATTTACAATCATCCAAACTAAGGAACAGATTAATGAAAGAGCCTCTGGCAGACATGAACTTGTAGGTACCTATCTGCATAGAGAGTTAAAAGAATAGAAGGGCAGGTCGACAAAGTTCTGATCATACCCCCTATTGTATTTTTGGCTCTGTTAATTTCCTCTTCTGACTACGCTTTGTTCCAGACTTTCTTTCCTCTACTGATCCTTGGTTGGCACCTTAGCTCTGATGATGCCACATCCTGGTTGAGCTACTTCCTTGCCTTGCCCTTATCCACAATCCTAGTCCCAGTTATTTAATTTCACATCAGACAAGAGTCTCACAGATGACTCCACCAAGTTCATTTTTCTATGAACCCTAATATCTGAAAAACACTACTTTGATCCTCTCAAATATCTTTCTAAGCCCCATCTCAAAATGGAAATAAACTTCAAAGAATAAAGCTCCTCCTCAGTACTAATTGTTCCAGACTCTCACATCTTCTCTCCATTAACTCCTAGATACCTTAACTGTTGCTGTAAAGCAGAATGATTTTCTTTATTGGAAACAACACATAGTACTCTAAAGTAACCTGATGATCTCTTTGGAGGGAACCACATTAGAAACCAACATGCCATCTCACAGTAAGACCAGTATGGCTATAGTTCTTGTGTTGTCATGATCACTCATCCCTTGGTTGAACATAAGATGATGTAACTGGCTTAAGTTCAGAGATCATGGTTGCATGAAAAATATATAAAATTACCCTCAGCGGAACAACAATGTTCACGCTTGTGAGGCAAGGGAAAAATGAAACTTAAATAGGGCATAGAATATTAATGTCTTTCATCTCGCTCACTCTGGGCATGTATTAATAAAATACTGAACTAAGTGGCATGTTGAATTGCCCATCATTTTTAAATGTTTTCCTTTATTTCTCTCTGTGTCATATTTGCCCTCTCTTGCTTTCTCTCTAGTAAATTTGTATAGGAAGTGACTCCATTGAAGTAGGGAAGGAGTATGTCTGTTCTGCTGAGTGCCTGGAACACACTGGCTGTCAATAAACGATTTTTTAAAAGTTTTCACATAGTTTCACAAACATGCCAGCAATTTCAAGACAATATATCCATTCCAGAACCAATTATTTTCCCTGACATTTTTTAGCTGTTTCCTCGTCTCTGTTTTGTGTATTACCATCAATTTCACAAAGAGGTTTAAAATACTAAATAACAGCTAATCTGAGTTATAGAATTGAAGCAACCTAAAAAATGCTATATTCCAATATTTTTGTATTTTAAGGATGTGGAAAATGAGCTGCGAAGAAAATAAATGCTTGTGCAAGATACCCAGATTATTGGCAGCAAGCTAGACATAATCGGGGCTCCAGGCTTTCGCTGCAGTCCTGTCCTTTACCCCTCCTTTGCCTCTAGTATCCAAGAGATATCCAATCTTGTCCACTTTCCTTCATGTACACACTCACTGTCTCTCATCCTCACATCCTCTCTCATTTGCATCTTTATATTTGGATCACCATGTACATTTGTTGTGAATTTTATTGTGTTATGCCTGGAACTCTTTTTGTTGACTTTCTAATAACCACTTTCCCCATCTCCAGCTTATCCCAGTTTCAATTTATGTTGGACAAAATGGCTGCATCTATCTTCTGTAGGTATTTAGCCATGAAACGGACATGATTAAAATGATGTTTTAAGAAGACTAGTCTGGCAGTGCTTTTCATGATGGATTGGAGGACAAATAAAGGAGACAGAGAAGTGGTCTCAAAGATTGTTGAAATAATCCTGGATTCCTTAATGGGCTTCTTAATGAGAGTCTTGACTGAGGTAATTTCACCACTATTTTTCTCAATCCCTCCATGCCACTTCATGAACTCTGGTAAAAGTCCCAATTCAAACTGCCATAATATTTTAAAGATAAGATGGCCTCACTGTCAAGGAGAGGCTTTGTATTCTACTAAATTACTTTCTCTTTTCTTGTGCATTTGACCTATTAAAGCTCAATAATGCTCCTTAACACTTTAGGCAGGCTTTCTTTCAAACCTTTGTTCCTTTGAAACATGGTTTCAGAAGTGGTGACTACCTCATTATTCACCTTTACATTATTTTTTAAAGCTAATGCCATTTTTTAAAGTTTTCAAAGAGTGGGAGACGACATGAATGATACACTATCCTGATGAGAGAGGGAATTTCAAATTGTATTTCCAGTAATGAAAAATATTTTTCAGAGAAAAACAAATAACCAAATGGTCCTAGGTTTTTGGTATAATGAGTTGAGGAAGTAAAAAAGCCTAAATGCAGCTTTCAACAGTCTCCTGAAGGTTTTCTCAATGGTAGGCTTGGGAACAATGTCAGTGTCAGGGATTAACTTTTAACAACTCAATTACAATATGTACCTTCTAGGACTCATTTTCTTTACACATTGTTTGTCAAATAGAAAATACAGACTTTTCTAGAGCTTGCAATTACCTATACCAAAAACCTTACTCCCTCCATAATGTTCTGTGTACCTAAATTAGCCTCAGACATTATTACATGCTACAGAACAGAAAACAAAAAATGCAGCCCCAAAACTTTCTCATAATAATAGCATCCACTATTTTTTTGAAAAAAAATCCCTTTAATTAAAATTCATGCTATTTAGGGTCTCAATTTAGGGTGTTAGCTTTTAAACATCTAAGTCACACTTCTGTGGTTCAAAGCTGTAGTAAATATGAAATCGTGTGCATTAATGTTCCTTGATTTGAAGCTAATTTTTGTAGTAATCTCAGGAAAATCTCAGCAGCCATTTACACATAGTTTTTAAAAGTATGATCATTCATAATTAATGAAAGACCAACTTCTTAATAGCTTACTTTAAAGTCATTAAGTAGAATCAAATCTCCAACAGCAAAGAAACTACATTTCTTAAAGCTGAAACGCTTTATTCCTTTTAATCACACTATCCTTTAGAAGTATGCTGCATATATAAACCCTAAAATGTTTAATAATCCCTCTTCTATCACTAATGAAAATTAGCAGTACCTGACAGCAGAGACTACTAACACTATTAAGTGGTTGTCAGACTTTCACAGCCCACCCCTCTTATTATTAGACAATGTTTCTTGCATCCTCTTATATAGTTTCACAGTTCAAAGCTGACTGCAACGAAAAACATAACTCAGACTTTAGCTCAGACTAAAGACACATCTCACCGAGTAGTTTAGCTTTGATAGACAGTACCAAGAATGCCCTTTCAGGTCCTGCTCATTTTAAAGACTAGCGAAAGAAAAGAATAAAGAAAACTCCTGGGCTGTGTATCTCATCAGGAAGTAGCCTATTCACAGACAACTAGAGCCAAGCTCTGGTTGTTTGTTATTCCGTTGTTGTCTCATTATTTTAAAAGAAATTATGGAATTTTTAGGGTATAATTAAAATATAATTTTTAAAAAAGCAACAACTGTACATCAGGTACTGTTTTAATGAACTGCCAATTAGGGAATGGGTATTGGAGGGATTCCAATTGATCCACACAGGCAAGGATAAGATATAATAATTTGTAGTGTCAATTTTTAAAAGTTTCTCTGACCATCAATTTGCAATGTGTTATTTCTCTCCCTTGGTAGCTCCGTCTGTGCCTTTGCCTCCTTGGATATGTGATCTCAATGCCTTTGGCTGGTAAACTTCTGGTGCCATTGGATTAGAGAAAATTCCCTCACCTCTGAAAGTTTCCAGCAATACTACCTGTTAGGTTGGCAAGTTGCAAAATGTCTTCCCCAATCTACCTATCTGCTACAAAATAAGAAATCTTTCCCCTTTTGAACTGCTTGATATAGCTTTATCTATTTTTGGTTACATGCAATTCAGTGCTTTATGCTTACATGCACTTACACATCATCACACATCTCTTCAACAACTTGCGTCTTTAAGGTCAAGAATAAATGTATGTTCTCCATGTAAAAATAATTTGCCTGCAACCCATGAATGTACCCAGAGGGGTAATTTCCCAGGATTGTGCAAATGATTAGAAGCTTACAAAGTTAACAAGACTTAACTGCATGTTCCTAAGTAACTATCAATTAGTTGAGAACCCATTTCACCATGCTACCATTGCACTACATTTATTCCTTTTATAATACACATTAAAAATTGTGCTAAAGCTGTCTGCACATGTTTGACTTTCACTAGATTAAAAACCCTTCCAAAATAGGAACTATATAAAATATACTTTTCCTCTCTAGTATTTAGTATAGGATTTTACACATATTAAATACTTAATAAATAAGTAATGAAATTAATGAATGAAAGAATTCTTTTCATTTTTAAAAGTTTTAAAGTGGCAAATAATAATTATATATATTTATAGGGTATAACCTAATGCTTCAATATATGTAAACATTGTGGAATATTCATCTTTTAAAACACTTCTTACTAAAGCAAAAACAAGCATATAGACACACATTTGAAGGTCTTGAGTAATTAGAAATTAGAAGATTGTCCAAGTTTTCTTTTCTGCCTCGGGGTTTGAAGCAAAGGTTATTATTCTAACCGGTATGATTCTCTAAAAATTGAAAAACAAATAGATTCATTATGTCTCTAATCCAAAATGTTGTTCTTACTGTGCTTAGCATAGTGGCAGTTTGCCTCCTCAAGGCCATCAGGGTTTAAATAGAGAAAAAGTACTGTTTGTTCCTAATGGGTATGCCTTGCATTTTCAGGTGTACAGTTGCTGGAACTGAAATTGAGCTTTCCAAAACAGACACCCAACCAAAAGGTAATTTTAGCTGTCTGAAAGAGGACATATCCATCTATGTTTAGTTTAATGTGTAATCAACTCTGCTAGCGACTGTCAAACTAGTACTGTATTCTGGAAGCACTTTTTAAATCCAGTAGTTAAAACAAACAAACAGACATAGATCTAATTGAGGTTGAGGGAGAAGAAGGGAGAAAAACTATGTAGATTTGGGATATTTGGTTGTGCTGGCTGGAGAAGCAAAAGAAGACTTTGTTTATTCTTCCCAGATCCCACAAGGAGCACGGTATTGTGTACATATTTTTTTATTCTTCCCAGATCCCACAAGGAGCACGGTATTGTGTACATAATTTAACAGTCATTTTTCAATATACATTGATGTGGGAGCTGTTTCCAGTGACTGTATATGATTCTCTGGACTTAGATAAGAATCATCTGAACAGTAGAATGTAAGTAGAGTCACTTAAAATCAGGCATGTTTCTGAAAATAGTAACATAAAAATGATACAAACATCTACCTGAATTTTTCCTTTGGGCGCATGCCTGCTTGGTGTTTGTCCATAACACCTCTCCCATGGATCTCTCCTCAGCAGTTTGGCATGATGAAAGCTTAGCTACTTACCATTTTGTGATTATTTCACCTTGGGAAATGAGGTAAAGAGAACATGTCAAGTTTGTTTGTAAACTTCAAGCACTATGATAATGGAACAAAGGTAGCAATGTTGTACCAGTCAGCAAGTGCTGGTCCCAAAATATGTTAGTGTTCATAACTTGGTCACTTAGCCTCCTTGTGTAAGCTAAAGCATCTGAGCTACTGACAATTAGGACCCCATATAAAATAAATGGGTCGTGGGAGTGAATAAGCCAGCAAAACGGAATCTCCTGTTTCTTACCTTACAACCCAGGGACAATGTAAGAGGGAGGAGAAGACTTTGGCATCAATAATGATAGCATTGGAAGGGTTGAAAAATAACGCTGCATCCTGACCTCAGTCCTGCTCACAGGGTTGAGAGTTGTCATACAAGCTCATTTCCTTTGATTCTTCTGTAGACTAAGCAATGAATGTTAGATCTGCCAAATATGGATATCCCATGAAATCCCACTAGCACTGCACCTGACACTGTTCATATTGATGGGGAACACTGGGACAAAGGATGGAGCTTTGTTGGGGAGTGAACTTTTGGTGTTATTACTTCCACTTTGTACACCACAACCAGTGGTGCACTGGAGCTAGCCCACGGTTCTAGATGAAGAGCAAACTGTAGACATATTTCCCTAACTCCGCATTCAGAGATAATCACATTGATAGCTTGAAACTGGTCATAGTAGGATAACTTGATACTAGGAAAAAAGGCAAATGCTACCAAGTAGGACTTTTTTTTCCTACTTGAATAAAACCTACAAGTATTAAACATTTACCAGCACACAACTAATCATAACTCTTGCTAATATCCCAGTAAGGAACTCCTATAATTTGTCACTTCACTAATTGAATTTTCATTCCCCTTTATCTCTATCTTTGATTGCCATGGACCCTTAGCATCATTCTACATAACATTTATAGAAATATTTGAGTTCTTTAAAATCAGTATCTTTCTTAGAACTTCAGTTGAAAGGGAAGCCAGCATAGAAGTTCACATAAATAGCTGCGTAATTTACAGTGATGACTTCAATTCAGTGCTCCTTTGAAATGATTCCCTGGTCAAATTAATTTACTTCAGCATTCACTGAGTTTCTACTATGATACCTAGCCTACTAAGTGCTATAGAGTGCTGCCAGACAATTCTTCATGAATGCCCTGCATTTCTTTACGTCTTGCTAGTAGAGGCTCTGACTGCCTTTTGTAGCATCTACTCCTGTGGAATAGAGTACAGATTTGTTTGCTGATCAGTGTAATAAATATAATGTCTCCCCGTGAAGCAAAGTTTGGCTTGACTTGCTTAAGTCCACCGCGTGTCCTGCATCCACAAAGGCCCACCTCCAAGTCATCCTGTGGGAACTGGGACAAGGGAAACCATTGCAAACAAGAAGCCAATGCTGTCTGCTTTGCCATGAATAACAAAATCCTTTGTCTCTGACCTTTGTATCAGGATTATGGTATTTTCTGCCAGCATCCATGCAACTGTGGCAGACTAACTAGTCAGCTTTTAAGTAGGGTAAAATATCAGAAATTCATAGTTCTTAAAGTAGAGAACATAAAATAAGTTTATTCTTGACCTTAAAGAGACATATAAACATATAAAGAGACATGTGATGACGCATAAATGCATGGAATTATAAATAATTGAATTTCATATAACCAAAATATATAAAACTATATCCAATGGTTCAAAAAGGAAGAGATTTTTATAATAAATGCTTGAATCTCTCATCATGAAGTAATTTTGACATAGCATTGCATTTCAGTACAAAAATAAATATTTTGTGCCACACAATCCTCATTTATGACCATGCTTGTTATATGGGAACATTAATCATCTAATTAGTGACAAAGTAACTGATTTAGAGAGCTAATATAGAAATAACTCTAAATAACAAACAAGAAAAATTAACACTGGTTTTGTTAGACCATATATATATATATATATTAATGCAGTTAACTATATATATATATATTTTATATATAGTAAGTTTTCTTTGCATAATATAATAAATATTTATTTCATTTCTGGAACAACAACTATATGTCAGGTAGCATACGAGATTCTTCATGAGTATTCTTTGTAACTCTGACAATAACTTTTCAAGTAGGAATTATTTCTAACATATAGAGGAGGAAATTGTGTTTCACAGCAGTTAAATAATTTGTTCAAAGTTAATATAGTTAGAGAAAATTGATTCAAAAATATTCAGTAGTTATGAAACAGTGTCTTACACACACCTTAAATAAAATATGTTAACATCTACCAGATACTTTTTGCCTGTATTATCTCATTTTATCTTATTTATTTCAACCTAATAGATAAATTGACTATCCCAATTCTAAAGAAGTTGCACTAGTTTGTTGGATCATGTTGACATTAAAATCAAAATGTGTAATCGTTGTTTAGCCGATATTAAGAGGTAGAACCTTCTAGATATTTGTACACATAAAACATTTATATAAAATGTAGGCCTGGTGTGGTGGCTCACACCTGTAATCTCAGCACTTTGGGAGGCCAGGGTGGGCCGACTGTTTGAGCCCAGGAGTTCAAGACCAGCCTTGGCAATATGGCAAAATCCTGTCTCTACAAAAAAACACAGAAAGTTAGCTAGAGATGGTGGCCTGTGCCTGTAGTCCAGCTATTCAGGAGATTGAGGAGGGAGGATCATCTGAGCCTGGGTGTTCCAGTCTGCAGTGAGCCGTGATTGTGCAGCTGTACTCCAGCCCTGAGTGACAGAGTGAGACCCTGTCTCAAAAAAAAACAAAAAACCAAAAAGAAAACACTAAAATGTAAAGGGTCAGTTCAGGATACACTTCACTCTATGCCTGAATCCCTAGACCATTTGGGTTAGTTTATAACTGGAGTATAGAATCGTGGTTGCAAGTTGCTTATACTCTCCTCGCAAATATCAAATAAAGTTAATACAGAACTTCAAATACAAGAGCCCTTTTCCCTTCTTTGGGTTTCTAAGACATTTACCCCATCGTGCTTCCAGTTCTACTCTGAAATCCTCCCTCCTCAGGTGCTTAAATCTCCATATAGCTGAACATTCACAGTAGAGTGGGAGGAGGAGCAGAGGGCCTAAAAGACTAGTTTGTAGTACCCAAGAGAGACTTCCTTTCAGGACAGGAGCACTGAGCCATGATAAAGTCTAGGGCAAGGCAGTCAAAGTTTAGGTGACATGGTTTGTTAGCCATGGACTTGCTTTGCATAAAGGAGTTAATGTTTCTCTTTTGGAGACTTGCGTCACACAGAGGAAGGGTTCTTGCGTCATTTTGGCTTGCCTGTGTTGACAAATGGGATAAGCATAAATGTATTGGGGGCAAAATAATATATAAGTGAGAGAACTAAAAAGTTATTTTACCTCAAAAGTACTATAGTTTATGGCTATTTATTGTATGTGATACATAAGATTTTTAAAAACTCATCTTTTCAATGAGACTTATATAACCTTACCATTCTATTTAATACTGCTCCTTCCCTGCCAAAATTTACCCTGCCTCAGCACTTCCAATTCCCTTTATTCTGGTTTAGTTCTTATTTTCATAGTTCTTATGACCATCATACACACATCATACACATAATGTACTTAGGTTTATTTTATTATCTATCATTTCTACTTAGAATTCAGGCTCTGTGAGGGCAGGGGCCTTTATTACCAAATGCCTTGAATAACACCTAGCACATAGTAGCTGCTCAATAAATCCTACGGGAATGAATAAATGAGTAAACAACTTTGACATGTTCAATAATAATCATTTATGCAGCCCTTATTATTTGGCAGGTACTGTTATAGCTACATACGCACATTAATTCACTGAATCATGCTATGGTTTGGCTATTGGACCCCTCAAAATCTCATGGTGAAACGTAATCTCCAGTGTTGGAGGTGGGGCCTTGTGGGAGGTGTTAGTATCACAGGGCGGGGGTCATCCCTCATGAATGCACCATCCCCTTGGTGATAAGTGAGTTCTTGCTCTGAGTTCATGTGAGCTGGTTGTTTAAGAGTATGTGGCACCTCTTTCCTCTTTCTATCTTTTTCCTGCTCTCACCATGTGTCATGCTGGCTCCCCATCACCTTCTACTGTGATTGTAAACTTCCCAAAGCCCTCACCAGAAGCTGAGCAAGTGTTGGTGCCATGCTTCTTGTACAGCTTTCAGAATTGTAAGCCAATTAAACCTCTTTCTTTAAAATAATTTTCCAGTTTAAGTATTCTTTTATACTAAAAATAGCCTGAGACAAAGCCATACAATAAATCTTATGAAATGGAACTACTATTATGCTTATTTTCTACATTAGCATACTAAAACACAGAGATGTTAAGTATTTTGTTCCAAAATCACACAACTGACACATATAAAGCTTACATTTGAACCCAACCAGTCTGGTTTCAGAGTGCTTCTCTTGATCACTACAGTAGTGAATGATATTCATGACAGGCATTGAGTCATTTTAAGAAAAGACATATATTGTGTTCTGAATATTGTTTAAGAAGTCAGAGATGTACAAATTTTTAGAAAAATATCTAATCAAAATTATCTCCAAATTATCCCCATTATATGTATCTTTAATGGGTACTTCAGTTATCTGGATAATTAACGTAGATGAATTATTCCATTCCCTCAAAAACTTAATTGTAAAATGCCAGTAGGCTTATTTCTACTTTCACAGTTTCTTCTCCTCCTCTCCCTCCCCTAAGTTCAACATTGGGCAGCTATGTGTGGTGAGGGCCTCATGCTCCTCCTGCTCATGGCAGAACATGAAAAAGGAGTGCAAAGAGATCACATGACAACTGAGGACATGAGAGAAAGAAAATAAGAAAATTATAATATTTTTAACAACCAGCTTTTTTCTGAAACTAATCCATTCTCAGGAAAGCAAGAACTCCCTCACCTTGAGGGAGAGCATTAATCTATTTATGATGGCAAACACCCCTCACCGGATCCCACCTCCCAACACTGCCACATCAGGAATCAAATTTCAACATGAGTTTTGTTCGGAACAACCAACATTCAAATCCTTGTAATTATCATCATCATCATCATCATCACCATCATCATCATCATCATCATCAATAAAGTGCCACTGCTACCTTACCTTGGTACAATGCATTGCATGAGGATGCTTCCTCTCTGCTACTGTGAGATCCAAACTTTTATTTAGGGCCCACGGTATTTTTGCTACTTAGGGTACCTTGGGTTTTATCTTCCATTAGGAATGGGTTATATTTTAACAACCTCAGCACAGTGCTTTCTTTTGGCGATCTAAACACAAGCCAAAGTTATAGACATCTGACATTCATGAATTGTGTTCTTGCCAGAGCAATTTCATAAGCCAAGAGCTGTTGACGTACAGTTTCACTTCGCTATAATTTTCTAGACTAAGATTGCTTGACCACACTGAGTTGACTCTTTACATTCACTCTTAGTATATCTATTAGAAGTGCGATGAGGCTCCCATTTTCACAATGTACTTGCTGACTAGTGCCACAAATATCTTTAATACAATTTACTGTCTGGTTTAGATAGAGCTATATCCTTCAGATATTTCCTTCACCTGATCCTAGTTTACTGCCCAGCTGTGAGGATGATCTGTTTTGTCTAAGGAAGCAGAAGCAAGGTGATAGAATCCTTATATAGTATGTGCATTGATTAATGGTTCATTCTGTAATAACCATTAGCCATTTAAAAGTCAAAACAAAACAATTAATATTCCGGTTGTCAACCATTTTCTTTAAGAAATGCTAAGTCTCCCTGAACTACTTCAAGAAGGTGGAGCTGATTTCAGAATAATTCCAATGGGAAAAAATCTCCAAACCTTTTCTGTTATCAAAACTTTTATTTTTATAAATTATCACTTGACTTGATTGGAGGATGAGGGATAGGAACCTTAAGAAGATCAGTTAAGCAGGCGATAATGGGTTGTAAGTGACTAGTGCAAAGAGAAGGGAGAGAAACTGTTACAGGACAAAAAGAAAAACAAAAATAATCATCTATAAATATTTTTAGGAAGGTAATTTCTGAGTTTTTGTGATGTGCATAACATCAGGAATAACAATTTCTTTATAGGATTAAATATTTACTACAAATCCACAATCTCTTATGCATTAATACTATAAAATTACTGATTTCATTATATTATTTTTAAAGAGAGGAAATCCTTGATTAAAACTAAATTATACCCTAATCTCTTCAAAGTAACAACTTATTAGTTCAGCTAGAGAAATGTGTGCTTAGATGTGCTGAATGTAATCCCATGGCAGTCCTAAAATCTCAGAAGCCCAGCTGTAATTTCAGCTGACTGGATTACTTCCTTATTAACTCACAGGTAACCAGTTTTGTAGACACACTACTGTTGTGTCCTACAATAAACTCTGAGATGTGTGCTGTGAAAAGTGAGGTGTTTGCCTTTCAATTTATACTTCGAACACTTATAAGAACTTCATAAATTCTGCAAAAAGTAGAGAAGCTTAAAAGATGACAGGACAATGCTTTTAAACATCAAGTCCCATGGTAGAAAAAAGGGGCCTGTTTTCTGTTGCTCCAGACAGCAGAACTGGGGCTAAATGGTGGAAATAACAGAGAGCTAGGATTTGACCCATCATCGATTACTATGGTTATAATAAACATGAAAATAGCCAATATTTATAGAGCCTTTACTGTGTGGCAGGTATGAGGCGGGATGCTAAGAGTTATACAAAAAGTATCTCGCTCATTTTTCTTTACCATTAACACTTTTGAACAATAAGAACCTGATATTAGTTGAAGAATTGCTTAATGAGCTTGTCGCCTATAGAAATACATAAGCTGAGACAAATTGTCTTTTAGGATAGCACAGAAAGAAAAATCTTACATTGGGGGACAAGAGAAACTAGAAAATCAGTGGTTCTCTTAACTAGTTGATCATTAGACTCACCAGGAGAATTAAACAGAAACAATAACAAATGGGAGAGGAGTGGATGTTTGATTTTTAAAACAGAGTACTACACTACCAATCATTTTTTCTTTCACCATATTCCCTGACCCAAGATATGATTTAGCAAGATTCTGATTTAACAGACCGTTAGGGAGTCATAAAATCTATATTTTTAAAACTCTTTCAGTTCTCTGATTATCAGTCAGGATTAGGAAACCATTACTTATAATATCTCCCAATTATGGGATTACGGAAGTCTGATGGTACATATTAAAAGAATAAAACATATTTTAGAATTAAAATGATTTTTAACATGACATTGAAACTGTTTTATGATTAAATGACTTATATGTAATGATGTAGGTCACATATGCATGGCAATAATAAAAATCACTCATGTATTTTCTACTCAGTTCAAAAAAGATTTCCAATACTGTCGACTTTCCCAAATATTCTCTTTTTCCCTCTCCTCCAAAGTTAACTACTATCCTGAATTTTGTGATAATAATTCTTTTGCTTTCCTCAACATGACTCTGTCTTAATCATTAGCTTAAAAATAAGTTACTTATCTGGTAAAGTAAGTACTTCTACCTTGTTCTTTTTCTTAAGATTTTAGCTATTTTTGCTTTGTTTTGCAGAAAAGTTTTACAACTTTCTTGAGTGAATAAAAACAATTTGTTGAGATTTTAATTGTAATCACATTAAACGTGTAGACAAATTGAGAGAGAATTTGATACTTTATATCTGGTTATCCTATCTATAAACATGGTAAATATCTCCATTTGTTTAATCTTTAATTTTTTTCCATAAATGGCATAAATATCAACCACAATCTAGTTTATGCCTACAGCCCTTATACTACTGTTAATATCGCAAATTCTTTTTTATTGAATTATATTTATCTTTATTGACAGTATGTAAAAACGGAATTGAGGTGGTTTTGGTTTTTTTTTTTTTTTCAATTTTTAATCTTTTTATGTCAATAGGTTTTTGGGAACAAGTGGTGTTTGGTTACATGAATAAGTTCTTTCGTGATTTCTGAGATTTTGGTGCACCCATCACCCAAGCAGCGTACACTGTACCCAATGTGTAGTATTTTATCCCTTGACACCCCCAACCTTTCCCGAGTCCCCAAAGTTCAGTGTATGATTCTTATGGCTTTGTGTCCTCATAGGTTAGCTCCCACATATGACTGAGAACATACAATGTTTGGTTTTCCATTCCTGAGTTACTTCACTTAGAGTAATAGTCTCCAATTCCAACCAGGTTGTTGCAAATGCCATTATTTTGTTCCTTTTTATGACTGAGTAGCATTCCATTGTGTGTGTGTGTATATATACACATATACATATATGTATATACACACACATATACATATACACATGTGTATATGTCTGTGTATATATGTATATATACGTGTATATGTATGTGTATATACATACACGTATATATACACAGACATATACACATGTGTATATCTATATGTGTGTGTATATATACATATATATGTGTATATATACATATATATGTATATGTGTATATATGTGTGTATATATACATATATGTATAAATGCCAATCAATCACGAGTGGATAAAGAAAATGTATATATTATGACTGAGTAGTATTCCATTTTATAAAATACACACAATGGAATACAACTCAGTCATAAAATATATCGAATACACACAATGAAATACTACTCAGTCATAAAATATATATAGGTGTATATATATATACATATATATGTGTGTGTGTGTGTGTATATATATATATATATATACACACACACATATACACACACACTACATTTTCTTTATCCACTCATGATTGTTGGGCATTTGGACTGATTCTATATTTTTGCAATTGCAAATTGTGCTGCTATAAACGCGTGTACAAGTATCTTTTTGGTATAGTGACTTCTTTTCTTCTGAATAGACACTTAGTAGTGGGATTGCTGGATCAACAGTAGATCTACTTTTAGTTCTTTAAGGAGTCTTCACACTGTTTTCCATAGTGGTTGTACTAGTTTACATTCCCACCAACAGTGTAAAAATGTTCCCTTTTCACTGCATCCCCACCAACATCTATTATTTTTTGATATTTTTATTATGGCCATTCTTGCAGCAGTGAGATGGTATTGCATTATGGTTTTGATTTGCATTTCTCTGACAGTTAGTGATGTTGGGCATCTTTCCATATGCTTGTTGGCCTTTTTTATTTTTGCCATTTTTATATCTTCCTTTGAGAATTGTATATTTATGTCCTTAGCCCATTTTTTGATAGAAATTTTTTTCCTTGCTGAATTGTTCGAGTTCCTGTAAACTCTGGATATTAGTCCTTTGTCGGATGTATTGATTGTAAAGATTTTCTCCCATTCTGTTGATGGTCTGTTAACTCTGCTGTTTATTTCTTTTGCTGTGCCGATGCTTTTTAGTTTAATTAAGTCCCATCTATTTATCTTTGTTTTCATTGCATTTGCCTTTGGATTCTTGGTCATGAAATCTTTGCCTAGGCTAATGTCTAGAAGGGCTTTTCCAATGTTATCTTCTAGAATCTTTATGGTTTCAGGTCTTAGATTTAAGTCTTTGATCCATCTTCAGTTCATTCTCATATAGGGTGAGAGATAAGGACCCAGTTTCATTCTTCTACATGTGGCTTGCCAATTATCCCAGTACCATTTGTTGAATGGGATGATTTCCCTCACTTTATGTTTTTGTTTGCTTTGTTGAAGATCAGTTGGCTCTAAGTATTTGGGTTTATTTCTGGGTTCTCTATTCTGTTCCATTGGTCTAGTGCCAATTTTTATACCAGTACTATGCTATTTTGGTGACTATGGCTTATAGTATAGTTTGAATTTGGGTAATGTGATGCCTCCATATTTGTTCTTCTTGCTTTGTCTTGCTTTGGCTATGAGGTCTCTTTTTTGGTTCCATATGAGTCTTACAATGGTTTTTTCTAGTTATGTGATGAATGATGGTAGCATTTTGATAGGAATTGTATCGAATTTGTAGATTGCTTTTGGCAGTATGGTCCTTTTCACAATATTGATTCTATCCATCTATGAGCATGAGATGTGTTTCCATTTGTTGGTGTCATCTAAGGTTTCTTTCAGCAGGGTTTTGTAGTTTTTCTTGCAGAGGTCTTTCACCTTCTTGGTTAGGTATATTCTTAACAATTTATTTAATTTTTTTTTGCAGCTACTGTGAAAGGGGTTGAGTTCTTGATTTGATTCTCAGCTTGCTCATTGCTGGTGTATAGCAGAGCTACCAATTTGTGTACATTGATTTTATATCCTGAAACTTCACCGAATTCATTTACCAGTTCTAGAAGCTTTTTGGATGAGTCTTTAGGGTTTTCTAGGTATACAATCACATCATCAGCAAATAGTAACAGTTTGAATTCCTCTTTACCAATTCGGATGCCCCTTAGTTCCTTCTCTTGTCTGATTTCTCTGGCTAGGACTTTCAGTACTATATTGAATAGAAGTAGTGAGGGTGAGCATTCTTGACTTGTTCCAGTTCTCAGGGGAAATGCTTTCAACTTTTCCCCATTTAGTATAATGTTGGCTGTGGGTTTGTCCTAGATGGATTTATTACCTTAACATATGTCCCTTCTATAACAATTTTGCTGAGGATTTTAATCATAAAATGATCCTAGATTTCATCGAATGCTTTTTCTGTGTCTATTGAGATAATCATGTGACTTTTGTTTTCAATTCTGTTTATGTGGCGTATCATATTTATTGACTTAAGTATGTTAAACCATCCCTGCATTCCTGGTATGAAACCCACTTGATCTTGGTGGATTATCTTTTTGATATGCTGTTAGATTTTATTCCCTATTATTTTGTTGACGATTTTTGCATCTATATTCATCAGGAGTATTGGTCTGTAGTTTTCTTTTTTTGATATGTCCTGTCCTGGTTTTGGTACTAGAGTGATACTGGCTTCATAGAATGATTTAGGGAGGATTCCCTCTTTCTCCATCTTTTGGAATAGTGTCAATAGGATTGGTTTCAATTCTTCTTTGGATGTCTGATAGAATTCAGCTATTAATTTCTCTGGTCTGGACATTTTTGTTGTTGGCAACTTTTTTATTACCATTTTAATCTTGCTGCTTGTTATTGGTCTGTTCAGAGATTCTATATCTTCCTGGTTCAATCTAGGAGGGTTGTATATTTCCAGGAATTTATCCATCTCCTTTAGGTTTTCTAGTTTATGTGCATAAAGGTGTTCATTGTAGCCTTGAATATCTTGTATTTCTGTGGTATCAGTTATAATATCTCACGTTTCGTTTCTAACTGAGCCTATTTGGATCTTCTCTCTTTTCTTGGTTAATCTCACTAACAGTTAATCAATTTTACCTTTTCAAAGAACAAACTTTTTGTTTCATTTATCTTTTGTATTTTTTGTTTGTTTGTTTCAGTTTCATTTAGTTCTGCTCTGATCTTTGTTATGTATTTTCTTCTGCTGGGCTTGGGTTTGGATTGCTCTTGTTTCTCCAGTTCCATGAGGTGTGACCTTAGATTGTCTGAGTGCTCTTTCAGACTCTTGATGTTGGCATTTAATGATATGAACTTTCCTCTTAGCACCACTTTTGCTGTATCCCAGAGGTTTTGATAGGTTGTGTCACTATTACTGTTCAGTTCAAAGAATTTTTTAATTCCCATCTTGATTTCATTGTTGACCCAATGATCATTCAGGAGCAGGTTATTTCATTTCCACGTATTTGCACGGTTTTGAGGGTTCCTTTCTTTTTATTTTATTCCACTGGGTTCTGAGAGAGTACTTGACACAATTTCAATGGTTTTAAATGTACTGAGACTTGTTCTGTGGCCTGTCATATGGTCTATCCAGGAGAATGTTCCATGTGCTGATGAATAAAATGTGTATTCTGCAGTTGTTAGGTAGAAAGTTCTGCAAGTATCTATTAAGACCATTTGTTGTAGGGTATAGTTTAAGTCCATTGTTTCTTTGCTGAGTTTCCGTCTTGATGACTCATCTAATGCTGTCAGTGGAGTATTAAAGACCCCTACTAATATGTTGCTGTCTCTCTCCTTTCTTAGGTCTAGAAGTAATTGTTTTATAAATTTGGGAGTTCTAGTGTTAGGTGCACATATATTCACAATTGTGATATTTTCCTGTTGGATTAGTCCTTTTATCATCATATAATGTCTCTCTTTGTCTTTTTTAACCGCTATTGCTTTAAAGTTTGTTTTGTCTGATATAAGAATAGCTACTCCTAGTCACTTTTGGTGTCCATTTGCATGGAATATCTTTTTCCACCCCTTTAAGTTTATATGAGTCCTTATTTGTTATCAGTCTCCTGAAAATAGCAAAAACTTAGTAAATTTTCATCTATTCAGCCATTCTGTATCTTTTAAGTAGAACATTTAGGCCATTTACATTCAATGTTACTATTGAGATGTGTGATACTATTCTATTCATCATAGTATTTGTTGACTGAATACCTTGGTTTTTGTTTTCATTGTGTTGTTATATAGGTCCTGTGAGATTTGTGCTTTAAGTAGGTTCTATTTTGGTTTATTTAGAAGATTTATCTCAAGATTTAGAGCTCCTCTAACAGTCTTTGTAGTGCTGTCTTGGTAGTGGCAAATTCTGTCAGCATTTGTTTGTCTGGAAGAGACTGTATCTTTCTTTCATTTGTGAAGCCTAGCTTTGCTGAATACACAATTCTTGGCTTATAATTGTTTTTTTTAAGGAGGTCAAAAATAGGACTCCAATCTCTTCTAGCTTGTAGGATCTCTGCTGAGAAATCTGCTGTTAATATGACAGATTTTCCTTTATAGGTTACCTGATGCTTTACGTCACAACTCTTAAGATTCTTTCCTTTGTCTAGACTTCAGATAACCTGATGACTATGTGCCTAGGGGATAATCATTTTACAATGAATTTCCCAGGTTTATTGAAGCTTCTTATATTTGGATGTGTGGCTCTCTAGCAAGGCTGGGGAAGGTTTCCTCAATTATTCCCTCAAAAATGTTTTCCAAACTTGTAGATTTCTCTTTTTCTGTGGAAACACCAATTATTCTTAGGTTTGGACTTTTAACATAGTCCTGAACTTCTTGGAAGCTTTGTTCATTTCTTAAAAATCTTTTTTCTTTGTCTTTGATGGATTGGGTTAACTCGGAAAGCCTGTCTTCGAGCTCTGAAGTTCTTTCTTCTGCTTGTTTGATTCTATTGCTGAGAGTTTCCAGTGTATTTTGCATTCCTCTGAGTGTGTTCTTGATTTCCAGAAGCTGTAATTGTTTTTTATTTATGCTTTTTGTTTCACTAAAGATTTTTCATTTTATATCCTGTATCACATTTTTGATTTAAGTTAGACTTCACCTTTCTCTTCACAATTAACCTTCTGAATTCTTTTTCTGGCAATTCAGAGATTTTTTTCTTGATTTGGATCCATTACAGGTGAACTGCTTATGATCTTTTGGGGGTGTTAAAGAAACTTGTTTTGTCATATTACCACACTTGTTTTTCCAGTTCCTTCTCATTTGGGTGGACTATGTCAGAGGGAAGATCTGGGATTCAAAGGCTGCTGTTCAGATCTTTTGTCCCACGGAGTGCTCCCTTGATGTGGTGCTCTCCTACTTCCCCTAGGAGAGGGGCTTCCTGAGAGCCAAACTATAGTGATTGTTTTTGTTATTCTGCGTCTACCCACCCAGTGGAGCTGCCAGGCTCTGGGTTGGTACTGGGGAGTGTCAGCAAAGTGTCCTGTGATATGATCCATTTTCAGCTCTTGCAGCTGTTGATACCAGCATCTGCTCCACTGGAGGTAGCAGGGGAGTGAAGTGGACACTGTGAGGATCCTTGGTTGTGTTTTTGTTTAGTATGCTGGTTTTGTATTGATTGGCCTCTAGCCAGGAGGTGGTGTTTTCAAGAGTACATCAGCTGTGGTTCTACAGGGAGGATGCAAACTTCCCCTAGGGGCATCTGGTTAAGTATTCAGGTTTCTCAGGTGGTGGGCAGGGCCAAGAGATCATGAGCTTTGTCTTTGGCTACCAGGGCAGGTAGAGAAAGACTACCAGGTGGAGGTAGGGATAGGCATGTCTGAGCTCAGCCCCTCCTTCGGCAGGGCTTGATGAATGTGCTGTGTGGGATAGGGGTGTGGTTCCCAGTTCAATGGAGTTACATTCCCAGGGAGATTATGGCTGCTTCTGCTAAGCCATATAGGTTTCCAGGGAAGTGAGGAAAAGCTGGCAGTCACAAGCCTCACCCCACTCCCACACAGCCTGCAGTCCTAAAGGCCTGTCTCACTCCCATCATACCCCTCCAACAGCACCGAGTCTATTTCCAGGCAGCTGGTGACCAGGGCTGAGGACTTGCCTCAGACCATGAGCCTCCTTGTTGATAATGCAAAAAGACACAGATTTTTGGTGTCTCAGGGAGCCTGCAGCAGTGATCCAGTTCCTTCAGAGGGTCTGTGAACTCTCTCGACTTTCCTAGTATGTTCCTGCACTAGTTCTTGGAGCAAAAGTTCATGATGTGAGTATTCACATATTGCTCTCTCTGTCTGAGCAGGAGCTGCAAGCCAGTCCTGCCTCCTATCCTCCATCTTAATCTGATGTCCCCCAGATGCTTTATTTTTAAAGGTTCCTTTTACAGCCAGAAGATGCACTTCAGGCAAAGTTTTAAATGTGAAAAAGTTTGCATCCACAACTCAATTATTCTCAAAGCCTCCTTACAGAGATGTGCTTAAAATGTAATCATGCAATTGAGTTTTGTATATTAAACCTATCCAGCGTCTTTCTAAATGTGCTTATTAATTTTTCTTTTTTTTTTTTTGAGATGGAGTCTCACTCTGTCACCCAGGCTGTAGTGCAGTGGTGTGATCTTGGCTCACTGCAACCTCCGCCTCCTGGGTTCAAGTGATTCCTGTCTTAGCCTCCCACTTAGCTGGGATTACAGGTGCCCAGCTAATTTTTGTATTTTTAGTAGAGATGGGGTTTTGCCATGTTGGCCAGGCTGGTCTCGATCTCCTGACCTCAGGTGATCTTCCTGCCTTGGCTTCCCAAAGTGCTGGGATTACAGGCGTGAGCCACTGTGCCCAGCCAAATGTACTTATTAAAACTAATAATTTGTTTGAAGTTTCTTTTGCATTTTCTATGTAGAACATATCATCTGCTAATAATGAAAGTTTTGTTTTCTATTTTCCAAATGTTATACCTTTAATTTTTCTTTTTAATTATTATTATACTTTAAGTTTTAGGGTACATGGGCACAACGTACAGGTTTGTTACATATGTATACATGTGCCATGTTGGTGTGCTTTATGGTGCTCCTTAGAATCTCCAAAACAATACTGAGCAGAGGTGATGATATAATAGATACATTTTCTCATCCCTGGAATTAAAGTAAATATTTCAGTTTTTTACTGTTAAGCATGACTGTTCCTTTAGGTTTTTATTATATAAGTTCATCGGGTTAAGATATTTTCCATATAATTTACTGGAATTTCTTTCTCAAAAATTATGAAGGACTTTTAGTCTTGAATGACTTTTCATCTATTGAAATGATCACATAATTTTTCTCCTTTAATCAGCTACTGTAGATTGGTACATTACTCACTGACTGCAAGTCAAGTTAAACTTGAAAGCCTGGATTTAACTTAACTTGGTCATGATATATTGTCTTTTATACAATTGTTGGATGTTAATATTCCATTTATTAATTTTTTATTTAAACTCATGAGTGAACATGGTCTGCAACTTTCCTGCTTCGTACTGTCCTTATCTGATTTGGGTACTAAGGTTACACCAGTTTCATAAAATAACTTGGAGAATGTTTTCTCTTTTTCTATTATATGGAAAATTGAATGTGGAATAGATCCAAAAGTCCCACTTTTTGCAGGGATCTCTACTATAAAGTCTCATTTCTGGAGGTTGCAGGATTTTTTTTTTTTTCTCCAGTAGCCTGCATGCTGCTAAAGCTGAAGATCTGGGCTTGTGAGATCAGCATTTGCCCCAGAACAGTTGACAGCTGTTTGCTTGTCTCTCTGCATTTCCACTTTCACTAGTTGCTTGACCTGTAAAAAGTTCCCTTATTTTCTTGCAAATTCACCTATATACTTAAGGAGATTATATTTTGTTTAGAAAATAAGAGTGTGTTATACTTTTAGTAGGGAGAAAAATAAACCTCATCTCCTATTCATAAAAGAGCTTTCCCACATGGTAAAACATAATCTGCTTGGATGACTACAGGGAACTGTTTCAGTGTTCATAAGTTTGGCATGAGATAAAGATGGTCACAGATACTTGGTTCTATGAGAAAGGGGGAGAACTTGCACATATTCAAGGTGTCAGTAAAAAGACAGAATAAGACACAGTTGTGGTAAAGTAAGCTGGGCAGATGATTTTAATTAATTTAAATTAATATACCAGCTTTGGTATATTATCAAGTAACAGGTAATTTGAACAATTTTAACCAACTGCAATAAGATGTCTTCATTGCAACCATTAGCACTCTCTCCTGGCTGCACTTCTCTGCAATGTCATATTATACCACTTACAACAAAACCACTTTGCTAAACATTGCTGAAGAGAAAGTACAAATAAAATGGTAATGAGAGATGATCTGTAAGAGTATAGAGACGAAAGAGCAAGTATTAGGGGATCCTCAATATTCAGAGAAGTTTAGGTTATATAAAGCGTGGCTTACCTTGTACCTGGGAACTTCATGACATTAATGCTGTATTCATTGTCTATCTATGGTGCAAAAGGCGCTGCTTCTGTCCTGCTACTCTACCACCTCGCTATCCAAACAGTACAGGGTTGACCACACAATACTATTTACTGAATGAATAAAGGAAGAATTCGCATCCCCACAGCTCTTTCCAAAACAAATGTTATTCATTATGCCTTTGTTCCATAGCAAAGCTACAGTGCAAAAATGTCTTGGAATGGCAGTGTTTGAATTGTTAAATTAACGACTGTTCTCTCAGCATACATTTTATCTGCCAGCCAATGATGTAAACAGGGGTGTAGGGCATAAACCTGGCTCCTTCTTAGAGTGTAGGCTTTTTTCCTCTGCTACCAGAGTTGTTTATGGTACAGCTGGAGAATAACCAGGATTGAAATTCCATTTTTGTATGTGCAGTATCAGAGATCATGGGGATTGAAATTCCATTTTTGTATGTGCAGTATCAGAGATCATGGGGAAGAACCAAAAAAACTGCAGACACTTCCACACAAAACTTCCGATCCTGAAAAGCTAACCCAACTCAATATTCTATTCGTGGAATGCCAGGAGGTAAATGTAATTTTTGAGAAAAGATGACAAACTAAATGGAAATAGAGTCTAAATTATGAATTCTTTGATCCTTTCCTGTTTGAGTTTCACTGAGGATTTTTGTCTTATTTTTTTCTCACAAAAACATGTTTAGTGTTTAATGCTGCTTTCAAAAATAAATATTTTAAATTTTTGTACCTAATATCAGAAGCCCACTCAGAGGCCTTCAGCTGTGTCTGTGTAGACCTGTCTGTCTGGCTGATCTGTGGCTCAGATAATGTCCTTTCTTATACTCCTAGTGGTATCCCCCTCCATTTCAACTTCATACCCACTCCACTCCTGAGTCCTACTTCAGCAGTCAATGCAGCTCATGTCCTTTTACCCAGATCTCGCACTTAAATTTCATAAAGTAGCTTTGAAGCAACGTTTATTCAATGGAGAGTTTTATATCATGTTGTTTTAATCCACAGACTCAAACTATATTATCAAATTCTTAAATTTGATAGGTTGGGTGTCAACCTTAAAACTTCATTTAACACTGTCTTTTAATATTTAAATATTTTATGACTAAAATATGGATCAGTATTGTCCTTGCCACAAATAATGTCCAAGAACTTTGAAGAATAAAAAATATTCTACAAACGGAGGATGTTATTGTTACCACACACAAGAAATCACTCCTTCAGCTAAGGGTGCAATTTAAGAGCATACATCAGGGAAAACAAGAGATATTGATAAAACAGCATTTGCCTAAGAACCTTGAAGTACCTTCAAAATATGATCATCTATAGTACATATCACTGCTCTAGTCTAAACTATCACCCCGTCTAACTTGGGTCATTGTATAGTCTCCAAACTGGTCTACACGGAGCAGCCAGAGTGATCTCTGCAAACCTTGCTTCCTACTAAATTTAAAAGGAGGTCCACATCCTGTATGAAGGCCCACTTGGCCCTCAGAGATATGGCCTTTGCATCTTTATAAATTCATCTTTACCTACTCTTCCCTTGGTTCACTGCATTTGGACTACACTGGCCTTCCTTCAGTTCCTCTAGTTGGCCAAGCTCATTCCTACCTCTGTTCTCTTCAGTAGAACCTTCGTAGCTCCAGATCTCATTACCTAGGTGTTAATTCAGATGTCACTTTGAAAATTATTCCATAAAAGCTACCCTGGCACTCTCTAGCAGTGTGATAAATCAAATCCATATTTGTACATTTGGCAATCAGTGCTATGCAGGTAACAGGGAAATCTTTGTAGGGAGATGATTTTCTCTTAAGAGATGGCCTTATAGTACAAGTCTAGATCACTTAACATCTTATCACCTCAATCTCTTATCAGTAAAATAGAAACAATAACATTAAGTTGCCTAGCTATTCAATTAGTTTATTTGAAAAGAGTAAAACAGAATGGCAGAGTTGACTGAAGGGCTGGGGGTGTGAGTGCAGACTTTTTGGTAGGTGGGACCAGAGGGAACATTGAAAAGCTGATCGGAGGCTCAACAGAGATGGAAGCTTCTAAGATACAGGGGAAGGAGAAAAAGAGAATAAGGAAGTAGTAAAAGGTGATTGCCTTTAGGGCAAAAAATAAAAAGGATAAACTTTTGAAAGAAAGAAGCTATTTCCTAAATGAGGAGATGTCAAGACATACTGAATAAAGATAGAAAACATGTGTTGTGTATACACTCAAGCTTTTTAGAGCAGGGATTCAGGAAGTCTCCAAGCATATCACATGGTCATAAGTGACCAGTAGTAATTGAGGGTGAATTTATGATTCATAAGGAGATATGTAACGACTCTTAACAGAACTTTAAAAAATTGTCTTAAAGCCCAAATCTTTCACCTTGTTTCTCATTTACAACATAGTAAATATCATCTCACTTAGTACTTTATAAAGTAGAAGAAAACAACTTTGTGAATACCTGAAGCCTCAGTTGTGATGAAAATGAATCTAAGATGCTAGATTCTTAGGAAAATAATAGTGGGGCATTGGTAATGTACAGTAAGTTCAAGTGTGAGCTTTGAGTTACTTGAGTTTCCATTTAAAAAATGAATAAAAATAAATCTCACTTCTTTCTTTTTCCTTTCATCTTATTGTTTGTGTTTGTGTGTGTGTGTGTGTGTGTGGCACAGAGAAAGAGAAAGAAAGAGAGAGAAACCTGTATTAGATAAAACCAAACTTGTCTTAGATAAAAACTATTGTCTGTAATTCAAAACACAATATATGAGAAAGGACTGGCAAATACATTGAAGACTGAAGGCCCAGTGGGAAGCCGAGTAGTGCTACAGCTACAGATCTCAAGTGAAACTAACAGAACTCTGTAATTGAAATTACAGATCCCATTCTGATTTATAAAACCAATAATTATTTGGAATGATGAAAAAGATATGTCCTGAACATGGTATGACAGTAAAATAAATCAAGGAAGAACCAACAAACAAAGGAACTATCCAGATACAGTAATGTGATGAGTAAGATGTTAGAGAACCAGGGTGGAGGAAAGGGGCTGTATTGTGAAGAGTCTGGCAGCTGCCAATCACAGTTGTCTGGAAAGACATAAAGGCTAAAAGGATTCATGGATATATCACCCTGTGTCCAAATGCACTACTTTGAAGCATGGAGAATCTATCCTTGCCTGCAATGCTCCTTTATTAGATGACACAAGAAAAACCCATCTCCTTTAAAAAAATGACAGAACAACAACAACAATAGGAAACTAATACATGATAGTCACAAAGACTACAAAAACAAAGAAGAGATGAAAAAACAAATGACAAGAAAGAATATTCCCTAAATATAAAAAGTTTTTCTGGAAGAAATATAAATTGTGACAAACACATTATCTTGCACTCAAAAACTAATTCAGGAATAAAGAAATTGCCTTTACAGTATCATTCAGGACATAGGCATGGGCAAAGACTCCATGAATAAAACACAAAAAGCAATGGCAACAAAAGCCAAAATTGACAAATGGGATCTAATTAAACTAAAGAGCTCCTCCACAGCTTCATCAGAGTGGATAGGCAACCTACAGAATGGAAGAAAATTTTTGCAATCTATCCATCTGACAAAGGGCTAATATCTAGAATCTACAAGGAGCTTAAACAAATTTACAAGAAAAAAATAACCCCAACAAAAAGAGGGTGAAGGATATGAACAGACACTTCTCAAAAGAAGACATTTATGCAGCCAAAAAACATATGAAAAAAAAGCTCATCACCACTGGTCATTAGAGAAATGCAAATCAAAACCACAATGAGACACCATCTCATGCCAGTTAGAATGGTGATCATTAAAAAGTCAGGAAACAACAGATGCTGGAGAGGATGTGGTGAAATAGGAACGCTTTTACACTGTTGGTGGGAGTGTAAATCAGTTCAATCATTGTGGAAGACAGTATGGCGATTCCTCAAAAATCTAGAAGCAGAAACACCATTTGACCCAGCAATCCCATTTACTGGGTATATACCCAAAGGATTATAAATCATTCTATGATAAAGACTCATGCACACGTATGTTTATTGCAGCACTGTTCACAATAGCAAAGACTTGGAACGAACTCAAATGCCCATCAATGATAGACTGGATAAAGAAAATGTGGCACATATACACCCTGGAATACTATGCAGCCATAAAAAAGGATGAGTTCATGTCCTTTACAGGGACATGGATGAAGCTGGAAACTATCATTCTCAGCAAACTAACACAGCAACAGAAAACCAAACACTGCATGTTCTCACTCATAAGTGGGAATTGAACAAAGAGAACACATGGACACACAGAGGGGAACATCACACACCAGGGCCTATCATGGGGTGGGGGGCTAGGGGAGCGATAGCATTAGGAGAAATACCTCATGTAGATGACGGGTTGATGGGTGCAGCAAACCACCATGGCACGTGTATACCTATGTAACAAACCTGCATGTTCAGCACATGTATCCCAGAACTTAAAGCATAATTTAAAAATGCTTAAAAAGTTAAGGAACTAAACTAAAAAATTGAGGAACTAAACTAATATGGACTAAACTAATTTTATCATTGCTTATTACGGAAAGTGCATACATAATGTCTCAAAAATGAGATGAATAAATATATTATAAATGAAAAAGATCAACTTTCTAAATTACTAAAATAAATTATAGATGGACTAGAGAACAAAACAGATTATAAAAAGAACAAACAAAAATGATAGAACTAGGCCTGTTATATCAATAAGTGTAAATGGTTCAAACAATAAAATGTTACGTTTAAAAGCAAAGTTTATCTATTATATATAAATACACACCTAAAACAAAATTACTAAATGGGACACATAAAAAATAATAATTTTTGCAGTATATTTAGTAATAAAATATGATGGGAAACAACTTACTGTCCCTCATGGATATTGTGATACATTATACAATGGAATACAATATATCTTCTAGAAAATATGAAGTGACTCTATATTTGTAGGTAAAGACCTATATGTTATGTTAAAAACTGAAAAAAGGGTGAAGAATGGCGCATAATCTATCATTTGTTTATTTACATACATAAAGACCTATATAAAAATGCTTGATGTACATAGAACATCACTAAAAAGATACAAAATTAAATGGGTAAAGTGAGCTCTCCCTAAGGAAAAGGGATGGGTGGCGAGAAGTACAGGAAAGAGGGAGATTTGCTTATTGCTATGTAGTCTTTTTGCTTTTTGAATTTTTATTGTCCAAAGGAATTACCTGTCTTGTTAAACTTTTTTAAGCAAAAAAAATAAAAAAAGAAAAAGAAAAGCTTGTATGTCTGAGTTTTTTAGTCTTGGCTTTGCCACTTAATTGGTTGTGCTTGCTAGCTTAGCTCAGTTTCCTTATCACCCTAATGGAGGTAAGAGTATTAACCAACTTGTAGGGTTGGTTAAGCCATCTGCAGGGACCAAAACACTAGAAGGTGTGACCTTATCCATTACCTTAGAAACCTGTACTAAGAGTAAGGCATTCCCTCACTGGACAATTTTGTAGAATCAGTTTAGTCTCTAAAACCTTTTATAAATGCAAAACATTAAGCTAAAATTAGGACTGTTGACCTAACATGTTACATAATATGTTTCTAAGTTTTTTCCTGAATTACCTAAATCACTTCTATTTTTTTACAGTAGGACATTTTTCCAAAATAGAATCTTTACCAAAATGGGTATTAAGTGGCATCAAAGAATCAAGATGCCGCCGCAATCAAGCAGCTGTTTGTGGCATGTATTTCTCTCCTTTATGGAAACTTGATCTGAACATGGCCCTATAAGCTTTGCCACAACTAACACTGTCTCATGACCAGGCAACTTCTTACATTAAAAAAATTCATTTTTAACCAAATTATCTTAATTATCTTGTTTCCATTTGTGTTGCATTAAAAAATTCAATTTTTAATCAAATTATCTTAATTATCTTGTTTCCATTTTCCCGAAATATCTACATAATTGCTTCAGCTGTCTCTTTCATCTGCCTCTGCAGACACAGCTCCACACTCTAATATGCTCCAAGTTTCCTAAGAACTTCTATTGAAGTAGTTATTACTTGTGGAGCTCATTTTCCTAATAGCTATAAAAGATTCAGCAGGCAACTGGTGTCATGACGCTGTTGTTTTTCTTGGAAGAACTATTAAAATAAATTGAATTTAAAAAAAATCGTACCATCAGAGGGCCCACTTTATAAGAAAAGAAATTCTGAGTAGAATATGTGCAGGCAAACTTAACACCCATATCCTCCAATTCATTTCTCCCTTTTGCCCAGGGAATATTTATCTGGGAGACAGAATTTTATGAACCACTTTTACACATTTTAATTTTATTCCAGACGCTGACCTGTGGGACAAAGAAAATGAGCTTTTCATCTAGTCTCATATGAATACAGATGTCTAGTACTCATAATAGGCAATGAGTTATCCTTGCTATTTTATTATTTTTGGTGCATAAATCTCTGAATTATCTACCAGTAGTTGACTTTTGTAGGAGAATATCATTCACCTAAAAACCAGCATTCAAAGCAACAACAGTCCTTATTTTTAATGTGGTTTTACCAAAACGGTATTATGTAAGCATACGCATTGTTTCTAGAAAATTTGGAAACGGTAACAATGGAAGAGTAAGATTGCATTTCTTCCTAAGATAAGCTCTGATTTGGAAAACATAATTATATCTAAGCATTAGTGATTGCCCCTATTTGTAATCATCAATTTTAAATTTCCAATAAATGCAATTCCTCAAATAGGGTATCTAATAAATAGGGATCATGATACGTACCTATCCAGCTGTGAGGATCAGTGAGATCATGTACTTTTAGAGTGTCTGACACATAACAGATGCTTAACAAATAAGGGCTAATATACAGCATACATAAAATTGCCACAGCAAGGCAATAGTGTACTTATTAAGAACTTAGGCTCTGAAGTAAAGCAATCCGGCTTTGAAAATCATTTGCGATTGCTCTTATCGGGACAAAATAAGGTAATATTTGAAAACTGTTTAGCAGCGTCCCACTTCGCTAATGAATTTAAAATAAATGTAGTTTGTTGTACCCAATTATCATTATCATAAAATCTTTGTATGTAATTATTCAATTAAAATTATACATATAGAAAATAAAAATAAAATTCTTTATATAATTATTATTTGCCTGTTGCCAGCATATGTGTTCCACAAGTAGTTTACCTCTTTATAATCACAACTAGAAAATTATTTAATACATTTTGGGTTTATCCAAAACAAGGTCAGTGTGTACCTTTTTACGCTGTTGGAATTAACTTCAAATGTTATGGTTTTCTACTTAGTTTAAATAATGTAAGAATATGAAATAAGAATGTATTCAATCCCGTTATGTACCAAGTTCACTCTTCTAGATACTGAGGAGCAGGTGGTGAGTAAAAACATACAGTGTGGCCGGGCTCGAAGGCTCATGGCTGTAATCCCAGCACTTTGGGAGGCCAAAGTGGGTGGTTCACTTGAGGTTAGGAGTTCCAGACCAGCCTCACCAACATGATGAAACTCCATCTCTACAAAAAATATAAAAATTATCCGTGCATGGTGGTGGGGTGGTGGGCGCCTGCAATCCCAGCTACTTGGGAGACTGAGGCAGGAGAATCACTTGCACCCGGGAGGTGGAGGTTGCAGTGAGCCAAAATTGTGCCACTGTACTCCAGCCTGGGCAACAGAGCAAAACTCTGTCTCAAAACAAAACAAAACAAAAAAACAAAACATACAGTGTGAATCCTGGTAGGCCTTATTATTTAGTGAACAGATAAGACATTATTAATCAAAGTATTAAAAGGTATAAATACAGCTGCTTGAGTGCTATAAAGATATGATGCCAGAAGAAATTTTTATAGAAAAAAATCATGTTGTCACCGAGGTCAGGAAAGGCTTTTTCTGAGGACAGGCTGACTGAGAGATTCAGTGAAGAGGAGTTAGCTATGCAAAGGGAGGTAGAAAGGCTACTCTGAGCAGAGGGGTATCAGAGACAATGGGCCAGCTGTAGAGAAACCTATTCATATTTTAGAAACTGAAACCTAGTGTGACTGGAATTCAAAGAGCAAAACTAAAGAGTTATTGAGAAGGGTCAGGCCTTTTTATTAATGGTTTTGATCTTTATGAGCAATGGAAAGTTATTAAAGAAGTCTGAGTAGTAGGATCACCTGATCATAATTACATTTTGAAATAGCCCACTCTGGCTATGGTATGGAGAACATCTTCTTGTGGAGCAAGAATGGATGTAGAAATGCCAATTAAGACAGCATGGTAAAAGTCCAAGTCAGGGTAAGGCAGTAGTGATGAAGAGGAGAGATTCAGGAGATATTATATTTTATTAAACATTATAATTTTGATCTAATTTAAAGAATTACTCTCAGGAAATGCATACGTGTGAGCTCATACCAACTTTTATGTGTAAAATTGATGCCAAGGAGGGCAGATCACCTGAGGTCAGGAGTTCAAAACCAGCCTGGCCAACATGGTGAAACCCTGTCTCTACTAAAATACAAAAATTAGCCAGGCATGGTGACATGTGCCAGTAATCCCAGGTACTTGGGAGGCAGAGGCAGGAGAATCGCTTGAACCTGGGAGGTAGAGGTTGCAGTGAGCCAAGTTTGTGCCACTGCACTCCAGCCTCGGTGACAGAGCAAGACTCTGTCTCAAAAAACAAAATATATATATACATATATATTATGTTCTTTGTATGTGTCAGTGGACATGATAATGTGGTAATTAAGGGCAGTGAGCATTAAGTAATATGTAAGCCAAAGGGACACACTTACTTCTCCACTGCATGATTAAGGTTTTCTCTAGAAGCTCAGAAATATTAACTTGTTCTTACATGGAGTGGGTATTGATCCATTCTTACTACAATTCATAATTAAATATTTCCCACAGTGTGGGTGGATTTTTTTCTGTTATAATATTAAAATAATAACATACATTCTTCACTTGGAGGAAAAATTATACTGTATGATGTGAAATTAAAAGATAAATTTGTTTTTAGAATCCTGAAGTATATAATTAAGTAGAAAATATTTTATTTTGATATACCAATTGATTACATACAGTTATTTTGTGGCTTAAGATATAATTTTTAAAGTGTCAAGTATATACCAGAATTTATTTTCTTCATTGACTTTCAGCAAAGGAAATTTAAACTACATTCCCTTTGAAAACTGGCACAAGACAGGGATGCCCTCTCTCACCACTCCTATTCAACATAGTGTTGGAAGTTCTGGCCAGGGAAATCAGGCAGGAGAAGAAATAAAGGGCATTCAATTTGGAAAAGAGGAAGTCAAATTGTCCCTGTTTGCAGATGACATGATTGTATATCTAGAAAACCCCATTGTCTCAGCCCAAAATCTCCTTAAGCTGATAAGCAACTTCAGCAAAGTCTCAGGATACAAAATCAATGTGCAAAAATCACAAGCATTCTTATACACCAATAACAGACAAACAGAGAGCCAAATCATGAGTGAACTCCCATTCACAATTGCTTCAAAGAGAATAAAATACCTAGGAATCCAACTTACAAGGGATGTGAAGGACCTCTTCAAGGAGAACTACAAACCACTGCTCAATGAGATAAAAGAGGATACAAACAAATGGAAGAACATTCCATGCTCATGGGTAGGAAGAATCAATATCGTGAAAATGGCCATACTGCCCAAGGTAATTTATAGATTCAATGCCATCCCCATCAAGCTACCAGTGACTTTCTTCACAGAATTCGAAAAAACTACTTTAAAGTTCATATGGAACCAAAAAGATCCCGCATTGCCCAGTCAATCCTAAGCCAAAAGAACAAAGCTGGAGGCATCACGCTACCTGACTTCAAACTCTACTACAAGGCTACAGTAACCAAAACAGCATGGTACTGGTACAAAAACAGAGATATAGATCAATGGAACAGAACAGAGCCCTCAGAAATAATGCCACATATCTACAACTATCTGATCTTTGACAAACCTGACAAAAACAAGCAATGGGGAAAGGATTCCCTATTTAATAAATGGTGCTGGGAAAACTGGCTAGCCATATGGAGAAAGCTGAAACTCGATTCCTTCCTTACACCTTCTACAAAAATTAATTCAAGATGGATTAAAGACTTAAATGTTAGACCTAAAACCATAAAAACCCTAGAAGAAAACCTAGGCAATACCATTCAGGACATAGGCATGGGCAAGGACTTCATGTCTAAAACACCAAAAGCAATGGCAACAAAAGCCAAAGTTGACAGATGGGATCTAATTAAACTAAAGAGCTTCTGCACAGCAAAAGAAACCACCATCAGAGTGAACAGGCAACCTACAGAATGGGAGAAAAATTTTTGCAACCTACTCATCTGACAAAGGGCTAATATCCAGAATCTACAATGAACTCAAACAAATTTACAAGAAAAAAAACAAACAACCCCGTCAAAAAGTGAGCGAAGGATATGAATGGACACTTCTCAAAAGAAGACATTTATGCCACCAAAAAACACATGAAAAAATGCTCATCATCACTGGCCATCAGAGAAATGCAAATCAAAACCACAGTGAGATACCATCTCACACCAGTTAGAATGGTGATCATTAAAAAGTCAGGAAACAACAGGTGCTGGAGAGGATGTGGAGAAATAGGAACACTTTTACACCATTGGTGGGACTGTAAACTAGTTCAACCATTGTGGAAGTCGGTGTGGCAATTGCTCAGGGATCTAGAACTAGAAATACCATTTGACCCAGCCATCCCATTACTGGGTATATACCCAAAGGATTATAAATCATGCTGCTATAAAGACACATGCACATGTATGTTTATTGCGGCACTATTCACAATAGCAAAGACTTGGAACCAACCCAAATGTCCAACGATGATGGACTGGATTAAGAAAATGTGGCACATATACACCATGGAATACTATGCAGCCATAAAAAATGATGAGTTCATGTCCTTTGTAGGGACATGGATGAAGCTGGAAACCATCATTCTCAGCAAACTATCGCAAGGACAAAAAACCAAACACTGCATGTTCTCACTCATAGGTGGGAATTGATCGAAGAGAACACATGGACACAGGAAGGGGAACATCACACACCGGGGACTGTTGTGGGGTGGGGGAAGCGGGGAGGGATAGCATTAGGAGATATACCTAATGCTAAATGACGAGTTAATGGGTGCAGCACACCAACATGGCACATGTATACATATGTAACAAAACCCGCACGTTGTGCACACGTACCCTGAAACTTAAAGTATAATAATAATAAAATAAATAAATAAATAAAAATAAACTACAAAGCAAATGGATAATGAATCTAATAGAGAAACATTTAAAACTTTAACAAAGGAAAATGCCTTGGCTTTCTTTCTTGTTAAGTTTCTTATTAGCATCAGTTGCCTCAAAACAAAACCAATCTAAAAACATACTAAATCAGATGTAACAATTCATGTGAAGGGAATGTACAGTCTGCATTTCAGAAATTATAATGCTAAACAAATTAAATCATCCATTTCAAGTAATTTTTGTACTTTTTAAAAGTGTGAATCTATTTGCAATTTTTTTTTTCAAAACTGGTTGAATGTCCTTTCCCCAAGTAAGCGAGCTATTAAATATTTAAGGCATAGCTAATGTGTCTGGTCTTTTGTGAAGATTTCAGGATCTCACACTAGTAAAACAAATTGTTCCTCTCCCTGTGCCACTGCTCAGTTTGAGACTTAGCCTTATTCTATTACTTAATACTGTCTGCAATGACTGGTCCCATGTTTTTTTTTTTTTTTTTCTGTCTCACAATGTCTGAGCCTAGCACAAAGACTAACATATATTACATAATCAATAAATAGTTATTGCATGAATGGCTATGGTCCATCACTCATATTCTCCAAAATCGTTTCGATAATCCATGGTCCTTCAGTTCTATAAATGCCCTATGTGAGTAAATTTCTTTTGGACATTTTAACACAAACAAAAATATATATTGGCCCTTAATAACCTACACATGTAAATAGTCACACATGGCAAATAGTAATCATTTCAATAAAAAGTGATTGAGGAATCAAAATCATATATATATGAAAGTTTTTGAAAAATAATCTTTTGCTTTGCAAAGACAAGTTGCTATTTGCTGGTTATTTAGATAAGTAATAGCATAGTCAGAACTGCATCTAGTTTGCCTAAATTCAGAAAACATTCTCTTCTGCTTCCCTGTAGTAGTTATTGTGCCAGCATTTTCCAAATTTCTGTCACCTATGTACAATCAGCACCATTTATTTATTTAATGTTTTTCTTAAACTCAACTGACTTTTAAACTTAAAGAATGTATTTATCAACTTTATATTACAATAATAAATGGAAGCAATATGTATTACTACTTGATATTCATTTTCCCATCTCTGCTTTTGTCCCCCTATTTCACCTTTTTTAACTTCTTTCGGGTTTGTAAAATGTTTTTATTTTGTTATTTTATTTTTCTCCTCTACTAGCTTGAATCATCTATTTTATTATAGTGGTTATTCTAGATATTAAAACATGAATACTCGCTTACTAAAGTCAAATGAAATTAGTACTTTAGCTTCCTGAACAATGAATGAAACATAATATTTAACTCAATACTTTATGCCATTACTGTTTTCATTTATTTTATTGCTGCATATGTTATAGGCTGTATATCATTTCTTTTTAACAATCAATATTCCTTTATAACCACCTAGATATTTTCTCTTTCTGGTACTTTTCTATCTTTCCTAAAGTTCCATGCTTCTTGGAATTATTTTCCTTCAATTTCAACAATGTTTTAATATGTCTTGTAGTAAAGATATGCTGATGAATTATTTCAGGGTTTTTTAGAGGATATTTTCCTGGAGGATAAATCGTGGGTTGTTAAAAAAAAGAAAACACCCAGGTTGAGATAGATTTGCAGCTGAATTCTACCAGTTGTACAAAGAAGAGCTGGTACCAATTCAACTGAAACTATTCCAAAAAACTGAGGAGGACGGATTCCTTTCTGACTCATTCTATGAAGCCAGCATCACCCTGATACCAAAACCTGGCAAAGACACAACCAAAACAGGAAACTAGAGACCAATATCCCTCAACAAAATACTAACAAACTGAATTTAACAGCATATCAAAAAGTTAATTCACCATGATGAAGTAGGTTTCATTCCTGGGATGCAAGGTTGGTTCAACATACACATATCGATAAATGTGATTCATCACATAAACAGAATTAAAAATGAAAATCATATGATCGTCTCAATAGATGCAGAAAAAAGCTCTCAATAAAATCCAACATCCCTTCAGTATAAAAAACTTAAGAAACTAGGCATCGAAGGAACATGCCACAAAATAATAAGAGTTATCTATGATAAACACGGAGGCAACATCATACTGAATGGGCAAAAACTGGAAGCATTCCCATTGACAACTAAAACAAGACAAGGATGCTCACTCTAACCACTCCTATTCAACATAGTACTAGAAGTCCTGGTCAGAGTAATCAGGCAAGAGAAAAAATAAAAGGCAATAAAATAGGCAAAGAAGAACTCAAACTATCTCTCTTCATGGAAAATATGATCATATATCTAGAAACCTCTAAATATTCTGCCAAAAGGCTTTTGGAACTAACAAGTGACTTTAGTACAGTTTCAGGATACAAAGTCAAAATACAAAAAATAGTAGCATTTCTATACAACACTAAAACATTCAAGCTGAGAGCCAAATCAAGAGTGCAATACCATTTAAAATAGCCATAAAAAAATTTTTTTAAACCAAAAAGGTAAACCATCTGTAAGTGGAGAACTACAAAATGCTACTAAAAGAAATTATAGGTGAAACAAACAAATGGGAAAACATACCATGCTCTATACATTGGAAGAATCAATATGATTAAAGTGGTCATACTGCCCAAAGCAATCTACAGATTCAATGCTATTCCTATTGAACTATCAATGTCATTTTTCATAGACCTAGAAAAAACTACTCTAAAATTCACATGGAACCAAAAAAGGGTCCCAATAGCCAAAGCAAGCCTAAGAAGAAAAAACAAAAACAAACAAAAAACAAAACAAAACAAAACAAACAAACAAAAAACAGAGCCACAGCCATTATACTACCTGCCTTCAAACTATACTATAAAGCCACAACTACCAAAGCAGCTTGGTACTTGTACAAAAACAGACATATAGACCAATGGAACAGAAGAGAGAACCCAGAAATAAAGCAGCACATCTTCAGCCATCTGATCTTCAACAAAGTCTACAAAAATAAGCAATGGATGAAGGACTCCCTATTCAATAATGATACTTGCATAACTAGGTAGCCATATGCAGAAGAATAAAAGTGTATCCCTACCTTTTACCATATACAAAACCTAACTGAAGATGGATTAAAGATTTAAATGCAAGACTTCAAACTAGGATTCTTAAATCCTAGAAGAAAACATAGAAAACACCATTCTAGATATCAGCCTTGGGAAAGAATTTATGACTAAGTCCTCAAAAGCAATTTTACAACATAAACAAAAGTTGGCAAGTAGGACCCAATTAAACTAAAGAGAGTCTGCACAGCCAAAGAAACTATCAACAGAGTAAGCAGACAACCTAGAAAATAGGAAAACATATTTTCAAACTACACATCCAACAAATGTCTAATATCAGGAGTCTATAAGATGCTTAAACAAATCAACAAGCAAAAAAATGAATAATGCCATCAAAATGGACCAAAGATACGAGCAGACCATTCTCAAAAGACATACCAGTGTCCAACAAATATATGAAAAAAAATTCATCATCACTAATCGTCAAAGAAAGGCAAGTCAAAACTACAATGAGATACCATTTCACACCAATCAGAATGGCTATTAAAAAGTCAAAAACAACAGATGCTGGTGAGGATGCAGAGAAAAGGGATCACTTATACACTTAGTGGGAATGTAAATTAGTTTGGTCACTGTGGAAAGCAGTTTGGCAATTTCTGAAATAGCTAAAAGCAGAACTGCCATTTGACCCAGCAATGCCATTACTGGGTATATAACCAAAAGAAAACAAATCTTTCTACCAAAAATACAAATGCACTCTCATGTTCATCACACTATTCACAATATCAACAACATGGAATCAGCCTAGGTGCCCATCCACGGTGGATTGGATAAACAAAATTTAGTACATATTGCCATGGAATACTGTGTAGCCATGAAAAAGAATGAAATCATGTCCTTTGTAGCAGCATGGATGCAGCTGGAGGCCATTATCCTAAGCAAAATAGTCCAGGAATAGAGAACAAAATATGTCATGTAATCACTTAAAAATGGGAACTGAACATTGGGTACTCATGGACATAAAGATGTAACAATAGAAACCGGGGACTATCAGAGCGGAGAAGAGAAGAGGCAAAGGTTTAAAAACTATCAGGTGCTATGTTCAGTACTTGGGTGATGGAATCATTCATACCCCAAACCTCAGCATCACATAATATACCCAGGTAACGAACCTGCACGTATACCCCCTGAAAGTAAAATAAAGTCAATAAAATTCTAGTTTTTATTTTAGCACTTAAAGATATCATTTTATTTTCTCTTGTCTTTCACAGTTACTATTGGAAAATTAACCTTATGTTTTATTGCTTCTCTTTTGAAAAGAACATACCATTGCTTTTAAATATTTTTTCCTTTTCTTTGATATTTAATAATTTGACTGCAGTGATCTTTGTTGTGATCATTTCTTATTTATCCTGCTTGGGTGCTGTTAGACTTTTGAATTCGTAACTTGATGCCATTTATTACTTTTGGAACATTTTTGGTTATTTTGATTTTTAAATATTGATTTGGTTTTTAAATATTGATTTCCTGTTGTCTTTGCTCTCCATTTTGGCACTCCAATTGCACATATATTTGAATTTCTCGCTGTAGCTCATATACTGATATTTTCTTTTTCTTTAATTAGTATTCTTTCTTTCAGAGCTTCCTTTAGATGTATTGAACTATCTCTAATTATATTTATAGTATCTTCTCTATGTCCCTTCTCTTGTGAAACCCATCCAATAAGGACTTAATAGTATATATTGTATTTTGCAGCTCTAGAATATCAACCTGTTTCACGTATTTCAACTCTTTAGTGAAACTCTCCATGTATTCCTACATTTAGTGCATGTATACTTCTGCCCTTTGATATATTAATAATAGCAATTTTACAGTCTGTAGATACAGACTAAATCCATTATTGGATTGTTAGTCTGCTTATTTTGTTTCTTTTGATTATCAGCCACATTTTCTTGCTTATTCACATTTTCAATAATTTTTTATTGTATGTGCATATCATATATTAAGGAAACATAAAGGATCTGGTTGAGCTTACCTTTTTTCTAGGGTTCCTGTTGAATTCTGTAAGATGGGTAGGGTACATGTGAGGGGTGTTAATCACTTCTACTCAATCATGGATTATAGTGAATAATTGGCTGGGTTGGTGCTTCATTCATGTTATTCAGGCATGTTCCAAGCTTCCTCTTCGGAAACTGGTAGATTTATACTTCCTGATCTCTAAATAACTATGAAAATTCAGTCAGCCTTTGTAGGTCTTGGGTTTTTCTGTTTGCCCTTCCATTCCATGCTATTTCCAAATTTGGTAGATATCATGAGAAGATGATAAACTATGTGTTTGAGGCAGGCCTGTTCCTCAAGCGGGATTTTATTTCCTTAATTCTGTGAAGGTATGGGAACAGGTCAGACTTCTCTGTAAAGCTCCCAGGCCTTCAGCATGACCCCCAGATTTGGCAAATAGGTGAGGGGGCAAACAGAATTCTGGGCTCCTTGAGTTTCTTAAATATTGTGCAAGTTCTGCACAGAAATTTTGTTATTTTACTTTATCCTTTGTGTGAGCAAAGCCTGACCCTTAATTCATACTGAGAAATGGTAATTATTTCCAGGGACGAAAACAACAGGCATCCGTTTTGCACCTTGGAAAGGCTTATCCCTCTTGGAATTTGTTTATTTAATCCTTTTCGTTTCCACAGCTGTTTCTAGGAACTACTTATTAAACACAGTTCACTTAAGATGCTAGGAGTTACTCTTCTGTGTATCTGCTGATATTTTCTTTGTTTTTTAATTTGAGATACTTCATGAATAGCTTAAAAATTGATGGATTACATCTTAAATATCCATCGATTTTTAAGCTATTCATAAGAAAACCAAGAATTACCGTGGAAACTCATTAAGGCTATTCTGCATTGGGCAGAGAAAGATCATGTGGAGAGAAGATATGGGGAGGGAGGAATCCCTCTTTTTACAGGGGTTCCCTACACCCCACTTCAAACAAACAGATCTGTTTCAAATGGTTTTACATCATCAACTTACAGCCAATGAGACCCTAAATACAGGATTGTATAGATTGAAAACCATGCTTGATGATCAAACACTTGATTTACTGTAGCTGAAAAATAGAGAATAATTCTCCTGCTTAAAAGAAAAATATGATAGAAGTTAAAGGGAAAGATAGAGGAAAGTAGGGTATAGTGTTTTTATTTTTATAAAAAATCAATAAAAATGCACATTTTAAAAATTCTGAGTAATAAATTCCTGTGTGATCATAGGCAGCAAACTACTAAAGGAAAAGGCAATAGAAAGAGAGAGAAAAAAATGAGAAAAAATGTTTAATAATACTGCCTACATACAACATATCACAGGATTTTATCTGTTATAGAAAATCATGTTATTGGGACGGAAATAACATGGCTGTTCTATTTTACTAACTCAGGAAGATGATGGATACAGAGTAACAACTATAGATAGGTAGTAGTAGCTATATATTATATAACAACAGGAGACTGAGTACACTGATTGGAAGTTTAACAATTCACAATACCTGAAATTATACATATCATGCCTACATAAAAATTCATTTTAAATTATCAGGAAACAGACTCACAGAAGACAATACACACTGAATCAAAGAAGCAAAGAGAAAAATAAAGCTTTGCTTGTTTTATTCTGGTATTCCTTTCCACTGGTTTATGGCCTCTCTTTAACCTCTTAGTGAAGAGAGACTACTGACTTGTGCTGGAGATATAATGCCTACCTGTATTTTACTTGAAGATTACATGCATATGTGTATTCATAGAGTGAGCTACATGTAGTACTTTTCCAGAGTATGCAAATTGCCTTAGCTAATTTGTGTGTATGTGTGTTTAAAAAATAGTCTTAACTTGTAAAGAACCTCTTCAGAGAACCCAACGAATCAATGCAGTCATTATCTCAGTCTATACATACAGTACCTCTGGTAACTATTACCATCACTATTGTTTAGTTATGGTAGTATTTGATAAAATTGTACCTGCATAGGATCAATTCTCTTTAAGTGTGTTACCTGCTACACATGCGCATGGTATAGTCCTAAAATTATATGTCCCTGCTGTTTGATACTGCTGCTTTATTTTTTAAAATCTTTTTTTCAGAATGCCTTTGAAACACTTTAGGTTTTCAGATTTCTAGACTATATAATAAGAGAAAAGTATTCATTTGGGAGGTCAGGGAACCCAATCACATATGCGGTCTGCCAGTTTGAAGATAGTTTGATAACATCAATCTCAATGCTACTGGTGTTCCCATGATAAAGAATATTAATCTATTTTCACCTTAATGTGATGAGTCTTTATCAGTAGCATTTATGTTTCTTTTATAGCATTATAAGACATCTTCTATAAACAATTCATCTTTTTGTTCCATAGAGCAAGGCAGAAATTATAACTACATAGTGAACCAAAACTTTAACATTAGATTTTAATATCTTAGTCTTCAAATATTAAACCCATGTCAAATTTGTGCTTTTAAGTTACTATTTGATATTATTAAATTTATTCTTCAATGTCAGACTTTCATAAAAAGTATTGAGTCTATTGGCTCAATTATGTTTCATGCTCCCTGGTTTTAAGGTGGATATGAATTATTATAATCATAATTTGCTACTTAAGAACTTTTTGATAAAGGATTTCAGTCATTCAACATTGTTTCTACTTCATTTTTTGTGTAATATATGTAGAAATATTATCATAAGGGTTAGACAGGGGCTAATGGAGACATTATAAAAGGTAACTGTAGATTACAGGGCCAAGGTAAGCCAGATCTCAAAAAGTAGAAAGATTGAGGAATAAAGACAGAACAGAACAGACAACCTAAGTTAAAAGTTATATTGTTTCTTTAATAGAACATAATAATCTCAGTACTTTCACTGTAATTGGCTCCTATCTTCTAGAAGCCACTGGTCCACAATATGATTTAGAGATGCTACTAAAAAGTGGGAGACACTTTCTTATACACCACTGGAAGCAGCCTTAATAAAATTTAGCAGAGAAAAAAAAAACTACGATCTTGAAGATTGTGGTTAAAAAGAATGTTGAACCCACTGTGCTTCCAGATTCTTTTCAGGATGTTTTAAAACAAATTTCATAAAGTTGAAATGCAGAAGCATGTTAAAAAACCACAAGCAACAAAAAAAGAGTAGACATCTACACTAAGTGTGAGAGATGAGGAAGGAGATATCCTATATATGACAGATGCATTATTTTAGACACTAAATATATGTTTTATACTAGTGCTTCTCACACTATGCTGAAAAGCAATTTTTCAAAAAAATTTCTATTTAGTATAGACCAGTATGTGGTTTTAAAACCTCATAACCAGTTTTATAACCACTGCTTATAAATATGCAGTGTGCCACCACATGACCCATAACACTTTCAATAAGTCCACTCCTCATGAGTCTGAATGGCAGAGCAATGCCAAATCCCTATAAAAGTTTCTAAACTTACTACCAGTTTCTGTGTATTTCTCTGTGGAGCTGTGAAACCCCGTCTCTATTAAAAATACAAAAATTAGCTGGGCGTGGTGGTGGGTGCCTGTAGTCCCAGCTACTCGGGAGGCTGAGGCAGGAGAATGGCGTGAACCCGGGAGGCGGAGCTTGCAGTGAGCCGAGATCGCGCCACTACGCTCCAGCCTGGGCTACAGTGCGAGACTCCGTCTCAAAAAAAAAAAAAAAAAAAAAATTCTAGGGCCACAACAACAGTGTTTTTGGGAACAAAGTGTCTCTTTTCCTACTGGAAAGAGGATTCATTTGGTACCAGGGAAGACTCACCTTGGTTTACTGTTTTATAGTTATGGTGGGCAAATAACGTGGTGCTACTGGAGACAGATTGGACACCATGGCTTCTGCTCCTCTTGTGCTTGTTTTGAAACTTTATTTCCTCTTTAGTCTTTCCTTGGCCAGGGTTTAAAGTATCAAACATCGGTCTGGGTATTAAGAAAATAATATTTTGTTTGCTTGGAATCCTACATAAAGAAAAGCTGATGGAGAGATAAGATTTAGGGCTTTCTTTTCCATGGTAAGTTAGTTTCTGCTGCAGGGAGAACAAAAGTGGTGGAAAGGAAATATGCCCCTGTTGGAGTCATGAATGTAGCCAAAGGCTGGGGAATTAAGGAGTTGAGAAAGATAAAGGCGCAGGTTATTCTGCTTCTCACTACCACTGGGATAGCATGCTTAGGCGAGTGCAAGGAGAAACATGTGGGGTCAATAGGCTTGAGCTCAGCAAAAGGATTTACAAAAGCAAAATTTAATCTCATGTGAGGTTCCTTCCGATTGAGTTTAAATTCAAAGATTGTGAACTTTGGATAACTGGCATCTTAATTAAATTGAAATCAAGAGGAGTATCTCCATTCTTACCTGCTTTAATCAGTACATGACCCAAATTGTTCACAGCTGGAAAAGGAAACGAGGGCTTTTGAAATGATTATTATAAAATGCTGTTACTTTAGAGGAAATAACTGATTCTGAAGTGTGTGGGGATGGGGCTGTTGGAGTTATTATATGGTCCAGGCTTCGTTTTGCTTTGCTTGTTTAACAATTTATGATTAAGATAGAATCATATTTAATTATACTGTTCAAAGAACTTGGTATGTTCTAAGGGTAAGCTGGTTTTAATCAACTTGTTTTTAATTTCTTGATGCTACATTAAGTTATAGTTGAGAATACAGTGATTAAATCATACCTAAACTAAACCATTTGCCAAATTTTATGAATAGGAGTTAAAACAGCACAATTATCATTAAAAATTAAAAACAAGATTTGCTATGAAAAATCTCTCCACAAATAAATGAAAGTTGATCACGCAAATAAGCCAGCTCACTACTGGAAGAAAACCCGTATTCCTGAAGAAGATGTAATTTGTATAAAAGAAAACTATTTTTGTTTTGCAATCACTTAACAAGAAAATAATCTCACTTAAGGAGAAAACAATGTTTCAGAAAAATAGAGGAAGAAAGAATACCTCTTTATTTATTTAATGAGGACAGCAGGACCTTTATACTAAACCCAAACAAAGATACTAATAGAAAAGAGAACTAGCGACCAATTGCCCTCATGAGCATAAAAACAAAAATATCCTTCACAGAATATTAACAAGTTGCATTTAGCAAATTCAAACAGATAAAAAGGGAAATATATCATGACCTATTGAAGTTTATCATAAGAATACAATATTGATGCAACAATTGGATAACCAATCAATTTAATTCCCTATATAAACAAAGGGGAAACCCACCTGATAATCTCAATGGATATATAAATGGCATTTGACAAATTCAACACACATTTATGATTAAAAAAAACTGTTAGGTAGAGAACTGAACTTAATAAAGGGCAACTCTGAGACACCTACTGCTAACATAGTTCACGAATGCTAAAAGCCTGAATGCTTCTGCTTAAAATTAAGAACAAAGCAAGGATGTCCATTGTCATCACTTCTATTTATCACTTTACTGGAGAGCCTAGTCAGTTCATTAAGGCAAGAAAAGAAACAGTAAAACCCATACACTTTGGAAAGGAAGTAATGAAACTGTATTTGTGGATAACAAGGGCATATACATAGAAACTCCTAAGCAATCTGCAACAATGTTATGAAAATTAGTGATCTGGCAAAGTTGCAGAATACAAGATCAATATTACAAAATAAATTTAATCTCTCCTTATGAGAAACAAAAAAACTGAAAAATGAAATTTTAAAGATATAAATTTTAACAGCATCCAAAACTATAAAATACTTTGAGATAAATTTAATAAACGTGCAGTAACTGTACAATGTAAATCACGCAAAAAAAGCACAGAGAGAAATTGAAGAAAACCTAAATAAATGGAGACACATTACATGTTCTTTGATTAGAACACTCAGTATTTTTAAGGTGACAATGTAACCCTCAATTAATCAACAGGTTTAATGCATTGTCAATCATAATCCCAGCAGGTTGTTTTTAGTAGACCTTGTAAAAATTTATATGGGACTTCAAGGTATTTGGAATGGCTACAATATAACCTTGTAAAAAGATAACAAAATTGGAGAAATACACTCTGATTTTCAAGGCTTATTATCAAGTTATAGAAGTTATGATTATGTGATATCAGCATCATCACAAAGATTAGTGAACAGGATAGAGAGTTCAGAAATTGGCTCATCCATATTAGGTCAGCTCATTCTCAACAGAAGTGCCAAGATAATTTCATGAGGGAGATGCTAGTATTTCAACCAATGATTCTGGAACAGCTGTATGTTCATATAAGCAAAAGTAAATCTTATTTCCTACCTTTACGATGTACACAAAAATTAACTATAATGGATCACAAGTCTCAATATAAAAGCTGAAATTATAAAGATTCTAAAGCTCACCATAGAATAAAACCTTCACAACCATGGGGTAGGGATATACTTCTTAGACAAGACCCAAAATGACCTATAGAGTAAAGATATATATATATATATATATATATATATATATATATATATATATATATATATATATATCTGTGTGTGTATTTGACTTTGTCATAAATTAATATATATATTTGACTTCATCATAAATTAAGCATCATATAAAAATATTTATAGAAGCTTTATGAAAAATAATATGGAAACATTCCAGGTATATTTCAGCAGAGGACTGATAACCTGTGGTATAATTTATACAACGGTATACTACTCATCAAGAAAAAGGCACAAATTACTAATACATTCAACCACGTTATGCTGAGCTAAAGGAGCTAGAGCCAAAGAATCCTTACTGTATTACCTCATTCATATAAAATTCAAGAACAGGCAATTTAAAAAATTGTGTGTACCTAGTAGGTGTGTATATTTATGGGGTACATGGTATATTTTAACACAGGCATGCAATACATAATAATCACATAAGAGTCAATGGGGTATCCTTCACCTGAAGAATGTATGCTTTCTTTGTGTTACAAACAATCCAATTATACTCTTTTAATTATTTTAAAATGTATAATACATTATTGACTGCAGTCACCTCATTGTGCTGTCAAATACTACATCTTATTCCTTCTATCTAACTCTATTTTTGTATTCATTAACCATTCCCACTCCCCCACCACTACCCTTCCCAGCCTCTGGTAACCATCATTCTACTCTTATCTCCATGAGTACAATTGTTTTAATTTTTAGCTCCCACAAATAAGTGAGAACATGTAAACTTAGTCTTTCTGTGCCTGGTTTATTTCATTTACCATAACGACCTCCACTGGCATCCATGGTAACTGCAAATGACAGGATCTCATTCTTTTTCATGGCTCAATAATACTCCACTATGTATACATACCACATTTTCTTTATCCATTCAAATGTTGATGGGACACTTAGGTTGCTTCCAAATCTTAGCTATGGTGAATAATACCGCAATAAACATGGGAATACAGATATCTCTTTGAAATACCAATTTTCTTTCTTTTGGGTATATACCTAGCAGTGGGATTGCTGGATCATACGGTGGCTCTATTTCTAGATTTTTGAGGAACCTCCATACTGTTCTCCAAAGTGGTTGTACTAATTTACAATCCCACCAACAGTATACGAGGATTCCCTTTTTTCCACATTCTCACCAGCATTTGTTATTGTCTGTCTTTTGGTTAAAAGTCCTTTTAACTGGGGTGCGATGATATTACATTGTAGTTTTGATTTGCATTTCCCTGGTGATCAATGACATTGAGCACTTTTTCATATACCTGTTTGCCATTTGTTTGTCTTCTTTTAAGAGATGTCTATTCAGATATTTTTCCCATTTTTTTAATCGGATTATTAGATTGTTTCCTATAGTGTTGTTTGAGTCCCTTGTATATTCTGGCTATTAATCCCTTGTCAGATGGGTAGTTTGCAAATATTTTCTCCCATTCTGTGGATTGTCTCTTCACTTTGCTGATTGTTTCCTTTGGTATGCAGAAGCTTTTTAAGTTGATCTGATCCTGTTTGTCCATTTTTGCATTGGTTGCCAAGAACAGACAAAACTAATCTATAGTAATTGCAAGTTGATCAGTGAGTGCTCGCAACCTAGGGTTTGGGATTGATTATAGAGAGACATAAGGGAATGTTTAGCAATAATGGAAATGTTCTGAATTTCTATTGGGCAGCTGGTTATATAAGCATGTGTACATTTGACAAAACTCATTAATTGGCACACTAAAAAGGGCTTGTTTTACTGCATATAATGTATATGCCCATCCTTGTGATTTTTGTACACGTGGACTTTGTGAATAGTCCTTTTGTAAACAAACCCCCTCAATTCCATTTTAGGGATGCCATCTGAGTCTTGCGCAGACTCTCACAGAAACAATGGCTTATACCTTTAGGCAGACATTCTTCAGACTTTTAAAAAATATAGCTAGGCCAGTTTACTTTTTAGGTATCTGCGAAAGAATGAGGATTTCTGGGTCTTTACAGCCAAAACATACTTACAAAAAGGAATCACCTGTGGCACCTTCATTGCCACGTTCTCTCTAGCAGAGTATCGTACCTTCTGAGCGCCATCTCTAATCTAACATTCAAATAGCTTAAAGTACAGGATGTATAGTATAACAGATAAAATCCTTTAACCTGTTCAAATGAAATGGCTGTCTCTTCCTCAGAAAAATAAGATATTTTAAGGAAAAAAAAGGAAATAAAAAAACACTTACTAATGTTTTTAATTTTAAAAAGGGAAAACTTGACAGTCTCTCAGTACCACACGTAATGATAATGACGTTGTTTGAAATTCCCCAGAATATATAGATCATCTCTTTTTATATATTTATACTCCCTTCATATTTTTATGTATTAGATCTTGTCTTCCCAAATGTGGAGCTAGGAGTTGATAATCACCTGTGTGCTATACGCTAAATGATTCTGTTTTTTTCATCTTTTTCCCCTTACTGCCCTGTAGTTTTATTTTTGAGAATTTCATCATTAGAATCTCTATTTTATTAACACGTTGTATATTTCTCATATACAAATGCTTCTCAAATGGAAATCTATAAAGTCACTATCAGACGTAAGTATCACAATAGAGACAAGCTTTTCTTTTTTTCTTCTAAACAAATATGTGAGAGTAAGGTCTTATCTGCAAGAAACAGGAACCCATTTTGATAGCATTCAATGTTTAAATAATATTTATGAAATTTCTCTTTCTCTTATATACCCTGTACATGATAGGTTTAAGAATATAGCGATGTTTAAAAAAAAAAAAAAAAGAAAAAGGATATTGTCCTTGCTGATATGAAGCTTACAACCTTGTGGGAGAGGAGATAGATATCAAATGCATTATCACATAAAAGATAGATTCATAAACTGCGAAATGTTCCCTGAAGAAAAAGAACCAGCTGCTCTGAGACAGAACAGGTGGGTGGTGGGGGAACTAATATAAACTATAGAGCCAGGGAAAGTTTCTTGGAAGAAGGTCCCCTTAGCAGAGATGTAAAGTACGGACAGGAGTTGTTGAGGAGAGGTGATGTGTCCCAAAGGGCTCTCCAAACAGCAAGAACAGAAAGCTTAAAGCCCTAGGGCTGGAAAGGGCAATCCTCATATTCAAGGAAAGAAAACAGGTCAGAATGGTGGGCAGTGCAGCAAAGGAAGGAAAGAGAGGCATGAAATGAGGCTGGAGAGGCAGCCCAGGCCTTCTGGGTCATGTTAAATACATTGAATTTCAATTCTAAGAAGTGTCATAAGGTGCCATTATTTACAAAGAACGCCTCCTGGAAACTCGAGTAGGCAATTAATTACTGTAGGAATTGACAAGAGAGCTTAGTAGATGGTTAGTAATGGGCAAAATACTAAAAAGAAAAGAAAATAGTCTCTCTACATGGAGAAAATCCGATATTTAGGAAGAGGTTGGATTCTGGAAAGGTGTTCATAATTTCATAAATGCAAAAATTCAAAATGACTAAGAGAAATGTAAACGTATAGCCATCAGATGCATTTCTATCAAATAGGCTTGGGAAATGGTCCATTAAAGCTGTTTAAACAGCTATAGTAATTCCAACATTCTTTTGGGCTTTTTAAAAGGGAAAATTTTCGTCTAATTTGAAAAACTTTTAAGCAAATGCCTGCTTCCTTTGATGGTCTCTGCCTGGTTCTACTTCTTCAATAACTGAGTTCCCTGTAAAATGTTTCCTTGCCATTTAGCCTATCCAACATGTGACAAAAACTTTATCAGCAGGGATCTATTACACTTGTCCAACTGAGTTAACATTAGGTTGATAGGTGATCAAATTGAAATATGTTTTCAGACACACCCTTAGCATTTTTCCATTTTATTAATCACTTTTATTGATTCTTGGTGATTATTGCTAATTGCATAGACACAGCACTTGTTATGAGTTGCAAGATTCATTTATGCCCTCTTTAATGTTCAGTTTGTTAAAAATGTATCATATGCATGTGTAATAATTGTATTTTATTTTTAGTTTTCGCTGATTTTTTCTACTTTTATTTCCAATATAATCCTAGAACTCTATTTAAAATTCTTAATTTTTTGACCCTCACACCGCTGTTGAATTTAACAGACGCGTTGTGTTATACTATTCATAAACTACCTCAAAAATAATCAAGAACAGGAAGCAAGACATATCTGAGCTGTCCAAGAATAAAATGACCGTGGCCAAAAACCCTTTCTATTAAATATTAATAAACAGAATGATTCACTTTTGCTTAGTAGCATATAAAAGTTGAACGCTGAAAACTCTTAAAAGAGCATCTGTATTAGAAAGAACCAATTACAATAAAAATGAGCGAGATCCCAATCTTACAAGGAACCAGAAATATTTAATATCTAGCAACAAATTTAACAATGAATGTAAACATAAAATTACACATTGCATAACTATATTTCAACTGTTGAAACTCGATGAAATTGTCACACTAATCTGAGTAAACCGAAGTCCAAACAAATCTCAAAGTGATATTTTTTTAGAATAGCAATGTAAACCAGCGAAAGTAGCCAGCAACTTTTTAAAGACAACATGGGAACTGACTTTATAGTCAAGTATATTTTAAAGCTATAATTTTCTAATGTTTTATTGTTAAAAATCTCAAACATTCAGCAAAATTGAACAAATGCTTAAAGGCATACCCTATACTCACCACCTAGATTCTACTATAATTATTTTACTATACTTGCTCTATCACGTATCTATTCGTATAACCATCCCACTTTCCAAAGGATAGTTCTCCCTTTCTCCATAGGAGAGTTTTGGTTGTTCCACATCTTTGCCAAAATTAGATGTTGTTTTAGTTTTTAACATTTTGGTAGGTGCATAGTAGTGTCTCCTGGTGCCTTTGATTTTCATATTTCTAAAAACTAGTGATGTGCATTTTTCCATATGCTTATTGGCCACTCCTATATGTTCTTTTGATGTGACTGTTGAAACCTTTGGTCCATAATTTATTGGATTGTTTAACTTTTTTAATGGAGTTGTAGGATTTTTTTTATATACCCTGCATACCAGTCCTTTGTTTTCCTCTTAAGGTTTGTTAGTTTTAACTTTTACGCTTAAAAATATGATAGATTTTGAATTTTTTTGTATGTGGATGGTGTGAGAGGTTGAGATTTGGTTTTGTTTCTTTTTTTTTTTTTTTTTTTTTTCCTATTTGGATACTCATTCTTTCACTCATTTCACTCATTCTAGCACCATCTGTTCAAGAGTATCTTCTCTTATTTTTCTTTTCTTTTTTTTTTTTTTTTTTTGAGACGAGTGTCGCTCTGTCACCCAGGCTGGAGTGCAGTGGCGCGATCTCGGCTCACTGCAAGCTCCGCCTCCCGGGTTCACGCCATTCTCCTGCCTCAGCCTCCCGAGTAGCTGGGACTACAGGCGCCCACCATCACGCCCGGCTAATTTTTTGTATTTTCAGTAGAGACGGGGTTTCACCATGTCAGCCAGGATGGTCTCGATCTCCTGACCTCGTGATCCGCCTGCCTCGGCCTCCCAACGTGCTGGGATTACAGGCATGAGCCATCGCACCCGGCCCCGTCTCTTTTCCTATTGGGTTGCTTTATCATTTATGTCAAAAATCAAATGCCCACATTTATGTGGGTGTATTTCTATTGCTTTCATATCTTTCACTCTCATACCAGTTTACCACTGTTTGATTATTGTAGCTTTATAATATATCTTGGAGTCAGGTAGTATATATCCTCAAACTTTGTTCATCTTTCTAAAGATTACTTTGAATATTCAAGTTCTTTATATTTCCATGTAAATTTTAGAACCAGATTGTCAATTCTTGTGAAAAATAATGCTGAGATTGAGTAGGATTGCACTGAATCCAACGATTAGATGGGAGAAAACTGAGATTTTATCAATATTGCAACTTCTAATCCACTAACATAGCAAATTTGTTTATTTAAGTCATCTTTAACTTCCCTCATAAATGTTTCTGTTTTTTAGGCTGCAGAACTTGTACCACATTTAAAATTTATTCCTACATATGTTATGTGTTGTGATACAATTATATGAAATTCTTAAAATTTCATTTTATAATTGTTTGCTGATAAAAAAATTGATTTTGATATATTAACCTTGAAACCTATTTTACTAACATCACTATTAGTTCAAGTAATTGTTTTGCAGAATTCTTAAGGTTTTCCATACAAATCATCATTCTGTCTGCAAATAAAGACAGCTCTGTTTCTTCCTTTCCAATCTTTGTGCCATTTTTCTTGCCTAATTGCCTATACTTGTTTTAAAAAGCTGTAAAATTGGACTGAAAATTTACAGAAAATGAATAGTTCAGAAATAACTAAACACAATTTGGTTACAAATATATATAATTTTGTACATAATAATAAAAATGTTAAAAATTTGGAGAAATAATATTTTTAAGATATGATTGGGTAATAAATAATTGAATAAGTAATATTTTTTCATGTCTCCTATCATACATTCAAATAAATTAATACAGGCTAAATATACGAATGTTTGCTCTAAGAAGACTGGAAGCAAATATTCTCATAATTTTTCTGTTGGGAATAGTTTTGTAAGCATTATCTAAAGGCAGAAATCAAGAGAATATGGATAGATTTAGTAAAATAAAAATCTGTTCAAGATCAATAATGCTATAATAACATTCAAAATGTGATAAACTGGAAAGATGACTTTGATACATAAGCCAAAAATACCCTTAATACATAAATAACTCCTACAAACCTTAATAAAGATAATTTATCACAGAAGATAAATGTAATGAGAACAATAGACGAACAATCACAAAATAACAAATGCAAATGGCAAGAAATAAGAAAACATTTTGAATTCACCTGTTAAAAATAATACAAATTTTAAAAATGAGATGCATTTTGACCTTTCAGATTGGCAAGAAAGGGAGAAAAAGAGAGGGAGGGAGGGAGAAAAAAAGGAAAACAGAAAAAGAGAGAGGGAAGCAGAGAGAATTATAAAATGAACCAAAATTTTTAAAAATAAAATGTATGTTGAGGACAATTTACTAAATCAGTAATTATATTTTAAATAATTCAGAGCAATAATTTTGAAAACACATTACATACAATAATAAAAATGAAGTAACCTAAAACCTGATGTCAAAATGCTGATTAAATAAATTATGTTATATTATTCTATTTGAATGTTTTACTATAGTATATAAAGATGATAACTTATTTGTTGATGTAAGAACTACAATACCTAAGTTCTGAAGTAACACAGGGCTGGAATCAGAACCTAGCTCTGTCATTTACTCACTGTGTGGCCTTAGACTTCATCTTTATCCCTCAATTTCCTCATCTGTAAATTGCAGCAATGGGAACCACTTAATATAGTTGTGAGAATTCAATGAAATAATGGGATAAAAAATACTAGTACCTGACACATAGCGCTTATAACAGTTCATTTTTTCCATATTGTTACAGAATTTATTGAAATATATACATATAGTAATGATTTATTATTAACATCTTTAGGTGAAGATAGAGCTATAAATATTGTACTCAACATGATTTCATATTTATGAAAATCACATATATACACACACAAACACACAGATATTTCTTTAAAGTATTTCTGGGAGAGCATTCAAAAAATTGTAAACAGTGGTTCACTGTTGGAAGTGGGAAAGGGGACACTAGAAGCAAAGGGAAGGTGACTTTTTAAACTTACTTCACTCTCAAGAGTCTTTGAAATTTTAAAATGAGTATTGATTTTAAAATAACACACATACACAAACTGTCCACTCTACTTACCTCTGGATATAGGATTTTACAAGTGATTTTGTTTTTATATTTTGCATATTTTAATAAAAGTTATTTTACAATATAATGAGACATATCAAAACCTATAGATAAACCAACTGTTACTTCATTAGCTAAAATTTCAAATTATAAAATATCATGATGAAATTATTCCAATACTAGAGCTGTCTGTGATTTTTTAATGTTTAGAAGCCATAGAACTGTCCTTTTTGCTAGTCCTTCAGTGCCAACCAGATGGTTCTGAGAAAAATTAAACCCAAATCGTTTACATCAATCCAGAACATTTGACACTGAGCTGCAAATTTACATTCCATAATTGTTTAGTGAAAGCAACCCTGCCAGAGGCTGATGGCTCTAGAAACCCGGCTGAACTGACAGAGCAGATGCTGTAACCACTTGCAATACCTGTTCTCACCTAGATGTAAGGCTCATGTTCTGTTGTTTTAATTTTAGCACTGTCCTACTGATGTTTTATTTACTTATTTATTTAGATTTTTTTACTTATTTATAGCATCCACACAAATATTTGGCCAAGCCACACTGTCTAAGATGAAGACAGTGTTTTTAACTTGGTTTACATTGGTATACCAAATGATATACAGTATAATTAGGAAAACGTTATATACAATTTATTACATTTAAGCCAAATTTTATGTCTACATAGCTACTACAATTTTTTAAAAAGATGGAGCATAAACATATTTTAAAGTGTATTCAAGTTAGGTTATTTAAATTACATGTGTATATATTATACATAATTTAAATTAAACGACACATAAATTCCAACTATTTACATGTAATTACCTTTAGCTAGCTAGCTCTCCTTTTTCCTTTCTTTAACTGAACATATTTAACGTATACAACAAGCTGTTTTAATATACTTACACATAATGAAATGGTTACTATAGTCAAGCAAAATAACACAAGCATCATTTTGCAGAGTTACCCTTTTTTTCTGTAAGAGCATCTACAATCCACTCTCTTAGCAAACTCCCACCATACCAAATGCTATTACAGCCATATTATTCATACTGCATATTACCTCTCTAGTCTTATTCATCCCATAAATTCACAATCAGGCAGGCTTATGATTTACATTCTGAGAACTATAATTCTTCAGCTAGAAATTTTTTTCTACATCAGTTAATTGAAAACACTATAATTATTTCTTCTGATTCCAAGTAACTTCACTCTCCAAAATTATTCTTCAACTCATGATTACAAAAAAGATGGTGATCTCTTAGAGAAGAGGATACATTAAAATAATACCTAGCACAGCATAAAGCACCTAGCAGATACTGGGTAAATGACTTCTGTTAGATTGATGATAAAAGCAATCCCAATTCTCAGGAAGTAATGGCAGTGAATTTGCACAACAGGCTCTAGTTATAAAACAAACATCCTAGGTAGAAGAAGGTAATGAAAAAGAAGTACAGTGGGTGTTCCAAAAGATGCAAAGCACTCTGGTGGTAAAGTTTAAAAATGATTTAGACACATTTAAAAAATTGATGGAGAATATATTAGTTTACCATTGCTGCTGTAACAAATTATCACAAATTTAATGGCTTATAACAAAAGAAGTTTACCATCTTACAATTCTGGCCAGAAATCCTATAATTAAGGTCTCTGCAAGGCTCTGCGCCATCTGGCAGCTTTGTAGGAGATTTTTTTTCCTTGTCTTTTCCTGCTCCAGAGGTTGAGGCTACCTGCAGTCTTTGGCTAGTAGCCCCTTTGTGTATCACTCCAGTCTCTGCTTCCCATTCATCATCACATCTTCTCTGAAACTGACACCTCTGTCATTAGGACCTTTGTAATTATATTGGGTCCACTCAGATAATCCAGGGTAATCTATCTCAAGATCCTGAATTCAATCATATCTGCAAAGTGCCTTTTGCCACGTAAGGTAACATATTCACAGGTTCCAGGAATTAGGATGCGGACATCTTTGCAGGGCCATTATGCTGTCTACCACAAGGAGTGAGACAGAAGAAAAGAAAATCCTAAAACGCGGCACAACTTTATCTACAGTTACCTTGTCTCACCTATTCAGGGAACATAGTTTAAAAAAACAAAATTAAACTCAGTGATGTTGCATTATTCAATATCTGTTTATCTCTTGATTTCACCCTCATGCTTAATCTTGTTGAGTTTTAACAAGGGATTATTCAGGGAACTATTTTAAACCAACATGAGATTTTAAAAAAATACATTTCTGTAAGATCTTAGAGAATTAATGAATTAAATGGAAACTAAAAGTCATATTAACTAAAGTATAAAGTAGTTTGTATTGTATGCAATGGAAGGAGATGGAGAAAGTTCCAGGAAATCTTTCTCACTAATAGCCAAGGAACTGTCTATTTCCTGGAGCTGGTCTCAATGGATAGAGGACATAATAGGCTAAATTAATGTAAAAGCAGGACTCTGGTTTTGATGGAAAGAATCTTATTCAGATAGTGAAAGTGACAAAATATCAGACTGTATTTGATGGGGAGAGAGATTTTGAAATTTCCTTACCAGGAAATCTTTTAGTATGAGGCCACAATATTTCATATGTTCTCTGTCTGATTGCAAGAGCTGCCCAGGTATTCTCTTTGAATGCCTTCTGGTCTGTCTATCCATGATTGCATAGTGTCACAAGCCAAAGGAATCAGGTCTCTAAATTCTGCAATCACAGGTAACCAGCAGTAGAGTGAACCAGACAAGGAAATGGACCAGTCCCTGCCTTTTAGTCAAATTACTGGGGATTATATCTAGTCACTTGCCTGAGTTCACCTTAACCCTTTTGCAGTTATAGATCATCTGCTGTAAGAAAAAGCAAAACAAATCCTAAACAATAGACATCAGCCACGTACACACATGCACATGAATTTATGAGTAACAACAATATGACTCTATTATATGTAATTTCCTAATGACTAGAGAGCAAAGCAGCCAAAAAATAAGAATGCTGGATGACCAACATAAATTTGTGCTTCAGCAAAATCACAAATCCCTCTGTGACACAGACTGTGTAATTGCTTGGAAAAAGCCATTTTTTTTTAAATGGAGTCCCTCTCTGTAGCCCAGACTGGGGTGCAGTGGCGCAATCTCGGCTCACTGCAACTTCTGCCTCCCAGGTTCAAACCATTCTCCTGCCTCAGCCTCCCGAGTAGCTGGGACTACAGATGTGCATGCCTGGCTAATTTTTTTTGTATTCTTATGAGAGACAGGGTTTCTCTGTGTTGGTCAGGCTGTTCTGGAACTCCTGACCTCAGGTAATATGCCCACCCTGGCCTCCCAAAGTGCTGGGATTACAGGTGTGAGCCACCATGCCCAGCTGAAAAAGTCAAAATTTTAATGATAACTGACAAAAGGCTTACTGTATCTAATATAAAACAAAACCTAAAAACACCAAAACAAGAACAACTCTGAACTTATAGAAATAAATATTGATATTTATTCCCAATATAAGAGAAATTCTGGCAGTTGTTATTAATGCTCTCAGTATATTAAAATATAATTAAATTAATAAATATTTAAATTGGCCAGCTACTATTTCACTAGACAAAATCATTGGCCTACCACTGTCAAATAGCGGACTTGTACCACTGTCAAACGATGTCCATGTACCTGGCAGAAAGAAATGGCTTTATGACTAACATAAAAGCACAAGATCTCCACTCTCTGTGTCCAAATTGGCCTTATGTCCCTGTTTATTATTCAACTTATAAACTTTGAGACTACATATAGAACAAATAGCATGCACCTGTGGTCTCGGCTATTTGGGAGGCTGAGGTCGGAGGATAACTTGAGCATGAGAAATTGAAGCTGCAGTGAGCCATGACTGTGCCACTGTACTCCAGCCTGCATGACAGAGCAAGATCCTATTTCTAAATAGTTAAAAAAATTAAAAATAAAAAAGGTAATATTTCTTTTACAACAATCCACTCATTGTAGATCAACTGAGCTCTTTTGTTTAATTATGAGGTTGTCCTGTTACTCACAACAGCTTTCCCAACCCCTTTTAGGCTAAGATATCAACCTTCAAAAGAAATGTGCAAATTAAAGATTTTTCACATTTGAAAGAGTATATTACTTACATTCTCATTAAAATAGCTTTATCATAAAAATTTAAACTAATTATCAGAAATATATTAGAGATATAGATATTAGAACATATTTACAAACCAGAAACAATTACTAATGACCAACATGTAAAAAATATTTGCTTTCTATGTGTCATAAATTGTGTTAAATGTTCACATGTCAATTCATTTAATACTGATAGCAACTGAATGAGTTGAAAATTGTAATTATTTACTTATGCATATAAAAATCATTTTAGAGAAATTAGGAAGCTTTTCCACAGCTATACTTTTGAACAGCTATTTAGCAAGAACTTTATTCCAGACATCAGAGTCTTATACCAGATTTGAAGATCATGAATTCTATTTCTAAATCAAAAAAGAGTTTAAGTGACTCTGGATCTTTGTAATTTAGTTTTTTCAGAACATAAGTAAGTAAAGGATATCCTGGAGTGATCAACAACTTATCATAGTTTCTATGAAACAAGCATGTGTCATAGCTTTCTGTTGCTTGATATAAATGAATCTAGTATGCATTGTTAGGAGGGTGTAATAACATCCTTCTTTCTTAATCATTCAGTCTAGGCTTCTATGCTCTCTTTGTCATTTTCATCTAGCTATCACTTCTGTAGATCTGAATCTCAAATCACTGTATCAATCCTAAACTTTCTCCCATGACCTAGATCCTCACTAACAGTCTACCTAACACTTCCATTTAACTATCCGTTTCATATTTTTCCCAAGCAAAACATGCTTAAAGCTAGCATCATTATTTATTCTGACAGAGTAGCTTCTATGTCCTTTTTTGTCAATAGTATTCCAAAAGTCTTCCAATTGTCTAGTTTTCCGTGATGTATCATATATTCCTTCTACCTCAATCTTCACACAACAAAGGTTTAATTTTTAAACTCATGGCTTGAATGCCTTTGCTGACTTCTAATTGCATACAATTGATGTTTTGCCCAAGGAAGGACAGGATAGGCAGATAATTTAATAGTAACTAAGGGAAGAGGAAGGTATGTATTACTCTTCCCCTGCCTTCTCACAATTCTAATCCTCTCTCTAGTGCACTACTGCATAATGGTAAACCAGAATATCCTGCAGGTATTTGAAGTTACAAAAGCAGGTTAGAAAATATAGGCACAACCCTCATGTTTCTTAGCTGATGTTTAAGGCCCTTCCAATCTGGCACTCACCTATCTTCAAAATCCTTTTGTGCCAGTATTATCCCCATGAGCCTTATACATCTACCAAACTTGACCCACTAGTTCCAATGTCCAAGTGTTTCTTCATGCCAGAAGTAGGCCCTTAAACTCTAGATTATTAAGACACATTTTAGCCACAGGGACACCTGTTTTTTCTTTGCAGTTCCTGTGGTCCCTTGTCTGTCTGATCCTTTTAACTATCTTCATAGCTAAATACAACATGCACAAGGAAACAGTGCCTTAGGCATCTGCATCCTCTAATCAAAAAAGACTCAAAGGACAAACAGTGCTTTTGTACTTGGTGCACACTTAATAAAGTGTTGACTTGGTTTTGAATGAAATGGTATAGTCTTCTTCCTTTAGTTTTCCTCTCCACTCACATCCTTTGGTATTTAGTCTGTGTAAGATATTTACTGTGTTCATTCTGCCTGGTCTGCGGTCTACGAAGAATTTGAATGCTAGTGAAACTTCGAAATTATTGAATCAGCATGTTTACTCGACAGTTCTATTGTAGCCTGCTCAATAGTGAGCATGAAATAGCTAAAGTATAATAAGTAAGACACATTGCCAGCAGGGAGATGTTTAATGGTGTGGTACAGAAAGTGTCAAGTTTCTAAGCAGTGCCAAGATCTGTATCTAGCTCTAACTCCAATGAAAAGTGGGCCCCCCTGCCAAAGATAGCAAAATAAAATCCTGCCCATGTCCCAGTTTGCAATAATAGGAAGAAAAAAGGCTGGTCTCAGCTGAGGAGATAACAAAGCTAATATTGGCTGGGTGTGATGGCTCATGCCTGTATTCCCAGCACTTCGGGGCCAGGCGGGAGGATTACTTGAGGTCATGAGTTTGAGAACAGCCTGGGCAGCATAGTGAGACCTCATCTTTACATAATTTTTTTTTTAAATTAGCTGGGTGTGGTAGCATGCGCCTGTGGTCTCGGCTATTTGGGAGGCTGAGGTAGGAGGATCACTTAAGTATGAGAAGTTGAAGCTGCAGTGAACCATGATTGTGCCACTGTACTCCAGCCTGAGTGACAGCAAGATCCTATTTCTAAAAAGTTTAAAAAAAATAAAAAGAAAAAAAGCTAATATTAAAAAGAGTAGGCCAAGCGCAGTGGCTCACACCTGTAATCCCAGTACTTTGGGAGGCTGAGGCGTGTGGATCACGAGGTCAGGAGATCAAGACCATCCTAGCTAACATAGTGAAATCCCGTCTCTACTAAAAATACAAAAAATTAGCTGGGCATGGTGGCGGGCGCCTGTAGCCCCAGGCTACTGAGGTGGAGAATGGTGAGAACCCGGGAGGTGGAGCTTGCAATGAGCAGAGATTGGGCCACTGTACTCCAGCCTGGGCGACAAGAGTGAGACTCCATTTCAAAAAAAAAATTAAAAAAAAGAGTAAATGACACTGCACCATGCATGGAAAGGAAAGAAGTTTGGCAGCATCTGCCAGGTATTCATTCAAACATCAAAGTTTTTAGAAAGGGAAGAATCTCTGATGAGGTCTACTTATTTGCTCAAATAGGCAACAAAACAAATTTCTGTTCTAAAAGTTGCTCCTTCTCACAACTCAATTCAGTTCTAGAAAGAACTCACCATTCTATCCTGAGGCTTCTCTCTTCCTTGTCTCTTTGTCGTTCTGGAGATGAGTTCCTTGAGATATGATTTTCTTGTTTTCAAGAGGTAAACAATTATGGCTAAAGATATATGCCAAGTAGAGGGCTGGAGTAGGCAATTACTATTTTTCCAAGCTTGAATCTGTACATTTTCTTAGGCAGAAGACCATTAGGAGTAGATAGAAATATATTTAATTCTCTTTCTACATATGGCTAGCCAGTTTTCCCAGCACCATTTATTAAATAGGGAATCCTTTCCCCATTTCTTGTTTTTGTCAGGTTTGTCAAAGATCAGATGTTTGTAGATGTGTGGTATTATTTCTGAGGGCTCTGTTCTGTTCCATTGGTCTATATCTCTGTTTTGATACCAGTACCATGCTGTTTTGACATTTAATTCTCTAAATGAGAGCTTCTAGTGAACTATACATGTTTTACAGCTATGCTGATCTTCTCAGAAGAACCCTTTGAGTAGCCCGTTGGGGTAGCTAGAGTGTCTCAAAACTCATAAAGTGGCCAGCTTATCTTGGTTTGCTCAAGGCTTTCCTGGTTCTAGCACTAAAACTACTGCAACCTAAGAAACTCCCCAGTTCCAAGAAACCCTACCTCTGATCACCATGAGCAAGGATTTACCTTTTAATAATGTATTATTAAACTATTATTTTCTATGTGTGCTAGATTTGAAAAGAAAGGTAAAACATACTAAATGATCTTGCGATTATAATGTGATTATGAGTATAATCCACAGTTTTCAAATGGAGCATTAAGACTCACAGGTTAAATGACTTGCCCAGACTAACAGAGCTACTAAGCAATAGAGTCAAGATTTAAAACTAGGCCTTCTAATTCGAAGTTCTTTGTATTTGTCAGTGTATCACATTATCATGTGTCTTTTCCTCAGAAGCAATGTGGGAATGTTCCCTTCTCAAGTCCCATTGGCTAAATGGAAAAAGCAAAGACATTATTCACCTTCACTTAGTGTTAATTCTAATTTGTAACCTATGGCTGGCTTGTACTCAATTGGTGAGAGGGGAACTCAGCAGTTTTGCCCTGATCCCAGAGAAACAGCTCAAGTTCACATACAGTCCTTTTCTCTCTCCTTAAAAGTTACTTATACAACCAGGTTGGCCACACCCACCCACACACAGAGTAATGAGAACTTCTTTCCTCTGATGTCTAGTTCTAACTGCTGAGTCTGAATTGCCATCCTCAGCTCTTTTTTTTCTTTATGATAAGACTTCTCACAGGAAACCTAGGTGCCTTTCAAAAATTATGTTGCCCATCAATTTCACTGCTACTGACACAGTCTTTCATCAAATATGTCTAGTTTTGAACCACAGTTGCAGGCACCGTCCAGCTTCTCTACTCTCAGACTCTGTGTAAACCAATGAAAGCAAACATACACATTGCAAAGAGATTTTGCAGATGTCACACTGGACAAATCTGAGTCTCAGCTCTAGCCTGGAAAGGATACCCTGTTACATGTAATCCGTGTTTTCCTTGACACTTGCACTACAGCTTTGTGCCTCCCACACTTGATACAAATAAATGCAACTTATTGTTAAACGTGGGGAACCTTCTAAATTATAAGATTCTGTAGCTGTCACTCTGTGACTCTGGAATAACTGTTTCAAGTATTGTTTCCTGAAGAGGTCTTTATATGTGAAGATTATAGGGCAGATGATGTCATCTTGTATAAAAAGATTTATACAGATGATTCTCAGCAGTGATGGCTTCTACAAATCCCCTGGTTTGGCCTTTCCTACCTGGCACCTTAGAGTCTAAGCCTCAAGATAATGAGTAGGCGTTACAGTGATGCTTATCATGGTTGACAGAGTTGTGTAAAAATTCTCAAAGCAAAAAAGATGCCTGCTATGCCTGAGTGCACCTGCTTCTGGAGACTAATGTCTTTCTAAAAATTAAGACTTTGGCAGATGATTCTGCTCTAGTTAATGAAAATCATACAATCTTGTGAATTTAAATCCATCAGTTTCTTCCCCGTCATTTTCACCATCACCCTGTAGTTATTGTTTGACCAGAATAACTGAGTCATTTTTCACAAGATGTAGGTATTTCAAATTACAGAAATATGTTATTCAAAGGTTAATATATTTAGTATCTTTGGTCAGGCATTCAAACTTTCAACTTACATTTCCCAACATATTTTCCACTTCTTTCCTCCACATGATCGGACATACTACTGTCCACTTTCTTGCCTATGATGCAACTCATGTTTTGTACTGCTTTCTGGTCTGCATTTTATTTTCCATATCCATGTGTCAAAATTGAATCCAAACATTTAAGCCCAATTTAATTCCACCTTCTCCATAAAGTCTGCACTGAGAACTCCAAATCAGAAATGCAGCTTCTCTTAAATGTACAGAACACTTTTATTCACCCATCTGGAAAGTACATTACTCTTTATCCCATATTGTAACAGAATAATTAGGTACTACTGAAAATGAGATTCTGATGTTTTCATGGCAATATCTATTTTTCCATTATTTAAAATACAAATAAGTGGAAGTAAATATAAGAAATGATATTCTATTTTCTCTAAATTGTGGAAAATATATAATTTGAAGAATATTTAATTGTGAATATACATGATTATACTCTATTGTCAAAAATGGCCTCAGTCACTCGCTCCTCTTATAAAGAAAACAGAGCCTCATTTCCACATTCCTTGAATCTCAGTGGGACTTATGACGTGTTTTCACAATAGAATGTGGCAAAAGTGATAGGTGTCAGTTCCAGTTTTGGATTCAAATGGCCTTGCATGCTTCCACTTATTCTTTAGAATCCTGTCACCATCATATAATCAAGTTTGGTTTGGCCAGCTGGATGATGAATAACAGCCCAAATGCCCCCGCTCCAGAATAGCCAAAGAGCCTCCAGAAATGTGAGCAATGGCCTCTGTTGGGCTGACCACACATGCATGAGTGAATGTAGACAAGACCCAAGGAATCATTGTTTAAGCCACTGAGTTTTGGAGTGGTTTGTTACATGGCAATGTCTAACTGATACAGGTACTATATTATGATAGAATATAAGGATAGGACATTAAGATTGGAACAGGTTTTAAATAATCAAGCATCTGATATTTAAATTTCTTTTGCAATATTTCTAACAACTGAGCACCTAATTTATTTAAAAGTCTCTAGCAGTAGGAAACTTAGTATTTACAAAGACAGTTCTTATTATTGGAAATATCTTCTTATATTGGTCAGAAGCCTGCCTATACACAATTTCTTCAATGATCCACGTTCTGTCCAATGAGAAGCTCAGGACAATATAGTCCCTTTTATAACCTAATCTTTTGAATACTTGAAGACCTCTAACATGAATTCTCACTTGAACCTTCTCTTTTCTAGATTCAGCGTGTATGAAGGCAAAGCCTCTGTCAGCATGGTTCCCTGAACAACTATGAAGATCAAAGTGCACCCTCCTCCTCATATCTATATGTTGCATGCTTAAATTCTGAGAAATAAGGGGAAAAAACGGAAATGTTGCATGGATGAGAAATAACATTTTATTTAATTAATATACTGAAATTTGGTAGTTGTTAATTACTGTATCATAACCTAGGTTATCTTGGTTAATATACGATTTATACTCCATCTTGTTAGTTTCAGCTCATTGTTGTAATATGCTAAGATCTTTTAGACATTAATTCCATTATTAATATACTAATTATTTTCCCAGGTATATGTCACCCTTAAATTGTATAAGTATGTATTTTATATTTTTATCTTTTCCAGTTAAAAACAATCTAAGTCCATATTCATGGATTGGAAAATGTAATATTGCTAAAATGTCCATATTACCCAAAGCAATCTACAGATTCAATGCAACATGTATCAAAATACCAATAGAAAGTAGATTGGTGAATAACAGAGGCCAGGAAGAATACAGAGGAGGTGGGGAAGAAGAGAGGTTAATAGGTACAAAAATATAGTTAGATAGGGGAAATAAGACCTAGTGCTCAATAAATCAGTTGAGTGACTACAACAATATATAATTTATTATATATTTCAAAATAGCTAGTACAGAATAATTTGAATATTCCAGGCATAAAGAAAAATGTTTAAGGTAATGAGTATTTCAATTACCCTGGTTTAATTATTACATGTTATATGAATAAATCAAAATACCACAGGTACCCCTAAAATATGTACCTCTATTATATACCAATTTTTAGAAATCTATGTAAAGGCAATTCCTGAGGCATTTCAATAAGAGCCACCCCTGAGTACAATATCAATCATGAATTATCACACCTTGGGTCCAGTCATTCAACCTATTACTAGTTTATCTAGGCCATATTTTTCTAGGATATATCCTGAAATTCCTTTGCAAATATACTTTTGAAATCTAGAAATATATCTACATTTATTTGGTACATATACTTAGAAATCTTTTCAGACCAATACATAATGTAATGTTAAATTTAAAATATAATGTAAGTGTACAGTACAATATTTAATAGAACAGATCCAGAAATGAGCATTATTGATGTGTAAAATTGTATCAATTTCGCATAAAAGCAAAGCAATCAAATTCTGGAGTCAGCTAGATCTAGTTCAAATCTCAGCTCTGATACTGTCACTGATCTTGATATTTGCTTAGTGTCTGGATTTCTGAATTATCTCATCTGTAAAATATGAATAATAATTATCATACCTACCTCCAAAAGTTGCTACAAGAATTAAAGGAAGTAATGCTAAAGAATGCTCAGATATGGGTCTGTTATATTACAATATTTCAAAAAGTATTACTTATATCATAATAATTATGAATTTGAGATATACCATTTTTAAATGACATCTAAAGTGTTGCTTAATTATTTTATTTTATATTCTTTCTAAATGTTAAGACAGACTAAAAACTAAGAACTCTTAATCTGCTAGTCTTAGATAGATTTTGTCATATCTGAAAATATGGATTACAGTGCAGTTCTTTGAGCAAGTTGTTTCATATTTAAGAAAGTATATGGATTAAGCAAACTTGTTGCTTTAAATAAGAAGTGAGTAATTATTTACAAGCTTATAGCAGCAGCAGCACACATTTTTAGCAGTGATTATTTTATTGTTCTCTCTGACTACTATATAGTCTGTCTGTAAGAGGGAATCTATGTCATCTACCTTCATGGAATAAGGTATTCATTCATTAAAAGATACCTAAAAACATACTCTATATATGCTTCATTGGAAAATACAATTATCACCCTCAGTGTTCCTCTTTTTTTTTTCTCTCTAAGACTTTTATATATATTAGATGTGCCCAACAGCCATTATCAATTACAGCTTGGAAAGAACCAGTAGGTGTAGAAACCATGGCATTTCTTACACTTTCCATCTTATTTAGTGGGGTTATTTTCAGTGTTTCCCAGCTAATAGCTGGTAATTTTCTAACACAAGTGATTATTCTGCTCAATGTAACATGATATTTTCTGTAGTTACTAAACTTGCACCACTTTAAGACTGACGACTCAAACACTGCCTTCATAAAGGATGTATCAGTGGTTTTAATTTGCTACTCTTCAAACTCAAGAATATCTGGAAGGCATTAGAAGATTAAGCTTGACTCTGATGTAGCTAAGATTCATTAATTTCCTCATAAATTTAAGCCCTAGAGACTTAGGGGTCAAGATTAAGAATCTGATATATAAAGAGCTGAAATGTATACTAATATATAAATGTTGAATAAGCAAATTGAACACAGAGAAGGAAATGTGTTTCAATACAATACTTTTTTCTCATCAACAAATATACTGTCTTCAGGTTTCTTAACTAGCAATTTCATTTTTCTGAGGCTGGATTGGCCCCGCTAGCTGCCATATTAAGTTGGCACTCCTGTGATACTCAAAGCCAGAAGTGAGTACCAGCACTGGCTTGAGATTTAGACCCTGGAGTGAGAAAAAAAATTGTGAATGAGTTCATGAGGGTGAGGGGATAGAAGTAGTACTATGCTTAAGCTTATGTTGATGGCCTTAGTTTTCTAATTGAGAAAAGACTGCCTTTGGGAGTTGGGTGTGTGATGAAACTTATATCGCTAATATGCAGACGGTCTTACCAAATGCTAGTCCTTTGGAAGTGCGTGATTTGGGGTTCTTTTAAAGTACGTCTCAAATATTATGAGGTCGAGTTAGTGGCTCACAGAAATCAGGGAAAGGTAAATTTCCTATTGAGTGTGTTTTTATCGGCAGTCACCTAAAGATGAAAGGAAAAGCAGGCCCTTTCTAAGAAGCCAACCAGAGCTGTGTAGATCCATTATGGAACGCTCCAGCGCCAGGAACTGGCTAAAGGAAAGTTGTCAGAGTTGATGGCAGCTCTGATTTCCTTCCCCAAAGTAGAACCATTGTGTGCATCGTGGCTTGAAAGGGATCTTGATCTGGAATGTAAATGCTGGGTGCTGTGGCTCACTCGTATCATCCCAGCACTTTGGGAGGCCCAGGGTGGCAGATTGCCTGAGCTCAGGAGTTCAAAACCACCCTGGGCAACTTGGTGAAACCCCATCTCTACTAAAATACAAAAAAATTAGCCAGGCATGATGGCACGCGCCTGTAATCCCATCTACTCGGGAGGCTGAGGCGAGAGAATCACTTTAGCCCAGGAGGCGGAGGTTGCAGTCAGCCGAGATCAGGCCACTGCACTCCTGCTTCAGTGAGAGTGAGACTCCATCTCAGAAAAAAAAGGAATAAAAGAGTAGTTTTCATATAATGAGTAAAATTGGAGGTTCTCCTGGCTTACATGTACTAGGATTATCCTGAGGTTTCATGTTCTTAAATACTATTAAATAATGGAAGTAAAAAATGTGATTTGGGGGAATAACTTTTTTATGGTCAGCCTCCTAAAGCTCAGAAGATGGCCTCTATTACAATAGACATCAGGTTTCTTATATATGTGTGAGGATGGATGGACCTATTTTCTAATATTACCCGAAGATGGGGGAGTCTTATACAGTATCCCTGATCAACCGTGGGTAATAGTCAAATATTTTTTCCTGGGTTTATGGTCTACCACTCAGTAAGAAAGAATGTTAAGCTATAAACCCAAGCCAGAAAGAGAGATGATCAAAAAGGTGCCAATCTACAACTTGGTGAACTATGAGCTATTAGCAGCTTCAGGATGACAGCTCCATTTTCTTAATCTTCTGAGTCAGTTTTATGATTATTTTGCCACCATAAATTTAGGAATAAAATATGCCTAAAAGAAACTATTTATAATCTACCCCAAGAAAACTATGGTTTAACTAAGCCTGGTTGGGAATATAGATAGTAAATTTTATCTTAATTTCATAGATGCTGTACCAAAGTATATTTCCCACTAAATGGGTCTGGGGTTGTGAGGTCTCATAGATCCACACATTGAAGTAGTCACCCTGATGTCTGGTCTTTGTAGTTAATATCAAAAGCTAACCTAATGATCTTATGACTTTCTAAGTAGAGAAGATATCAAGTGCTCCTGAGACTAGAGAGAGCTGGAGGTAGGCCAAAATTAGATAGGCAGTCTTCTTGACCACAGGAAGCTAATGGCTCAGCAACCACTTCTTGATTCATGGGTTTTAGAAAGTTGGCGGCCTTGTGGTTAACAGTTTTCCTAATTAAGAAACTCTCTGTCTAGATTAAGCCTTTGTGCATAGGACATTATGTGCTTGCTCTGCGTGAGGACTGCAGACAGTGTGCTGAGGACTAACAGGCATGATACAATCAAGAGTCTGTGATTAGGCGTACTCCCTGAAGTCTCACATGAGGCTCCTTTCGAGCAGCTGTAACTGCCTTGTGGCATGATTGTGCCCAACACTGGCCAAGAGATGTCAAGGGTTGTTTCTCCTGTAATAATTTAAGCAAATCAACTTATTTTAAACTCCTTAGGAATTTGAAATCAAGTTGGAGGATAAGAATCTTGTTAAATCTATGCAACTTATCAAACTAATATAAGCTACAGAACTGATACCAAAAAAATAGAAACACTAAAAACAGTGATAATACTTTACCATAGTAAAAAGAGAGAGAAATAGGAATCAAGAAATATATTCAAAGCCATGTGAAAAGAGCTATAAAGTTATCCTTTGGTATCCATAGGAGATTAGTTCCAGGATCCCCTGTCAGAGACCAAAATCTGCAGATACTCAACTGCCTTATATAAAATGGCACAGTATTTGTGTATTTCCTGTGCACGTCATCCCATATACTTTAAATTATCTCTAGGTTACTTACATGACCAAATACAATGTAAATGCTACATTAACAGTTGTGATCTTGTATTTCTATTTGTGTTTCTTATTGTTGCATTGCTATTTATTATTATTGTTTAGCATATTCTCAATCAACAGCTGTTTGAATCCACAGATGTAGAACCCACAGATACAGAGGGCCAACTGTCCTTTACATTCAAGAAAAACAAGAGTCATTAAAAATATTTAGGTAGAAAGGCCCGTCCTTTAAAGACATTGATCTTTAACAGTGTAGAGATTAGATTTAATGTGGAAGAAGAAATTAACAAAGGAAGATTGGTTAGAAGATCAGTCTCAGAAGATCAGTTTGCAATTGCCTAAGTAAAAGGTACTGAGGACTAAAACTAGATCAGTGGTAATGTGAATACAAATAAGTTGAAAAAATATGGGCATGATGAGTCACTGGCTATACAGTAATGAATTATGAAAGTGGGCCCTGTTTACATCTGTTAACCCTTATAATAAGTAGAAATCTCTATTTCACTCTTACCTAACTCTATAGTGAACTCCTTCTATACCAAGTTCTCTGGAGGGAAAGGAAACTGTTCCCTAAAAATAACTAACTAAAAGGTCAAAGACCATATTAGTCCATTTTCACACTGCTATAAAAACACAACATGAGACTGGGTAATTTATAAAGAAAAGAGGTTTAACTGACTCACAGTTTTGCATGTCTGGGGAGACCTCAGGAAATGTAAAATCCTGGTAGAAGCCAAAGGGGAAGAAAGGCGTCTCTTACATGGCAGCAGGAGACAGAGAGCCAGGGACAGGGGGAATTGCCAAACACTTTTAAAGCCTCGGATCTCATGAGAACTCCCTAGCAGGAGAACAGCCTGGGGGAAACTGCCCCCCATGATCCAATCACCTCCCACCAGGTCCCTCCTTGACACATGGGGATTACAATTTGAGATGAGATTTAGGTGACACAACCAAACCATATAAAAGACAACGGCTCCTTCCTCCATGATTAAAGCACTGTGTTATGTGGGGGCTGTCATTTTCTTAATATTTGGCAAACCTGATTCAGAGCATGCAAGGATGGTGCCGTAGGGTAAACCACTGACTCAGAAGAAAGGGCAGTCGAAACAGCCCATGTCTAGGCTTAGGAGAATTTCTGACCCTTGAGAAATAGGGAAGTTATCTGAGGGAACAGGGAAGAATCAAATTAGTGGACTTGATAGGAAGAACTGAAATTAAAAGTTCTCAGCTATGAGAGATAAGACTGCTGCAATGAGAAAAGTTAGGTGAAGAGCCCCTGGAGAGTAGGAACAACTTTATCTTCTATGCTAAGTGGAAGATTTTAGGCCCTGGCTAAACATGGAAGTCAAGACTATGAAAGAGGAAGAGAGTGTGAGGATAGTAGGCAATCTCAACTTTATAGACAAATAAAAAAGCAATGTCAGTACTGTGACAGAAAATTAAAAATATGTTAAACCAGCTTTATTCCTTTGTTGAACCTAACTGACATTGAGTTCTACAACGGTAACAAAAATGGGTATTTTAATTAAGGTAAATTTAAGAAAAACAATGGAATTGTGCAGGACTTTGGATGAAAACTGGCTTGTTCACATTTACCAAGATAGTTGTTCCTGGTGATAATTGAACAACCTTGGAAATCTCAGCATACGTTTCTTATTAATATTTTTTGGTAAATGTACCTGTTTGAAAATGAGGTCAAAATAGAAGCTTCTGTTTTAATTTAACAATATCTCAGTGCCCTTTCCTTCAACAGTGTCTCTTCATTTTTCTCTGTCTCTGCATTATTTCACTTCTGCAACCACTGCCTCTTTCCTGATAAGGTTCAATCATTCTGGTAGAGGTTGAACAGAAGTTACCAGCCTAGTTCAGAATCATGGACAGAGGAATTTCACATCGGCTCAAGGAACTTAGTGCTATGAGAACTGTACTGCAGAGAAGAACTTCAATGACTAGTGAAGAAAGAAAATAAAGATGATAATATCCTCCTCAAACTGTTTTTCCCTAATCCCACCATTGCTTTATAGACTTGCCCAAATTGTGGTGCATGCAAGTCTGGTGCTTAGAGAATAGACACACACATACACACACACACACACACACACGCACACACCTTGCAATGCTTCTTATAATTCAACCACTGTTTTATAGACTTGTGGTACTTTCAGAATACACACACACACACACACCCCTTGTGATGCTTCTTATAATTCAACCAGTGGAGTTCTAATTACAAATGTCAAGGGAAAGGTAAACTTAAGTCATATATAATCAAAGCACCAAAGGAGTGTTATTCTAATTAAAAATGTGTTTCACATTTGGAGAAGGTACTCATGTGACTTTGTTCACTATCATTGAATAAAAGTAGTTTCATCAGGCTGGGCGCAGTGGCTCATGCCTGTAATCCCAGCACTTTGGGAGGCCGAGGCAGGCAGATCACGAGGTCAGGAGATCGAGACCATCCTGGCTAACATGGTGAAACCCCGTCTCTACTAAAAATACAAAAAAATGGCCGGGCGTGGTGGAGGGCGCCTGTAGTCCCAGCTACTCAGGAGGCTGAGGCAGGGGAATGGCATGAACCCGGGAGGCAGAGCTTGCAGTGAGCCGAGATTGTGCCACTGCACTCCAGTCTGGGCAACAGAGCAAGACTCCATCTCAAAAAAAAAAAAAAAAAGGTAGTTTCATCAAATTGATGCTCGGTAGCTGCCATGGGCATGTATCACTCAGATATCCCTTAGAGAGAATCTGCTGCAGGATAGTTGGGTAAAAGCCTCCAGCTGACACACCTCCAGTGTGTCATTCACCGGGTGCAGCATTCACCCCAAGGCTACACCCTCCCCAAGCTGCTCCCAACCAATGGCTAAACTTGGTGGAGATAATAGAGCTGGCTACTTGTACCCAATGAAAGACTCATCTAATAAGCAAACTTTCCTCTGCATTTGTCTGAATGACTTTCTTTTAGCCTCATTATAGTCAATTTCAGGCTTTTCATACTCAATTCACCTTCCTGCTCCATATACTTTTGCAAACCTAAGAACTGTGTCATGGTCCAAAGGCTCTTCTCACCTACTTCTGCTACCTCTCCATTTTATCTTTGAGACATTTCTGTCCACTAAACCTCTTGTACTTTTCATATTGAGTTGCTGTGTGCTTTCTGTATGACTCTTTGCTTACATAGATGATAAAAGTTAACAAAATCTTATAAAACCACTAAAGGGTATAAATGTTAAATTCATTGATTTCACCAAAACATGTATCTTTCCTACTTTCTCTTGCTCCTTTTATTTTTCTGTCACCTCTTCTCTGTCCCTCTTCCAGTTTTTCCCCAGAGCCTGTCTGAACTTTTATTGTGACAGATAGGAAAAACAGAATGACATTTGCCATGTCTTTTCTGGCAACACTTACAGGAAATGTACAGAGAGCTAAGCAGAAATCAGAAAGCAGAATTATTAATTTCATTATCTGGTTTCAGTGTATATAGTTTATTAATTTGGTTTTAGTGTGTAGAGATTATGCTGTCATTGACACTTGAGTAAACTAAGGGAAGGATGAATGTCGTTTGGCTCTCAACTGATTGGGGATGGCGAAGGTAGAAAAGTGAAAGATTTAGCAGCATTGTAATAGAAAAGCAATGACTCCGTATTTCAAAAGTCTGCCCCAGTCATAGTTTTTTAGGATAATAGAAGTTGTGATATTTAAATAGTATTTCATTTTATTTTAAAAATATATTCTAAAATATTTATAGAAAAAGTAAAATAAGCACATCTTTCTGAAAGAGGTTGTGATTGAAGGCTCATATGTAAACGTACCCTTCAGGTTCTTTAAGAGAAAATAAGCATTCAGGCAATGACAAATTCTCTTGATGACTGAAAATTATCACCCCCTTCCCATATATCACAGTTCCAAAATCCCTTAGAAAGTCGTTGAAAGAGGCATTTTCAGAAAACGTAACAATGTGGAAAGATCTATTCGAAATGCAAAGAGGAACTATTTTAGCCAGACATTTATACTGCATGTGCTTAACAAAAGCATGGATGTAGATTAACTCTGTTGCTCTGACAAGGATCACGTCCATATTCAGACATGAGTTAGCAAATCAAATTTTTACAAAGTGATAGATGCTGTAGGCGAAGGGAGGTGCAGAATCTATAACATCATAAACTCAGATAAACCTCCAGGTGCATGACACGATGTCCCAACAATTTTCATAACTAACTTAGAATTCAACTTAATTATTTCCTAAGACAATCATTGTATTTAGTTGTCAAATTATTATTGCTGGTCAACTTAAAGACACAGTATTCATGGTGTTGTAGTAGAGAGTCTATTCACTACCTTAATATCTCTGAATAATTCATAATGATCTTTCACCACAGCTGCTTTTATAACTTATTTAAATTACTATAACATTAGAATATGAACGAGAGTAATTCTTCATATATTTCAAGGACATTAAAGTTAGAGATGTAACAGAAATAACATCTTAATCACTTCTATTTGGAAACATCAAAATAAAAACGATACATATATATTAATTTGTAGGAGCTTTACATTTAAAACTTTAAATCTTACAAATATTTTATTTAAAATAAGTAACATGTGGATGTATTTAATAACAAACTGATTTTCAAAAAATGAGTGTATTACAAAACAGAACTGTGAAACTTTTTGCCTAGATAAAAAAACTAAAACATGCCTCTAAATTTTGCTTCTATTTATACTGTACATAAATGTATTCAAATTTCAACATTTATAAAACATCTAATACACTATACATATATATGTATATATATTTAAATTATTTGCCAGGCACGGTGGCTCATGTATGTAATTCCAGCACTTTGGGAGGCCAAGGTGTGTGGATCACCTGAGCTCAGGAGATCAAGACCAGCCTGAACAATATGGCAAAACCCGGTCTTGGTTTTAAAACAAAAATCTATATAGATAGATAGATAATTAATTATATAGATATCTCTCTATATTCATATATAAAGAGGTATATATGAATATATAAACTGTGTATAAGCATTGATCCACAAATTACACTTTTAAAATCTATTGTGATATATTTACCATAGTATCTATAATTATGTCATAATTTGCAATTATGAATTAGAAATAATTTTGAAAACCCACCAATAGAAGAATAAAACATGTTGTATGAATGTTTTCAAATATTTGCATCACTTCAAAATAATAAAGTAGAAAATTTGGCAAAGCATTTGTTGTTAAATGGAAAAAGAGAAAACGGCAAGTTGCAGAGGCAATGTGGCATGTAAATTGAGATTACAGGCTCTGGAATTGGATTAACTGAGCTTGAATACTGACTTTGTCACTCACTAGCTGTCTGAAGGAAACATCTCTTAAGTGCTTTGTGGATTGGTTTCTTCATTTGTAAAATTAGAGTCAAAATAGTACTTACCTCATACGGCCATTGTAAAGATTAAGTGAGTCATTATGTATAGGACAATTTTAACAGCACTAGATACAAAGTCAGCATTAAATTCATGCTTATTTATTTACACAGAGTGGACTGTTTTATGTTAAAATGCAAAAAAAAAAACCACGATGCAAAACTACTTATTTTATATGAACACAGATACGTATTGCAAACACGTAGAAAAATGCCTATGAACATTCATGCCACACTGATACCAGTGCGTAACTTTTAACATTAAAGACGAGGCTGCTTGAATTTTTTACATAGAAAATAAATTTCATACATTATTTTTGTGATTAAATTTTAAATACTTTGATACTTATGTTAAGTGTAATACTATGCAACTATGAAAAATAATAGTATAGATTATATTCATTGAGTTGTTGACAGGAAAAATGTTCATGTACATATATCATTAAGTGCAAACAAGCACATTGAAAGAGAGCATTAATTGTATCAATATGAATTCATTTGTATAAAATTTTGTGATTCTATTTGGGTATGTAATGATAATGTTAACAGTTAAACTGGTTAGTTGATTTTGACTTATATATATAATCATATACATATTCATATTTTTAGAATTGTTTTATAGTTAACATGTATTACATTTTTTTAAGAAAACACTATAATGTCAACTTTATTGTAAAATGAAGTAACAATGAGGCTAGCTAATCATGCAGCATCTTGCACTCAAAGCATATATGTTGAGAACACAGCCAAGTGCCATCTATGAATGGAATAAATTAGAAAGGTATGAAGGTACTTACCCACCACACACCTGGAGTGCAGAAAATTTGGAAGCATCCAAATCATTGCCACTTACTATTCGAGCCTTAAATGAAGAGTAAGAGAAAAACAAAACAAACAGGCTTTTAGCATACTACAGTTTTATGTACACGAAATCGGGACACAGGTCAGCTGCACTACACACGTAACACCTAGTATGACAGATGCTAAGCAGGGTCAGCTCCAAGTCAAAGCTACTGTGTTTTTATGAGTAGAGGTTTTGAAATTAGCTGTCAGCATTTAAACAAATGCACTGGCAGAGTCCCGGAAAATATGTCATATTCCAAGTACTATTTGCCCTTAAAACTTGATATGCACAGTGAAGATCATGAATCAGTCAGAAAGGTCATGATTAGCCAGACTTAAGAAAAGATGCTGTGTTTGACAGTAGCAGACCCCTAGGTTGGCAAGTATAGCTAAGGTAAGCGCAGCTGGCAAGGTGTGACCTCTCCATAAGTGCAACATATCAGAGGCACACTTAAAGGACAACCAAATAATGGAAAGCTGGGATAACATGCACATTTCAAAACTAAAACAGAGGAATCAAACAGATCTAATATGTCACAAACAAACATGTACAAAAGACAAGATTCCTCAGGAGGGAAGAATAAGTATGATTTAAAACCTTTTCATCCACAGAACTGCTATCTGAAAGAGAATCAGGAAAAGAAGGGATAAATGTTAGATGGAGTACTTTTCAAGAAATTGTTTAAACATATACATGAACAGAGTGTTAATATGTTACATTGTTTAAAATTATAAATAAACAGAGTTTCAAGGTTGAGCCCAAGGGTACAAGGATAGTTGGTTCTCACAATTTAAAGTGCAGAGAAATGTAATAGAATGCTTGAAAAGTATAAAAGTGATTACAGGATTTAATGAAAGACAATGTGTTATATTAAGAAAAGAACATAGTTGAAGAATCAGAAGTCCTGGGCTCCAGCTGAGGCTCTGCCACTTACTAGACACATTGGATAAGCTACCAAACTCTTTGGAGTCAAGAGCCTAGATCCAACTCTGAAATACAATCACAAATACTTTGACTAACTGCCTCGCAACATTGTTGATAGAATTAATTGAGATCAGTATTTGGGAAAGTAAACCTCAGATGACTCTGTAGATTAAAGTTGTTTTATTAAGAGTTTATATATTTATGGCTTCTCATATCATAGAGTTTACGAGCTAAAAGATTAAGTTGATTCCATCTTACACATAAGAAAACTGATGCCTAAAGAGGTTAAGTGACTTGATTAAGATCACAAAGCTAGTAAATGGCAGAAGAGGGACACAAATCCAGGGCTCCTGATCTCCCATCTGGTGCTCTTTACATCTAATGTTTCAGGTGAGCTGAACAGAACAGTGAAGGGTGCTTGGTCTACAGTTTTCAGATGCAATGCAAGATAAATCATAGGGCCAACATTTTCCAGGTCCAGCTACTCATGGACACAAGGAGATGGAGAATGGACTACTGCATCATCATTTTTTAAACACAGGTTTAAATTTGCCTGGTCATAGGATAGAGTCTACTACTACCTTACACAGTACTATTGCTCTGAAACTCATTAATTCATCTTTGCTTATTAGCATAAAACTGGAGAAACTTCTCTATGGATACAAGTTGGCAAAATGCTAGAGCTGGAGTGACACTGGAGTTTACTTAGTTCAAATCCCTTGTTTATATAAATGAGCAATGGAAAGATTAAAATTTGTCCAAGGTCATGTAGCTCAATGATGACCCTTACAGATGAAAATCTGAAATGCATTACTTCTCTTGACTCATTAAGTATAGGCTGCTTAACTATCATAAGTAAATATTTTGGTGCAGATTTTTCAGTATTTCAGGGTTGTATCTTCAGATGCAAAACAGGGTAAAATGTATTGTAAAGTAATAAAAGATAAATCTTATTTATGGCCATAATTATTTTAAAATACTATATAAAATAAATAAAATTTAGCATTACCGCAGAAGAATAATATACCATATTCAAGAAAATTGTACCCAAAGCATCATTTAAAATAATGATATGACTAATCTAATATGACATATCAATTGGCCAGAAAATATATATCTTAATTTTCATAGGGAGCAAAAGTCATCTGATAAAAAATCAAAACCTTCTAGTTGTTCAAAACCTCCTTAAAATGGGATTGTAATGGGTCTTCTTTAAGTGTAATATGTTAAAAAAGTATTACATATAGTATTACAGTCAGCAATTTATGTGTGAAATAGTAGGGCATTTCCATCACCATTAAAAGCAAACGAAACTGTCCAAAGCATAATTTTCACTTCTTTCTGAAAATTCTGGCCTATATATTAAAACAAACCAAAACAAACTATATAATTATTAGAAGTCAAAATAGAAAGTTATTTTTACAAGAATTATAATTTTATATCTAGTAATCAAAACATGCAAAATCACATGGAAAACTATTACAGCAAATAAAAGAGTCAACAGAGTAACTATATAGTCAACCCATAAGCAAAATAATAATGTTATTTCTTATACACTAGCAACTAGTTTGGAAAACAATGAAATAAGATCTGATTTCAAATCTGCAATATTTTGAATGAGTACTTTATATTCATTATCTCCTGTTGATATCTGTCTTCCATCTCAACCATCCCACTAAATACAGGTAATCTTAACAAGGTCATCAATTACTTTTCAGCTGTTAAATCTGGTAATACATCAGTTCTTTCAATGTTTCATTCATTCACTGAACACATATTTATGGCCAGTGAACCTTTTTTGTTCACTTTGACTGTTTTCTTGTCTCCCTGCTGTATTCTTCCCTGAAATCTTTCTAAAAAAGATAAAATTATGTCACTCTCCTTCTTAAAACCCACCAATGACACACAGTGCCCTCATGAAAGAACATAAAATCCATGTGAAATGCGATCTCATCACTCATTATATCTCATTCACATCATAAACTTCAGTCACAATTACATTCTTGAAGTTCCATTTCTGTGCCATGTTCTTTGAAATCTATGTGCCTTTGCATTGCTGTTTCCTCCCTGTGAAACAACTGTTCTCCATCCTCATGGAGCTGACTGCCTGTTATGTCCCAAACCTAGCTGAAGCACAACCTCTCTTTCTGGAAACTTGTGACACTTCTCCCTGCTGTCATCCTGGGTTCAGTATTGTGCACTGTGCATTCCTCTTTGCTAATCTTCATCCTTTGCCAGTTTCCTTATCTGCAATCCTTTCAGAATTTGAGCTCCTTGATGGTAGTCTGTTTTTTAATCTCTCTCTCTGTTTTTTTTACTTTTACCACATTCCTGAAATATAGGAGATGACTAATAACCATTTCTTAAATATTGGAATGGACAATTTTAATAAGCTACACCACTTCATGGAATAGCTAAAAATCTGAATAATGGAAAATATTATTTCATTTTTCTATATAGTGAAGATGAATTATAATCTAACAGATTTGTAGATTTCACAGTCAAAATCCTAATGGCAGATTGCTGTAACTTGAAATTTTACCAATTTTAAGTGTAACTGGATTAATAAACAAGTAAAAATATCTAAAATTTTGTAAAAGAAGCACTATGAGATGAATCTATAAAAATATTAATAATTTATAACAGCTAAAACAGTATGGTCCTGGCAAAATAATAGATTAAAAGTGAAACACAAAATATAATTAAGAAACCCTTATACTCAAGAATTTAATGACTAAGAAAACATTTTTTATTAAAGACAAAGAGAAGCACTAGTCAGTAAATGGTGCTTGGACAATAGGTTAAGTATCTATAATATTCATTTGTATCCTCATCTCATACATATGCCACCAAGTTCCACATACATTAAAGATTTAAATATAGAATAGTTAAAGGAAGAAAGACAAGTAAAAAGAGAAAGGAATATTTATTAAACCTATGGAAAGAGATTTTTAAATTTAGACTTACTAGATAATTGACAAATTAAAATGCAACAATGGTAAATATGCATACAAATTATCTATTTTACTAAAACTACAACTAAAGAGTACAAAATTAATGAAGATTAAAGATACTGATTTTAATGATATTAAAAATAATTCCCAAGGCTGTTGAGAATATTATTAATCAAACACTATCATGCATAGTTGATGAGCATGAAAATTGTAATAATACAAGTTAAAAAATAACTTTCAAAACATGTCTATCAATACACTGTTTTGACAGGAAAATTCCACTTTTGGAAACTGGTGCTAAGGAAATTATTTTTGTTATGGGTTGAATTGTGTCCTACCTCTGCCAATTTAAATGTTGAAGTCCTAACGTCTGGTACATCACAATGTGGCCTTGTTTAGAAATAGGACCACTGCAGACGGAACTAGTTAAAACATGCCATACTAGAGCAGGGTGGACTCATAATCCACTGTGATTGGTGTTCTTATAAAAAGGGGAAATTTGGGCCGGATGCGGTTGCTCACACCTGTAATCCCAGGACTTTGGGAGGCTGAGGCGGGCAGATCATGAGGTCAGGAGTCTGAGACCAGCCTGGCTGACACGGTGAAACCCCGTCTCTACTAAAAATACAAAAATTAGCTGGGCATGGTGGTGCGTGCTTGTAATCCCAGCTATTCGGGAGGCTGAGGCACAAGAATCGCTTGAACACAGGAGGCGGAGGTTGCAGTGAGTCGAGATCGCACCACTGCACTCCAGCCTGGCGACAAAGCGAGACTCCGTCTCAAAAAAAAAAAAAAAAAAAAAAAAATTAGGGGAAATTTGGAGATATATGCACACACAATAATATCAAGTAAAGATTAGTGATGCTTCCACAAGCCAAGCAATTCCCAGAAACTTGGGGAGAGGCCTCAGAAGATTCTCCCCTAGTTCCTTCAGAGGGAGTATGGCCCTGCCAACACCTTGATAGTGAACGTCCAGCCTCCAGAACTCAGAATAAATTTCGGCTACTCTAAGTCACTCAATTTTCGATATTATGTTATGGCAACCCCAGCAAACATACAATTTAAATACTAAAAAATATGTTAAGATTGGCACTGTTTCATTATTTACTACCAAAAAATTGCAAAAGCATACATGATTAAATATAGAACTATGGGTTGAAAATTATGTTCTATGACTTTGATGCAATAATCTGTGACCATTAAAATCAATGCATTTAGAGGCTAAATAAAAATATAGAAAATGTTCCTGATGTATAAAATAAAAATTAGGAAGTAACCTCATGTTTGAGGTTACTTCAGGTTATAAGGTGACTATGTAAAAACAAAAACAGTTATATATAGAAATAGACTTGAGAAAAACATCCCCATAATGTTATTAAACTTCAGTAATAGGTTAATATATTCATTCATATTCTCTTATATTTTCCAAGATTCTGTTATTTAATAATCATATTGTTGAAAATATTTTAAAATGACACAATATTCTACCCAACAGCAACAGAATATATATTCCTCTAGAGTGTACATTTTGGAAAAGTCTTCAAGCCACAAAACACATCTTAACAAATTTAAACATTGAAATCATATCAAGTGTCTTTTCTGACCACAATATTTGAAAGTAGAAATCAATAACAGGAAGAATTTTAGAACATCCACAAATATGTGGAAATAAAACAACACACTCCTGAAGAACCAATGGGTCAAAGGTGAAATTAATAAATATTTAGAGACAAACAAAAATAGAAACACAATATACCAAAACTTACAGGATGTAGCAAAAGCACTTCTAAGAGGGATACAGTGATAAATACCCACATTTAAAAAAAGATCTCAAATAAACAACCTAAATTTTTACTTCAAAGAACTAGATACAAAACCAAACAAACTAAGCCCAATGTCAGCAGAACTAAGGAAATAATAAAGATTACAGAAGAAATAAATGAAATAGAGACTACAATGACAATGGAAAAGATAGATGAAACTAAGAGGGTTTTTTTGAAAATATAAACAAAATTGTCAAACTCTTAGCTAGACTCACCAAGAAAATAAGGGAAATGGATCAAATAAATAAAATTATAAATGGAAGAGCAACATTACAACTGGTAGCACAAAACTACAAAGGATCTTAAGAGACCACTTTGAATAATTACATGCCATCAAATTGAATAACCTGGAAGAAATGGATAAATTACTAGAACATACAACCTACCAATACTGAATCATAAAGAAAGATAAAGTCTGAGCAGACCAATAATGAGTAACAACATGGAAGTAGTCATCAATTATCTCTCAACAAAGAAAAGCCCATTACAAGATAGCTTCATTGTGTGCCAAGATTTAACACCAGTATTTCTCAAACTCTTCAAAAAATTGAAGAGGAGATAATACTTACAGCTCACTTTATGGGCCAGCATTACTCACACCAAAGCCAGACAAGGATTCTACAAGAAAATTACAGGCCACTATTCCTGATGAACATAGATGCAAAAAAGTCTTCAACAAAATGCTAACAAACCAAATTCAATGGCACAGTAAAAGGATCATACACCATGATCAAATGGAATTTATCCCTAGGATGCAAGGATGTTTCAAGGAATGCAAATCAATAAATGGCATACACGGCTGAGTGCAGTGGCTCATGCCTGTAATCCACTTTGGCAGGCCCAAGTGGGCAGATCACTACGGCCCAGGAGTTCAAGACTAGCCTGGGCAAGACTAGCTGGGGCAAGACACTATCTCTACTAAAAATACAAAAATTAGCCAAGCATGGTGGTGTACACCTCTACTCCCAGCTACTGGGGAGGCTGAGATGGGAGGACTGATTGAGAATATTGAGGCTGCAGTGAGCCTAGATGGTACCACTGCACTCCTGGGTGACAGAGCAAGACCCTGTCTTAAAGTTAAAAAAAAAAAAGTGATACACAAAAATAAAAGAATGAAGGATGAAAATTATATAATGATCTGAATAGATGCAGAAAAAGCTCTTGACAAAATTCAACATCTTTTCATGATAAAAACTCTTAGCAAATCAGATATCGAGGGAATGCACCTGTACATAATAAAAGCCATACACAATAAGCCCATAGCTAACATCATACTCGACAGTGAAAAGCTGAAAGATTTTCCCCTAAGATCAGAAACAAGACAAGGGCTCCCACTCTCATCGTTTCTATCCAGCATAGTACTAGAAGTTCTCACTGGAGAAATAAGGCAAGAAAAAAATAAATAAAAGGCATCTAAATAAAAAAATGAAGAAGTAAATCGTTTCTGTTTACAGGTGACAATAACTCACATATGGAAAACCCTAGACTCCACCAAAAAACTTAAAACTGATAAACAAATCTAAAGTGTCATGATAAAAAAACTATACACTAATATAACAAACTATCTGAAAAAATATTAAAACAGTGGGCAACATGGCAAAACCAGTCTCTACAAACAATACAAAAAAAAAATTTGCAGGGCATGGTGGCACATGCCTATAGCCCCAGCTACTCAGGAGATTGATGTGGGAAGATCACCTGAGCCTGGGAGGTCAAGGCTGCAGTTAGCAGTGATTACCCCACTACACTCCAGCTTTGGTGACAGAGTGAGACTCCATCTTGAAAAAGAAATTTTTAAAAATTAAAATTTACTATATCAAAATGTTAAATACTTACATATAAATTTAACGAAGGAGGTGAAAGATCTGTACACTGGAAACTATAAGACTACACTGAAAACTATAAGACATCGATGAAATAATTGAAGAAAACATAAATAAATGGAAAGATGTTCAGTGTGCCTGCACTGGAAAAACTGATATCCTTAAAAAGCTTGCATTTTAAGTGACCTACAGATTCAAAGGAATCTCTACCAAAATTCCCATGGCTTTTTCAAAGGCTTACAGAGTCAAAGGAATCTCTACCAGAATTCCAATGGCTTTTTTACAGAAATAGAAAAAAAATTCTAAAACTTATATGGAATCATAAAAAAGCCCTGAATAGCCAAAGCAATCTTTAAAGAAAAGAACGAAGCTGGGGCATGATTTGTCCCGATTTCAAGCTATATTACAAGGTTATAGTAATTGAAACAATATGGTACCAGCATAAAAATACACACATAGACTGATGGAACAGAAGAGAGAGCTCAGAAATAAAACCACAGACATATGGCAAACTAATATTTGATGAAGGTGCCAAGAATACACAATGGGGAAAGGACTGTCTCTTCAATAAATGGTATTGGAAAAATGAGATATCCACATGTAAAAGAATACAATTGGATCCTTATTTTATACCACATAAAAATTAACTTGGAATGGATTCTTAAGTGTAGGACCTGAACCCATAAAGCTCCAAGATAAAAGTTTAAGGAAAATTTACCATTGGCAACGTATTGGCCGGGATAGCAATAATTTCCTTGGATATGACACTGGAAATGCAGGCAACAAAATAAAACATAAACAGGTTCATCAAATTAACATGCTTTTGCACAGCAAAGGAAACAATCGGCAAAATGAAAAGGAAACCGTGAAATGGGAGAAAATATTTGCAAACTATATGTCTGATAAAGGGTCAATATCCAAAATATATAACTCCATAGCAAAATCACAAACTCTTTGATTAATAAATTGGCAAGGGGTCTAAAACAGGTATTTTTTTCAAAAAAGACATTAATGGCTAATACACATTTAAAAAGGTGCTCAATATCATTCATCAGCAGAGAAATACAAATCAAAACCAAAATGAGATATCACCTCACACCTGTTAGAATGGTTATAATTAAAACACAAGAGATAATGTGTTGGTAATGGCATGCACAAAAAGGAACTCTTGTACATTGATGACAGAAACATAAATTGGTACAGCCATTAAGTAAAGCAGTATGGAGGTTCCTCAAAAACATAAAACTAGAACTACTATAATAATCCAGCAATCTCACTTATAGGTATAAATTTAAATAAAATGAGATTAGCATGTTGAAGAGATACCTGCACTGCCATATTCACTGCAGAATTATTCACTATAGCCAAGGTATAAAAACAACCTATTTTGGTGAAACCCCGTCTCTACTAAAAATACAAAAAAAAAATTAGCCAGGCGTGGTGGCTGGCGCCTGTAGTCTCAGCTACTCGGGAGGCTAAGGCAGGAGAATGGCGTGAACCCTGGGGGCGGAGCTTGCAGTGAGCTGAGATCGCGCCACTGCACTCCAGTCTGGGAGACAGCGAGACAGCGAGACTCCGAGACCCCGTCTCAAAACAAAAAACAAAAAACAAAAAACCTATTTGTCAGCAGATGAAGACAATGTTATGTGTATATATGTGTATACACACACAAACGCACACACACACACACACAGATGATTATTTAGCCATTAAAAAGAAAAAACTCCTGCCATTCATGACAAGATTGATTAATCTAGAGGACATATACTAGGTGAAATAAGGCAGAAAAAGAAAAGAGAAATATTATTTCACTTATAAGTAAAATCTCACAAAAAAAAAAACTGAACTCATAAAAGTGGAGAGTAGAACAGTAGTTGCCAGGGCTGGGGGTGGGGGAAATAGTTTTTGGTCAAAGTGTACAAACTTTCAGTTATAAGATGAATAAATTCTGGGGATCTAATACACACCATGACAACTATAGCCAATAATACTACATTGTTTTCTCGAAATGTGTTAATATAGTACATAAGTGTCCTCACCACACACACACACACACACACACACGTAACTCAGTATAGTGATGGATGTATTAGTTGCTTTTATTGTGGTAATCATTTCACAATGTATATGAATATCAAATCATTATATTTTAACACCTTGAAATAGCTAATTTATTTGTCAACTATGCCTTAATAAAGCTGGGGAAAGAATAAAATGTAAAATGTATACAATAGGCAAAAATCTTGGCTATTATTCAAGGGGCAGTGTAATATATATATAAAACATGTACAGATATGCAGATAATCATATATGTATATACAGATATTGTGTATATAGATAGATATAGTAAATACACACACATATACACACAGTCTTTGTTCGCTGATAAATTGCCTTTTATTCTACATACAGTTGTTCTGCTTAGTAAAATTGTGGTAAAATGTCTGTAATTACATGCTGGGTACTCCCTATAATGCTGCTCCCAATGTTCCTAGTCTTAGAAGGCACATATCATCTCACAACAGGTTCATTTTGCAGCTCAGCAATTTAATGTCGTTAATGCGAGACCACAGTACATCCATCTACTTTATAGTGAAACTTCCCCTATAAATGGGATTAAAGTAAGTTTGTAGTGGTTATACAATTTTAATGTCTTCAAATTCCACAAACAATTTAAAATAAAAAAACTGATAAAATATTTACTCGGCGAACAGCACTATTCTATTCAACCATGCTGCATGGTGACCTATAAAACCAAAATTCTCAGTATATAGAAATACCAATAATATATGTGTGTCTCCTGTGTATTAGATCCATCAGAGGTTCTTGTGTGAGCATCCCCAAGAAGTAAATCTGAACGTAATCTACGGAAACATGTCATCTCCCTAACCCTCAGTTTTCCTTCATATATAAGTAAAATAAGAATATTTCACCAGCATCTATCTAAATCTTCTAGCTCTAAATTCTATGATATCTTTTGGTATGTGTAGTGAATTTTCACTAAAACAAGGAATGTTTATTCACCAGTTACCACGAAAAATAAATATTCATAATACCTAATGCCTACATTTAAGATTAAGATGGATAGATATAGTCAATTTACAATCTTCTAAGATAAAAGTAAAAATGTTGTATTTTCTCCCTCAATGTTTTACCTCTATTATAACACACTTTTTGAAGGAAATTTGAATAGGAGAGATCTCCAAGTTTGTATGTAAATTGAGTTCCACCCTATCTAGTTTAGGAATTCCCTTAAACATCTTTGCTCTGAGGTTCTTCAGTGATAACACAGTATAAATTTCCCACTGGTGATAATTCATTATCTTCTTTGGAAACAGTTTGCTCTATTTGTCACCATATTAAAAGAGATACGACTTTGATACATGTGTAGTATGCCTGAAAGTCATCACATGGGAGCCAAAAACAGTGCAAAGAAAAATCATTAATGAAATCAGAGGGTTGCTGAGCTGTCATTAGCCTTTACAGAGTACCTACTGTATGCTAGATAAGTCTGCAAATAACTTTATCTTCCCTTTTATTGAATTCCTTAAACTGTCTTGTGAATTATTAATAAGGAGCACATGCTTCCAGGTCAGAGGAAGTACCTGTGGATGGTGTATGTTTCAGACATACTTCTGGATGCAACTGGATGAGTGCTGGGAGATTAATGCTGATTTAACTCATAACTCACATACCTTTGATCACTCATTTACAGCCTCAACAGTAATCTAAAAAAACTGAATTGGTCAGGCACGGTGGCTCATGCCTGTGATCCCAGCACTTTGGGAGGCCGAGGCAGGCAGATCACGAGGTCAGGAGATCGAGACCATCCTGGCTAACATGGTGAAACCCCATCTCTACTAAAAATACAAAAAATTAGCCAGGTGTGGTGGCAGCCGCCTGTAGTCCCAGCTACTCAGGAGGCTGAGGGAGGAGAACGGCATAAGTAAACCTGGGAGGCGGAGCTTGCAGTGAGCCTAGATTGTGCCACTGCACTCCAGCCTGGGTGACAGAGCAAGACGCTGTCAAAAAAAAAAAAGAAAAAGAAAAAAACTGAATTGCAATGACAGTTCAGTATCATAAGGATGTTAAAGATATGAACAAAGTGATATGGAAGCACAGAGAAGAGATCCTCTAACTCTTCAGCCATGGAGAACATTGGGTTTGGGAAGGACTCATTCGGGAGAGGAGTGGGTTTTGTTGATGTGTGAAGGTATTCCTGGCAGAGTAAAAAGGATTTCAAAAGGCATTGAAGCTTGAAAGAGCATAGAGTGTTAGGGACTGAGACATGGGAGTGCGACAGTAAACAATTGCAAGAAATGAAAGGAGAGTGAATAAGGTTCTAACACAAAAGTCCTTACATATTTTATAGGAGTCAGCCCTTATTCCTGCGGGGATATGTTCCAAGATCCCCAGTGCATGACTAGAACCAAGGATAGCACCAAACTCTAAACATGCTACATTGTTTAGGTGTGATAACGGAGATGACTACTAAGTGCCTAACTATGGATAGTGTATACAGCATGAATATGCTGAAGAAAGGGATGACTCACGTCCTGGGAAGGACAAAGCAGAATTCATAAGATTTCATTACCTATCTCAGAAGGGATACAACTTAAAACTTACTCATTATTAACTTCTGGAATTTTCCATTGAATATTTTTGGACCACTGTTGACCATGGGTGACTGAAACCATGGAAAGTAAATAGTAGATCAGGGAGACTACTGTATTAAGGAATATAAATTATATCCTAATCGCAATGTGGAATCACACAATATTTTCAAGCAAGAGAATGACATATAACACAATCAAAATTTTATTTTCTGTTTTTGAAAATCCAGTCTAGTCTGCCAGGCAATAAAGCAAAATAAGATACCACATGGAAGGATTCTTCCCTCTGGTCCACATATACCAAAATTCCATGCAGACACACAAATACTAGGTAACATGATTTTGTTAAACTTTAAAACATATCTAAGCTCAAAATCAAACATAATCTCCCAATTATTACAAATGAAGAAGCAACTCAAAACTAATCTTCAGTGCAGTAAAAATCAAAATTGCTCACAGGAATATTGAAACATTTCATTCATTGATTCATTTCCCATCCACCAAGTGTCCCTAAGTTCTAGGCATTGTGCTAGGGACAGGGGATGCTAACAGTTGAAAACCAAGATAAATAACACCATTGGTCACGCAACTTTTACAGTAGTGGTAAACCCAGGTACAATAGAATCTGTAAACAAGAAAAGCTATAACTTTCTAGAACTATTTGAATAAAACCAGAAAGAATATTATTAAAAACACTCATAAAATATAAAAGCATGAGATAAGAATTAACTACGGAAGTGGAGAAACAGAGGGAAATTTTCTTTCCACCTAGGAACGTGAATGGAAAAGATTTGCCTATGAAGATAGGAATCTTAAGCCTATACCAAATACAGATGTAGGTTCAGAATTCATACCAAACAGAAATATATTTATTCTTTTCACATAAAATACTGTTAAAAATTAATTATGGGCTGGGCGCAGTGGCTCACGCCTGTAATCCTAGCACTTTGGGAGGCCGAGGCGGGTGGATCACGAGGTCAGGAGATAGAGACCATCCTGGCTAACACGGTGAAACCTCGACTCTACTAAAAATACAAAAAATTAGCCAGGCGTGTTGGCAGGCGCCTGTAGTCCCAGCTACTCGGGAGGCTGAGGCAGGAGAATGGCGTGAACCCGGGAGGCGGAGCTTGCAGTGAGCCGAGATTGCACCACTGCACTCCAGCCTGGGAGACAGACTGAGACTCCGTCTCACAAAAAAAAAAAAAAAAAAAAATTAATTATCTACCTGGCCACGAAGAAGCCTCAACATATTCCACAGAATATCAAAAAGACCAATCAAATAAGAAATCAACAATGGTGATTCAAATATAACAAAACAAAATACAACAAAAACAAAAATGAAAACCACATTTGAAAACTTTTAAGCATGCCTTATTTTATAGGAAAAGAAATCATAATGGAAATGATAAAACATTAATAAAAATTAAAACTAAATGCACTAAAACACATCACATGCATACATATATTTGTGAGATAAATTTAATGTAACAGAAGAAAGGTTATAACCTTAAAACTTTGTTTAAAATATAACAAAAAAGTAAAATAGATCAGTTTAAGTGCAACTCAAGAAGATAAAAAAAAAACACATTATAAACTCAAAGTACAAAAAAAAAGACAATAACGTAAACTTATGACATGGAAAAATGAGTATAAATAAAGACTTTTTTAAAGTTGTAATGGAAGTATAAATCTTAAGCAGCACTAAGAAAATAGAATGTACATATAAACAATATTATTATTATGTAAGAGGATATAGTTAAAGGTACAGTAAAGATTTTGAAAAGTTCTGAGAGAATGATATATACATCTTTATGCCAATTAATGGTCAAACTTAAGGAAATGGATAATTTTCTAAGACTATTAAACTATCAAAATAAAAATTTTCTTAAAAATATAAATTACCAAAATTTACTCAAAAATAATAGAAAAACTTAGCACAATATCAATTATTAAAGAAATTGAATCAGTAGAAAATTCTCCCTATGAAAGAATATCTAATATTTTAAACTATTAGACACATTTTAACAAATATTTATAAAATGGATAACTTCCACATAGCATACATTTGACTATAGAAGTAGGATACAGAAAGATATGCACCTAATTAATTTTCTAAGGCTAGTATAAGCTTGATACTGAAATCAGAAAAGAAAGTATGTGATAAGATTACATACCAGTGTCACAGATGAGTAAAATCCTAAAGAATATTTTGCAATTAATCTAGCAGTGTGGATGTATGTACATATGTACGCATCTGGCCAAGCTGTATTTACCCCCGTGATAAAACCGTGCTTTAACAATGTAAAATTCATTAGTGGAACTTCCACTTCCAGGAAAAATAGACCTACTCTCCCTATTACTCCCACTAAACGCAACTAACAATTCTGGTCATTATATGTAAAATATGATAAACTCTGAAAATTGGAGAGAAGACGGTAGATTAGCTATTGATCTTGGGACTCAAAGCCTGAACTTCCACCCAAAAGAAGCAGCAGTGATGTGCCCCTTTCTTCCTCACTGGAATGGTGTTAGAGGAGGAATGTGGAATCAGATTGTTTTTAAGCAAGAGAATGACCCAGTTGAGAGGCCTAGTTGAGAGTCAGGACTTTGACCACTTCTCAGTACTAAGGAGGTTACTCCCCTGATATCAGTGATGGGAAGCAGCAATTAGGTACTAATTTCCCTCCCAACTAGGGTTCTGTAAGCAGAGACTCAGTGGGAAGTCTCAACTCCCAGCCATTTCCAGAAGTAACATAAAGCCCTTTCCACTTGGGTGTCCGTGGGGGCAGGCTAAAGAACCTGGACTTCCAACTCAACCTGGTAGAAATGAATCAGAACTCCCTTTCAATCACTAGAGAAATGTCAAACCATGCCTGCTAAAACACGAGATTTTAATAAGATCCAAAGTCTTAAACATAACACCCTAACTGTTCAGGTTTCCAGCAAAACTTACTTGTCATAGCAAGACCCAGGGAGATATCAAAGGGAATGAGGAAAGACAATCAACAGATGCAAATGTTCACACACAGATGTTAGGATGACAGGACAAGGATTCCAATGCCGCTAAAACAAAACACTTTAAAACAATTCTAAATATGTCTGAAACAAATGAAAAAAATAGAAAGTTTTGTGAAGTAGAAAGTTGTAGCAAATAAGTTAAGGATATAAAAATAAATATTCGTATGATATTAATTCTTCCAATCTGTGAGCATAGAATGTTTTTCCATTTATTTCTGTTGTCTCCGATTTATTCAGCAAGGTTTTGTAGTTCTTGTAGAAATCTTTCACCTCCTTCATTAGCTATATTTATGAGTACTTCATTTTCTTTGTGGCTATTGTAAATGGGATTGTGTTCTTGATTTCACTCTCAACCTGGACCTTGTTGGTGTATAGAAATGCTGCTGACATTTTTACTGATTTTATATCCTGAGACTTTATTAAAGTTATTTATCAGTGCCAGGAGTCTTTTGGAAGAGTCTTTAGGATATCCTAGGTATAGAATCGTATCTTCAGAGGAGAGAGATATTTCGACTTCTTTTTTTATTTAGATGCCTTTCATTTCCTCCTCTTGCCTGACTGCTCTGGCTAGGACTTCTAGTACATGTTGAACAGGAGTGATGAGAGTGAGTATTCTTGTCTTGTCCCAGCTCCAGTTCCCAAGGAGGAAGGTTCAAGCTTTTAAAAATATATATATATTAAATATTATATATTATATTAAATATATTATTTTATATTATACATAAATATATATGAAATATATATTTAATATATATTTTATATATATATATACACACACACACACTTGAAGTTCTGGGATACATGTGCAGAATGTGCAGGTTTGTTACATAGGTATACATGTGTCATGGTGGTTTGCTGTACCCATTAACCCGTCATGTACATTAGCTATTTCTCTTAATGCTATCCCTTCCCTAGTCCCCCACTCCCCAACAACTCCCCAGTGTGTGATGTTCCCCTCTCTGTGTCCATGTGTTCTCATTGTTCAACTCCCATTTATGAGTGAGAACATGCGGTGTTTGGTTTTCTGTTCCTGTGTTAGTTTGCTGAGAATGATGGTTTCCAACTTCATCCATGTCCCTGCAAAGGTCATGAACTCATCCTTTTTTATGGCTACATAGTATTCCATCGTGTATATGTGTCACATTTTCTTTATCCAGTCTATCATTGTTGGGCATGTGGGTTGGTTCCAAGTCTTTGGTATCATGAACAGTGCTACAATAAACATATGTGTGCATGTGTCTTTATCGTAGAATGATTTATAATCCTTTGGGTATATACCCAGTAATGGGATTGCTGGGTCAAATGGTATTTCTGGTTCTAGATCACTGAGGAATCGCCGCACTGTTTTCCACAATGACCGAATTAATTTACTTTCCCACCAACAGTGTAAAAGCACTCCTATTTCTCTACAGCTTCTCCACCACCTATTGTTTCCTGACTTTTTAATGATCGCCATTCTAACTGGTGTGAGATGGTATCTCATTGTGGTTTTGATTTGCATTTCTCTAATGACTAGTGATTATGAGCTTTTTTCATATAACTATTGGCCGCATAAATGTCTTCTTTTGAGAAGTGTCTGTTCATATCCTTCACCCACTCTTTGATGGGGTTGTTTTTTTCTTGTAAATTTGTTTAAGTTCCTTGTAGATTCTGTGTATTAGCCCTTTGTCAGATGGATAGATTGCAAAAATTTTCTCCCATTTTGCAGATTGCCTGTTCACTCTGAAGATAGTTTCTTTTTCTGTGCAGAAGCTCTTTAGTTTCATTAGATCCTATTTGTCAATTTTGGCTTTTGTTGCCATCGCTTTTGGTGTTTTAGTCCTGAAGTCTTTGCCCATGCTTATATCCTGAATGGTATTGCCTACATTTTCTTCTAGGATTTTTATGGTTTTAGGTCTTAGGTTTAAGTCTTTAATCCATCTTGAGTTAATTTCATCAGTGTAGTATGGGAGTTTAAGTCTCAAACAATATTTGTGGATTTGTTTGTTTTTCCTTTGTGTCAGCTTTTGCTTTATTTATTTTGCAGCTTTTTATTTGGTGCATATTCATTTTTGTTGCGATGTCTTCTAAGTAGATTGGCCTCTATATCATTATATAATGTGCCTCTTTGTTAGTTTTCTTTGCTTTGAAGTCTACTTTATCTAATATTAGCATGGCTACTGTTGCTTTATTAGATTAATGTTTGTATGGCCTATCTTTTTCCATGCTTTACTTTCAAACTCCCAATACCATTACATTTGGATTAAGTTCCTTATGGAGAGCATATAGTTGAGGCATGTTTTTTAATCCACTTTATTATGCTGTAACTTTTATTTGGTGCATTTACACCATTTAATGTAATTATTGATATGTTAAGGCTTAAGTTTATCCTTTTATTTTTTGTCATCTGTTTGTTCTCCCTGATTTTCATTTCTGTATTTTCTTTTTTCTTGCATTGCTTTGGATTACTTGAACATTTTTTAGTTTTTAGAATATTTCTTTGTATTGTTTTTCTAGAGGTTACTGTACGTATTGTATTGTGTATAAGTTTTCTTTTGCATAAAAATTACCACAGACTTTAATTCATGATATTGGCAGTTGAAAGTAATCAATGGAAAAAGACCATACAAACATTAATCTAATAAAGCAATAGTATCTGTGCTAATATTAGATAAAGCAGACTTCAAAGCAAAGAAAACTATCAGAGAGGCACATAATGATATAGAAGTCAATCTACTTAGAAGACAAAGCAATCAAAAATGAACATGTACCAAATAAAAAGCTGCAAAATAGATAAAGCAAAATCTGACACTAAGGAAAAATAAACAAATACACAAATATTGTTTGAGACTTAAATTTCCCTATTACACTCCCTATTACACTGATGAAATTATTCAAAGACTATCTCAATAGATGAAGAGATGTACCACGTTTGTGAATTGGAAAAGTTACCATAGCAAGATACAGATAATCCCCAAATTTATATAAAGGCTTAACACAATTTTTACCAAAACCTAGAATTATTATTATTATTATCTTTTTAGATGGAATCTCACACTGTCGCCCGGGCTGGAGTGCAGTGGCGCAGTCTCAGTTCACCGCAACCTCCGTCTCCCAGATTCAAGTGATTCTCCTGCCTCAGCCTCCTGAGTAGCTGGAATTACAGGCACCCACCACCATGCCAGGCTAATTTTTTGTATTTTTATTAGAGACAAGTTTTCACTATGTTGACCAGGCTGGTCTCAAATGCCTGACCTCACGATCCACCTGCCATGGCCTCTCAAAGTGCTAGAATTACAGATGTGAGCCACTGTGCCCGGCCCTAGAATTATTTTTATATTTAAGGACAAGAGTTCTCCGAAACTTATATGGAAAGATAAGGGAACTACAATAGCTAAAAACAACTCTGATAGAAAAGAATAAAATGGGAGGGATTACTTTATTCAATTAAGATTACTTTATATTTATAGCAACCAAGACTGTGTTGTACTGGTAAATGGAATGGCATTTAGATTTATGAAACCGAATAGAGAGCCCAGAAAAAGACCCACACATTTCTGGTCAACTGATTTTTTTTGGCAAAGATTCAAAAGCAATTCAATGGAAGATAAACTTTTCAACAACTAGTGCTTGAGCAATTGGATATTCATAGGCAAAAATAAAAATAAATTTTAAAAAGAGGAAACTTTACCTAAACTTCACATTTTTTGCAAAAATTATCTCAAAATGAACCATAGATTTAAAGGTAAAATATAAAAATGTAAAACTCTTAGTTAACTTAGGAGAAAATTTCAAGACATAGGGCTTGGGGATTAATTCTTAATAATGATACCAATAGCATAATATGAAAGAATCAATTATTTGGACTTCAACATTTAAAAAATTGTTCTTAGAAAGACCTTGTTAGGAGGATAAAAAGACAAGCAATGAACTGGAAGAAAAAAATTGTAAATCACAAATCCACCAAAGGACTAGTTTCTGTAATATGTAAAGAATTCTCTCAAAATTCAACAGAAAAAATCTAATATGGAAACTGGCAAAAGATACAGACAGTTATTTCACTAAAGAGGACATATGGATGACAAGCTTATGAAAGGATAATCAATATTAGTAGCTATTTAGAAAATGCAAATAAAAACCATAGTGAAATGTCTCTACACATTTAATAGAACAAATAAAACAAAAAGCAGTGACAATACCAAATGGTGGAGAGGATGCTGTGAAACTGGGTCTCGTGTACGATGTCATAAAGCTAAACATACACTCATAATTCAACAAGCCATTACACATTTAGGCATTTATCCTAGCGAAATGAAAATATGTCTACACAAAAATCTACATATGATTAATCATAGCAGCTTTATTTTAATAACCCAAACTGGAAATATCCAAAATTTTCATTAACAGATCAATAGTTAAACAAACTGTGGCACATCCATGTCATAGGACGCTAGTCAGCAGTAAAAATAAATGAACTATTGATACATGCAATAATTTGAATAGATCTCAGGGCATTATGCTAAGTGAAAAAAGCCAGTCTCCAAAGGTCAGAAGTTCTATAATTTCATTTATATAATAGTCATGGAATGACAAAATTATAAAGATAAAAAACACATTAGCAGTTGCCAGGAGCTCTGAATGGTTAAGGAGAATAGTGCGAGTGATTATAAAGAGACAGAACCAGGGAGAGAGCTTTGTGGTGAAGGAACATGTCTATAGTTTGATTGCAATGGTGCTTATACAATTTACACGTGTGATAAAATGACGTAGAACCATACTTGCACATTATACCAATGCCAAATTCCTGTTTTTGATATTGTACTCTACGTAATGAGATGTAACTGCTGGGAGAAACTGGTGAAGGATAACTGTCACCTCTCTACTATCTCTATAACTTCCTATGAATCCATAATTTTTTTCAAATAAGCAGTTTTAAAAATCAGTGTTAAAAGAAAAATAAATTACTTTGATTTATTACTTTTGAATTTGATTTAATCAAGATTTAAAGTTATGCTCTTTGCAAGATATCTTTAAGAAAATGAAATACTAAGAAAACATACTAAGAAATATACTAAGAAAAAAATACATATGAAAATAATTTATATTATCCATATCATTTATATATCCATATAAATGTATATATAAGTATATATAAACACACATAGATATTCATTACATCTCTCTCTAGTTATATCTAGAATACTATATCAAGATAACAAACCAATTTACAAGTGGACAAAAGAGTTGAATGGAGACTGTACAAGAGAATATATGAATAGGGAAAAGTACACCTAAAGATACTCAATATCATTAGTCTTGGGGTAATGAAATTTGAAACCATAAGATACCATGACAAATACTTTAAAATAGCTGCAATTAAAAAGACTGACAATAATAAGAGTTGATAAGATGTGAAGCAACACAAACTCTGCTACACTTCAGGGAAGAATGTAAAAAACTACAATCACTTTAGAAACAGGGTAGCTATTACTTAAAAATTTAAACATACGTTTGCCATATAACCAAGGTATTCCACTACTAGAAAGAAAAATTAAAATACATGTTCACATGAATACTTAAATGTGAAATTTCATAGCAGCTTTATTAATAATACCCAAATACTGGAAATAACATAAATGTCAATCAACACATGAATGTATAAACAAATTTTGCTCTATCCAAACAACAAGAAATATATTGCTGATACACATACAAATATGGATAGCTCTCAACACCATTGTGCTAACTGAAAGAAGCTAGATGCAAAATTGTACACACTGCATTATTCCATTATTTGAAATTCAAGATCAAGCAAAACTTGATCTTGATGAAAATCAGATCAGCAGTTGCCTTCACAGCAAAGATAATTGACTACAAGGGGGCATGACAGAACATTCTGTGGTGATTAATTTTTTTTTCTATCTTGATTGTGAAATTGGCTACAAGGATTCGTACGGTAGCCAAAAATGTATCAAACTGCACACATACAATGGATGCGTTATACATACAGAGAGATTATACCTCAAATAAGTCAATTTTAAAAATCTATTGGTACAATTCACCATGTTAAAGGATTGAAAAAAGAAACCTAAAATTATCTCATTATATACAGTAAACTATTTTTAATAAAATTAAACATTTATTCACAACTACCAAAAACTAACTAAAGAACCAAAACAAAGCACAAGCATTTTAAGAAACTAAGAAAATCTCCAGAAATTTCCTTGATCTGATGAAATGTATTTATTAAAAACATGGTACACCATTTAGAAATTATTAAGTGTAAGATCAGAAATCAGACACATAGGACTGTTATCATTTCTACAATTTAACAAAGTGCCCCAAAGCCCTAACTAATGAAATAAGAAAAAAAAAATGGAACAAGATTGCAACAAAATCATAATTTACAGACTAGCTGCCATATTAGCAAATATTACTGGCTACATTAAAAAGTCCAAAGCAACCTATAGACAGCCTATTAAAATCAATAAGAATACTTGTTAAGTTCACTCCATATAAGATCAACATAAAAAACTTAACACTATGCCCATATTTTAATGATAAAAATAGGTAATACAATACAAAAATAATTCATTCACAATAACATAATGATTATATTATGTCCATAAGATAAATCTGACAAAAGCAGTGCAATACCTTTACAGAGAAAAATATAAAGCATTTTTGAAAGAGATAAAAGAATACATGAATAAACTGACAAAATTTTATAGGTAAAAAGCTTAGTATATAAAGATACAGTCTTCTAAAAATTAATATATAAAGACAATACACTCAGAATCAATAACACGATAAGATTTTTTTGAAAGACTTCTACAAAAATAGTCAAGCAAACACTGAAAAAAGAAGAAAAAGAAGAGCATCATTGCCCTATTAAATATCAAGGGAAATTAAAAAGCTGTGATAATTGAGAAACTATGATATTGTCATACAACACATTTAAAAAATAATTATTGCAACAAAACAGAGGGCCACAAAACACACACACACAGGCATACCACAGAAACATAGCAGACTTAGTTCCAGACCACCATAATAAAGCAAATATTGGAATGAAGTGAGTCACACACTTTTTTTGGTTTCCTAGTTTAATAGCATTAGGTCTAAAAAATAATGTGCATGCCTTAATTAAAAATACTTTATTGCTAAAAATACTAACAATCGTCTGAGCCTTCCGCAAATTGTAATCTTTTTGCTGATGAAGGTTATTGCCTCCATTGTGATGAATGCTGACTAATCAGGGTGGTGGTTGTTGAAGTGTGAGGTGACTGTGGCAATTTATTGAAATAAGACAACAGTGAAGCTTGGCACATTCATTGACTCTTCCTTCTGGGAAAGATTTGCCTGTACCTTGTGACACTGTTTGATAGCATTTCACCCACAGCAGGAATTCTTTCAAAATTGGACTCCATCCTCTCAAACGCTGCTGCTGCTTTATCAACTAAATTTACGTAGTAATATTCTAAATCCTTTGTCATTTCAACGATGTTCAATAACATCTTCACCAGGAGTAGATGCCATCTCAGAAACCCATTTACTTTGCTCATCCATAAGAAGCAACTCCTCACTCACTGAAGTTTAATCATGAGTTTGCAGGAATTCACTCCCACTTTCAGGCTTCATATCTAATTCCAGTTCTCTTTTTAGTTCTACCACATCTGTAGTTACTTCCTTCACTGAAGTCTTGAACCCCTCAAAGTCATCCATGAGGGTTGGAATCAACTTTTTCCAACTCCTATTAATGTTGGTATTTTGACCTCCTCCCATGAATCACAAATGGCCTTAATGACATCTAGAATGGCGAATCCTTTCCAGAAGGTTTTCAATTGACTTTTTCCTAGATTCATCTGATAAATCACTATGTTTGGCAGCTATAGCCTTACAAAATGTATTTCTTAAATAATGAGACTTGAGAGTCAAAATTACTCCCTGATCCATGGGCTGCAGAATAGATGTTGTGTTTGTAGGTGTGAACACATTAATCTCTTTGTACATCTCCTTCAGAGCTCTTGAGTGACCAAGTACATTGTAAATGAGCTGTAACACTTTGAAAGCAATCTTTCTTTTTCTTCTGAGCAGTGTAAGTATTCAGTAAACCACGTTGCAAATAAATGTGCTATCATCCAGGTTTGTGGCTCCATTAACAGAGCACAAGTAGAGTAGACTCAGCATAATTCCCAAAGGCTCTAGGATTTTCAGAATGCAAAATGGAGCACTGGCTTCAGCTTAGAGTCACCAGCTGCATTAACTCCTAATAAGAGAATCAGCTTGTTCTTTGAAGCTTGGAAGCCAGGCACTGACTTCTGTTCTCCAGCTTTAAAAGTCCTGGTGTCGTTTTCGTCCAATAGAAGGCTGTTTTGTCTATATTGAAAATCTGTTGTTTAGTGTAGTCACCTTCATCAATTATCTTAACTAGGTCTTCTGGATAACTTGCAGCAGCTTCTGCATAAGCACTTGTTTCTTTGCTTTGCCTTGTACTTTTATGTTATGGAGAGAGCTTTTTCCTTTAACTCCATGAACTGACCTCTTCCAACTTCAAACTTTTCTTCTGTGGCTTCCTCACTCCTCTTACCCTTCATAGAATTGTGGAGCCTTAGGGCCTTGTTGTGAATTAGGCTTTGGCTTAAGGAAGAGAATGTTGTGGCTGATATGATCTATCCAGATCACTAAAACTTTCTTTATATGAGCAATAAAGTTGTTTTGCTTTTTTATCATTTGTGTATTCACTGAAGTAGTATTTTTAATTTCCTTCAAGAACTTTTCCTTATACAACTTGGCTAACAGGCACAACAGGCCTACCTTTCAGCCTATTGACTTTCGACATGCCTTCCCCGCTAAGCTTAATCATTTCTAGTTTTCAATTTAAAGTGAGAGATGTGTGACTCTTCAGCTCACTTAAACACTCAGAGGCCAATGTAGGGTTACTAATTGGCCTAATTTCAATATTGTTGTGTCTGCAGAAATCAGGATGCCAAAAAAGAGAGAAAGAGAACTAATGGCCTATATGTGGAGTACTCAGAATACACACAACGTTTTTTAAGTTCACCATTATAAATGGGCACAGTATGCGGTGTTCCAAAACAATTACAATAGTAATATCAAAGGTCACTGATCACAGATCACTATAATACACATAATAATCATGAAAAAAATTAAAATATTTCAAGAATTACCAAATGTGATACAGAGACATGAAGTGAGACTGTTCTTGAAAGAATGTTGCCTAACCACTTGCTCAATGCAGGATTGCCACAGACCTTTGATTTGTAAAAAAACGCAATATCTTTCAGCTTTCCTTTACTGAGTAATAAGATAGAAGCTATAATAAAAAGTCTCCGATCAAAGAAAAGCCCAGGACCTGATGGCTTCACCACTGAATTCTACTAAATATTTAAGAACTACTAACAGCAATTCTACACAAATTCTTTAAAAAAAAAAACAAAAAACTGGAGAGGAGGGAATACTTCCAAACTCATTCACCATGATCAAGTGGGATTTATTCCTAGGATGCAAGTAGTATGGTTCAAGATACTCATGTCAATCAATGTGATACATCACATTAACAGAACCAAAAAAAAAAAAACCGTAAGATCATTTCAATAGATGCTGAAAAAGCATTTGATAAAATTTAACGTCCCTTCATGATAAAAACCGCAACAAACAGAGTATAGAAAAAACATACCTCAAAATAATAAAGGCCATAAATGACAAACACATAGCTAACATACAGAACAGGGAAAAATTAAAAGCGTTTCCTCAAAAACCTAGAACAAGACAATGATGCCCACTTTTACCACTTTTATCCAATATAATACTGGAAGTCCTGGCCAGAGTAAGTAGGGCAGCAAAACAAAGGACATTCAAACTGGAAGGTAATGAGTTGAATTATCCCTATTCACAGATGACATGATATTATATTAGAAAAACCTAGACTCCACCAAAAAATTATAAGAAGGGATAAACGAATTCAGTACAGTTGCAGGTTAGAAAATCAACATGCAAAAATCAGTATCATTTCTATATATCAACAGCAAACAATCTGAATAAAAAATCAAGAAAGCAATCCAATTAAAATAGCTACAAGAAGAAAATACTTAGGGATCAATTTAACCAAAGAAGTAAAATATCTATACAAGAAAAACTAAAAAACACTGATGAAAAAAAATTGAAGAGGACACAAGAAAGTGGATATTCCATGTTCATGAATTAGAAGAAGTAATATTGTTAAAATGAATATAGTACCCAAAGAAATCCACAGATTAAATATACTCACTATGAAAATGCCAATACTATTTTCACAAAAATAGAAAAAACAATTCTAAAATTTATATGGAACCACGTAAGAACTCAAAAGGCCAAAGCAATCTTTTTTTTTTCTGAAAATAAAGAAAAAGCTGAAGCATCACATTATCTGAACTTCAAAATATACTATAAAACTATAGTAACCAAATCAGCATGGTATTGGCATAAAAACAGACACACAGACCAAAGGAACAGAAGAGAGAAGCCAGATGTAAATCTGCACATTTACAGCCAACACATTTTCAACAAAGATGCCAAGAACATATAATAGGGAAAAGACACTCTTCTCAATATATGGTTTGGGGCCAGGCGTGGTAGTACATGTTTGTAACCTCAGCACTTTGGGAGGCCAAGGCGGGGAAATCACTTGAGCTCAGGAGTTTGAGACCAGCCTGGGCAACATGGCAAAATCCCATCTCTACAAAAAAATGCAAAAAATAGCTGCACTAGTGGCATGTGCCGGTAGCCCCAAGTACTCAGGAGGCAGAGGCAGGAGACTCACTTGTGCCCAGAGGTTGAGGCTGCAGTGAGTCAAGATTGTCCCAATGCACTCCAGCTTGGGCAACAGAGTGAGACCCTGTCTGTAAATAGAGAGAGAGCTAGAGATAGAGAAAATGAGAGAGAGAGAGAGAGAGAGAGAGAGAGAGAGAGAGAGAGAGAAACATAATAGTTCTGAGAAAACTCTATTACCATATGCAGAAGAATGAAACTAGACCTCTACCTCACATCATATACAACAATCATATCAAAATGGATAAAGGCTTTAATCTAAGGCCTGAAACTATAAAACTACTAGAAGATAATATTGGAAAAACACTTGAGAACATCAGACTGGGCAAAGGATTTTTGTGTAAGACCTCAAAAGAACAGAAAACAAAAGCAAAAATAAAAAAATTGGGTTACATCAAGGTAAAAGGTCCTGGCACAGCAAAGAAAACAATCAAAAAAGTGAAGAGATATCCCACGGAATGGAAGAAAATATTTGCAAACTATCCATCTGACCAGGAATTAATAATCAGAATATATAAGGAGCTCAAATAACTCAATAACAACAACAACAACAACAAAAACTAATCGGAAGCAAAAATGGGCAAAATATCTGAATAGCCATTTATCAAAATAAGACATACAAATGGTATATGAAAAAAACTCAACATCTCCAATCATCAGGGAAATGCATATCAAAACCATAATGTGATATCATCTTACCCTAGCTAAAACAGTTTTTTATCAAAAAGATCAGTAATAATGATGCTGGCAAGGATATGGAGAAAGGGGAACCATCATACACTGCTGGTAAGAATGTGAATTAGTACAGCCACTATGGAAAACTATACGGAGGTTCCTCAAAAAACTTAAAACTACCATATGGTTCAGCAATTCCATTACTAGATATAAACTCAAAAGAAAGAAAATCAATATATTAAAGAAATGTCTGCATTCTCATGTTTATCGCAGCACTATTTACAATAGCCAACATGTGGAATCAACCTAAGTTCCCATCAGTGGATGAATGCATAGAGACAACGTGGCATATATACACAATGGAAAATTATTCAGTCATGAAAATGAATAAAATATTGTTATTTGCAACAATATGGATGAAACTGGAAGTTATTATGATTACTGAAATATGCTAAGCACAGAAAGACAAATATTGCATGTTCTCACTCATCTATGAGAGCTAAGAAAGTGGACCTCTTGAAGGTAGCCAGTACATTGGTGGTTACCAGAGGCTGGGAAGGGTATGGGGGAAGAGGTTATAAAGATAGGCTGATTAGTGGGCACAAATATAGAGTTAGATAGACAAAAAATAAGACATCATGTTCAATAGAACAGAAGTGTGACTATACTTTATGATTATCTATTGTATATTTCAAAATAGCTAGAAGGGGATATTTCAAATGTTTGTAGCATAAAGAAAAGACAAATAATTAAGATGATGAATATTCTAATTACACTGGTTTGATATATACACATTAAAGAAAAGTGCTAGATTATCACATGTACCTTGAAAATATGTACATCTATTATGTTTCAATTAAACCAATAAAATTCTGGGAAGGGTAGGTGAGGGGGCGGGCAAGGAGAAAAAAGAATATAAATGTATTTATTACCACTGAACTATATAATTAAAATGATGTGGATGGTAAATTTTATATGTATATTTTATCTCAATTAAAAAAATTTAAAATGACTATAAAAATAACCCAATGAGGTGGCATCTTCTTTGGAAAGCGGTCCTTGATACTGTTACTGTCTCCTTCTTCTATGCGTCTATTGCTGCCTTACCAGGTCATCAAAGTCATACCATAATTTATAAATCACATGCCTTCATCTCCTAATAGATTGAGAGCCTTGAGGGAAATCATGTCATTCATCTCAGTATCCCTACTGTCCTCAGTATCCCCAGGGCTAGGAATATAGTAATCAATGAATATTTCTGAAAATGAATTCTTTGAATTTCCACATCCTTGAGCAAACTATGATTGATACTGCCTTTTAAGTTTTAACCAAATGAAAGCAGATACAACTTTAAAGAAAAAATTAAAATAAAATTATTTTTAAAATATTTAAGATGATGGATGTCCCAATTACCCTGATTTGATCTTTACACATTATATGAATATCAAATTATTACATGTACCCCCAAAATATGTACCTCGATTATGTATCAATTTTAAAAAGAAAAATAAAATGGTACCTGTGAAGTGTGAAGCAAAATAAAGCAAACTACAATAAAACAAGATATGCCTGTACATGGGAACTGACTTATTATAAAATAAAGAAACAGCAGCACAAAACCACAGTGAAGGATGCAATTGATAATGTTGGCACAACTGGTTTCCATATGGAAAAAAGAATTTAAAAAATATTAGCTTCCTTTCTCAAAGCATATACCCAAATACATTTTTGTACATTAAAACATCAATGTAGTCTTCTAAAATTCATTTGAAAATGTAGGAAATATGTAAGTATATGTATAACAGTGAGCTAAAAATATTTTAGGACTCTGAAAGCATAAGTCATGAAGGATAAGAATGATCAACTTAAGCACATTACAAGTAAAAATATATCATAAAATTAAAAAATAAAAGAACAGTATATATTTCCAGAACATAGAGCAAATGGAGGATTGGCATCTATAATAAAAGAACTTGAAAAACAATCCAGTAGAAAAGTGGGGAATGCATTTTAAATTCCAATTCATTAAGTGGAAATCTGAATTAAAAACAAAGGAAAAGATGCTCAAATCTTCAGCCATGAAGATTGTGCAGTCACTATAGTAGTGATATATTATTTCACAGCCACTGGAACGGAAAATAATTAAATACCTGAGACTACCACATTCTTATGCATGGAAACATTCATGTAATGCTGCCAATAATAAAAATTTATACAAAGATTCTGAAGAAATAAATAGCAATATCTAATAAGTTTTAAACTTGCTAATCTCTTTGCCCCAAAATTCTTCCTCTAGGTACACGACATAAACTCTTACATAGAGGTAAAAGGTTATATGTAGAAATATGTTTACTGCATTATTTGCAGTAGCAAAAAAAAATATGATGTGGTATAAATGCCTATTGATAGGGAATGGATAAGTTTTGCTATGTTTATATAGTAGAATATGTTAAAATGAATGAATTAGACTGATAGGCATCCATGTGAGTAGTTTTCAAAAATCTAAAATGGAGTGAAAAAAGCAAGTTGTAGATCAACCGGTATAGCATCATTTGTATAAAAAATTTAAAATCACAAAGCCCCACTTCTACTATATTTATGAATAGTAAAATAATGCAACATAACCTGGAAGGATGGACATTAAATTTTTTATAGTGATTGCCCCTAAGGAAGGAAGGATATAGGACAAGAGAGCCAAATAAGGAGACTCCAATTTCATCCTTAGTGCTTTATTCTTTTAATTAAAAGTGTCAATGAAAAGAAAAGTATTCCAGTGGCAGGCTATTGGGATCATAGGGTGTCCTTAAGACTGCAGAAAATAATCTATAGAAAGAGGATGCATACATTAAGGAGGTAACATCATGCTTTCTACAAAATTTACATACTAGTGTTTTTGGCAGTGGTTTGGGGATAAAAAAGGAGCTGCCAGTCATAGTGTGAGTGCACACTGGTGAGGCAGAGCTGTATGTTCAGGTGGAAGACCCTGAGTAAATGCACAAAGTAAGCCTTTCAGAGGTGTGAAGGAATCTACTAGACTGTTGTAATAGACAAGCTAAAGATAACCTTTATAGGAGCCACTTCCAGCAAAACGTACACAGGTACATTTTTAATTATTACAGATTATTTTTAAACTATGTAAACTTAAAGGTTTTTAAATTTTTCTTTATTTTTTTGAGGGAGAGTCTCACTCTGTTGCCCAGGCTGGAGTGCAGTGGTGCGATCTCGGCTCACTGCAACCTCTGCCTTCCAGGTTCAAGCAATTCTCCTGCCTCAGCCTCCCGAGTAACTGGGACAACAGGCTTGTGCCACCACGCCCAGCTAATTTTTCGTATTTTTAGTAGAGACGGGGTTTCACAGTATTAGGTACGATGATCTTGATCTCCTGACTTCATGATCCACCCGCCTCGGCCTCCCAAAGTGCTGGGATTACAGCATCTTATAATGTTTTAACAAGCAACCTGCAGAACTTAACAGCTTGCTTTGTGTGATTACCCCCGGAAAGACTTCCCCGGACCTAACCAGCTTCTAATACTCCATTCTTTCCTACTACAGCTGCAGATATCTGACCTGACTTTCTTCTTTGTTCCAGTTGCCACTCTGATTTTTCTGCTTATATTCTTCTTTAACCAACTGTTAAAATATGCTGATTTTCCCACTACTTGTCTTCCTACTATCTCTAAAATAATCCCAGAGTTTAGTAGATCATGAATGCCATAAAGCTACACAGAGGGGATGCAGTAGCATTCTTTCTTTTCTCTCTCCTTCCCTCCCTCCTTTTCTCTATCTCTCTTTTGCTTAACCAACATTTATTGACAGACTTTACATGCAATAATCTCTTCTCCCAACGAGTTTGCAATTTAAGGGGTAAGATGTAGGTTGGGTTGAGTGTGGAGGAGAGGTGGAAAAAAAAAATCTCGCCTAACATGATAAAGAGTAAAATATGACACAATTTATCAAGATACATCTGCATATCCATTTAACCTGAAAAACACTATTTACTGTACCTATTTGCAACCCTGTTGCTTCATACTCTGGTTTCACCTACTATTACATGCAAGATAATGTTTGATCAAGGCATAACTCACTCTCTCAGAAGTATTTTCATTTTAATGTGGACTTTTGGCATTAGGGGAAAGCAATGTTTAGGGGTAGTACTGTCCATGGGCCTCAACCTGTAACTTGGGTTGGCTCTGAGCAGAGAGGTCCAACTGACATGAGCGTTAAAAAGAAATTATTTTGGCAGATAGTGAGGGTAAGAAAGTCCTCAGTAAGGTTTCCCTTTTTATAAAAAGCAGCACCAAAATTATTTCTTTTCTAACAAAAAGCAGCCTGTAAAATTGAGCTGCAAACATAGATAAGCAAGCTGGAAGCTTGCACGAGTGAATGTCGGCAGATGTGACAATAGTAAAAGACTACCTGGGGGCTAGACATATTCAACATGACAGTTCCATCTTTCCTTTTATCAACCATGTGTACAGTAAGAAGCAGACAACATGGCGCTGGCCAGGTAGAAACCTCATTTGCATAATAGATTAAGGTGGGTGGCCAGCTCCTTCAGGCACTATGTAAACATCATGCCTGGGCCAATCTTTGGGCCCTATGTAAATCAGACACCACTTCCTCAATCCAGTCTATAAAAACCCATGCACTTCACGATGGGACTGGAAGACCCACTCAGGAGCCCCTCTCTCTCTGCAGGAAAGAGAGCTACTCTCTTTTCTCTTTCTTTGCATATTAAACCTCGGCTCTTAACCTCACTCCACAAGTGTTCATGTCCTTGATTTCCTTGGCATGAGGCAACGAACCTCAGGTATTATCCCAGATGAATGATGTTGCTTCATAAGTTGTGAAGAGGAAATGTTGGGGATAGTAACTTTCTTCCTTCTTTTAGAAAGTAGAATTTTAACAAGAAAATTTTCACAGGTTCCCTAACTATACCTGTGCCCCTGGCTTTAAGCAGAAGGCTTTATATCACACAGTGGCTTGGGTGGAAGGCCAAGTGGTAATGGCAGTTTCCACCATTGTTGCATCCTAGCCTCAACCTCTGTGGCAAAAGGTTCTCTATAAATCAAAGACTTTGCATGCCACCATTTCTATATATCAAAGACTTTGCATGCCAACTTTGAAAGGTTGATGATTCTTCCCCCACCTTTTGGGGAAGGGCAGTATCTCCCTTCATGTCTCACTGTTCACCACCAAACACAGCACTCCTCTCTGCCCCCTTGGAGTGGTCCTGCTTACCCTAAAAAATTCTTAGGCTTTCCATTTACCCAAATCATGCAATCCTTTGATGAGCGGGACCTCTCCTGTTGATTCCCATGAACTATACCAGAGTATAGAGCAAATAACATGGAAACATTCAGTAATTACTTATTGGAATCAAAGTGTCTCAGAACTAAAAGGTCTTGTGGTGATCATATTGCCCATCGATTTTCAAACTGTTTTCTGAGAGGCCCTGTGGTTTCCCAGAGAGGCTTCAGGGGCTGAGGCAAGGTCTTCACATCTAGGATTCTGCCTCCACTGCCTCCAATCAAGTAGAACAGTTATGATGTTATTTGCTTTATAATTGGGATTCCAAATAGGACTTCATTTACAAAAATAGTTTCTCTCTAAAAAAGAAGGATGAACAATTGAGTTTTGGCATTAACTTTATTTTTATGAGGAAATGAAAAGTTAAGTAAGTTAAAGTCATTTTCTACCAAGGTCACATAGTTCTAGGTTTAAATGATTTGATGTTTACAGAAGAATTCTCAGCATTATGGGAAGCCACTAAGGAAGACATATGGGAGCCTTTGATGTCTATTGTCCATCTTATTGTACTACATAAACAGGAGGATGTTTCTCCAAGAGTAAAGTCAGAAGTGAAAGAATAATTATGTTTAATTTACCAACATAGCAATTCTGGTATAAAGTCAGGGAAGAAGGAAAAGTATTTTCTCTCTCAAATTTTGTAGTGTGCATTATGCCCTGCTCTAACAGTTGGAAGAATAAGAGTAATCGACTGGTATGGGGCTAACTTTTGGATCATTTAATCTAGCTGTAACCCTGTGAACAAGTATTTCTCATTAAAGGAAGTGCAATGGTATATGCAAACTTTTGGAAAACAATTGTTTACTCTTATCTGCAGTTACAAGAGGAAGGACTAAGTCATCAAGCTTCCATTTCTGCCTCTGTTTGGTGATTTCTATTAAGGGTCACTTATGAGGCCAATCAGTTCTGTTCAAGGAAGTCACTAGAAAGGGAAAAAATTATATTTGGTACCAAAGAAAATTCACACAAAAAAAACCAACTTTGATCTGTACTCCAGCCTCTGGTTTAATGGTTTGGAAAACTAATAATTAATTTTCTCAAAAAGACATCATATAGCTAGAGCTATAATGTTCAAATAACATGCAATCTTATTTTTTCTTAATAAGTGTAATCCTCTTTTAATCATTTTGAAACCAACAACCACAAAATGCATTGTTTTATTCCTGTAATATTTTTCCACAAGTCTTTTCAACATAGAAAGCGATCTCATTTCCAAGGTTATACACTGAAGACAGAATTTGATTTTACATTCAGATCTCATTTGACCTAACAAACAGAATGATAATATTTTTCTCTATTGGTATTGCTATATGGTATAGAATATTTGAAAAGTACTGTTTGTCTTCTGTGGGACTTCCCAGATTAGGTTAAGAAGTATCTATTAATATTTATACTTTTTTTTTTTTTTGAGGCAGCGTCTCACTCTGTCACCCAGGCTGGAGTGCAGTTGGCACAATCTTGGCTCACTGCAACCTCTGCCTCCTGGGTTCATGCAATTCTCATGCCTCAGCCTCCTGAGTAGCTATGATTATAGGTGTGTGCTACCAGGCCTGGCTAATTTTTTTATATTTTTAGTAGAGACTGGGTTCCACTATATCGGCCAGGCTGTTCTTAAACTCCTGGCCTCAAGTGATCTGTCTGCTTCAGCCTTCCAAAGTGCTGGGATTACAGGCATGAGCCACCACACCCGGCCAATATTTATACTTTAAACAGAAGGACCTGCAACAATAGCTGGAAATGATATTGAAAATAGGCCTCTTCTTCCTTGCTGATGTCCAAGACAGATGGGATAGCCACCAAGCAGAGTGAGTTTCATGGAGAAAAGGTTGTCACAGAGTCTGTCTGAACAGATTATGTTGGGAGGAGGGAGATATCCACCTATAATATCTCCATCCCTACCCCAGCAACTCACAATCCAGTTTCATAATGACCCTACCTCATATTAAGGATTACCGGATTACCATGTGTATAGGGTTTATGAGGTGTGGATTATTCTGAATAAAGTTGTGAAGTAAAATAGCAATTGTATTAGAAAATATAGTTTGTAGGCCAGGTACAGTGGCTCATGCTTGTAATCCCAGTACTTTGGGAGGCCGAGGTGGATGGATCACCTGAGATCAGGACTTCCAGGCCAGCCTTGCTAACTTGGCAAAACTCCATCTCTACTAAAAATACAAAAATTAGCTGGGCGTGGTGGTGCATGCCTGTAATCTCAGCTACTTGGGAGGCTGAGGCAGGAGAATGGCATGAACCTGGGAGGTGGAGGCTGTGGTGAGCCAAGATCACACTACTGCACTCTAGCCTGGGCGACAGAGCAAGACTGTCAAAAAAAAAAAAAAAAGGAAAGAAAGAAAAAAAGGAAAGGAAAGGGAGGGGAGGGGAGGGGAGGGGAAGGGAGGGGAGGGGAGGGGAGGGGAGGAGAGGGAAAGGAAAGGAAAGAAAGGAAAATAAAATATAGTTTGTAAAAAGCTCACTTCTGATAGCAGAGAGGTTGCTAACTATTTTTGTCCTTCAGCTTTGTAAAGCACTAGTTGGAGGCTAAGACAGCACAGATGAAAAACATTTGTGATCCCAAATAGGAAACGTCTGTCATTACAGGAGGTGCATAATAGAGAGAAAGTGAGTAAACTTTCCCCTTGGGCAGGTAGTGAGTACAGGAATCCCACTCTAGATTAAAGGACTGAAAGTTTGCACCTATGTTCCAGATTCTGACTCTCACTCCATACATCAGAATTCCGCCAGGCTAAATGTAGAAAAGCAAACCACACTAAGATGGAACAACTACAAGGAATGCTTCCTCCTCTGAGTGCTTATATCTGAAGAGTTGCCTGAATCTGTAATATCTCCCATAGCAGGTTCCTTTTTGTCATCATGAAATCAACCAAGAGAGAGAAATTTGGCTTACTGTATGCCTCCACCTCTTTTTATCTCCCCTATTTTCCAAACAAAGTAATAAGAATGAAGCAGAGAAAGTCACATTATAGCTCAGAATAGGACAAGCCTTTTTATTTGATTGTCATTGGTCCTTATCTAGCACTGGAGGTAAATCTATGTGCTATGGGAAAAATAAAAGTTAAGAAAACTTGCTATAATTTGACACTGGAAATTCAAATCTACTATAATACTATGATTATTTTACAAGCTATTTTTTTTCTTGGCCTACACGTTTTATTGAGATGTTTAAAAAGTATTATTTAGCAAAGGCCAGGCACGGTGGCTCAAGCCTGTAATCCCAGCACTTTGAGAGGCCAAAGCGGGCGGATCATGAGGTCAGGAGACTGAGACCATCCTGGCTAACACGGTGAAACCCCGTCTCTACTAAAAATACAAAAAAATTAGCCAGGCGTGGTGGCGGGCGCCTGTAGTCCCAGCTACTGGGGAGGCTGAGGCAGGAGAATAGCTTGAACCCTGGAGGCGGAGATTGCAGCGAGCCAAGATCGCGCCACTGCACTCCAGCCTGGGCGACAGAGCGAGACTCTGTTTCAAAAAAAAAAAGTATTATTTAGCAAACTACATTTCCATTGAAATAATAGAAAACTATCATCCAACCATTATCTCTAAATGCTGTCTACAGATCCAAAGCATTGATTCCTGCGAAACAGAATAAAACCCAGATAATCCTTGTATATTGTTAGACACTTGAAAACTTTTCTCTCTAAAGTATGTTTTTTTCTCTTTTACAAACTGTGGCCTCAAAGTCACAGAAACCGTCACTCTTTTGCCTTTGCTCATACCAGTTTTCAATAACTTTTAGAATAAAGGACAAAATTTCAATCCTCTCAAGACTCAACTCATGTGTTTTAATGGAAAATTTCTTTCCAAAGGATGTTTTTATAGTTCTTACATAATCATAGAATAAATATAAAGAGACTTTGAGAGATGACCTAATCTATTCTCATGCTTCCTCTAAAGTAAACAGCAAAACCACCCTAAAGTAATGGGAATCATGCTATTTAGTACAAAAGCTTGAGAAAGGACTCTACTCTGTGTTACATATCACAATAATAATTCCCTTTAAACTAACAGGTGAGTTCTCATTCTGCATAAAAGAAGCAGCATCAATTGAAGTCCATTTCTTCTCCTGTTCTCAGCTGGGTTCCAAAGCTGAATTAATATCATAAACTTTAAAAACTGCGTTACTTCACTTCCTCTCCTGTAGACTGCAAGCTCCTTGAAAAATGGGAACCAGGTCATCATCTTTATATTAGACTCTATATTCTAACTCAATGCCGGGCACCTCCTTATGTTTATCAAGCAATGCATCAAAGTACTTCAAGTGCATCAAAAACTAAACCAACACACTGGCTTATAAATGCTTTTTAATTATATGCTTATAATGCTTGTTAATATTTGAATGATTATCATTTAAAATACATTTTTTTGTTATAGATGTTTCTTTCCCCTCATACCTAGGTAGCCCTCATTTTTTCAGCTGTATTTAGCTCAATTATTGGTGTATTAAAAATTAAAAATTTAGACAAAGGCTCAGGCATAATTGCAATATGGAATTAAGATTTGAAATAAATAAAACAGTCAAAAATATTAGTCGCAATTTTCTTTTAAGGAGTTGTAATAATGTATTTTCTAACTTTCTGATATGGTTCTACACAAAAATATATTTAATTTCAATATGGTCACATGATACCTACTGTATAATAACCTATGAAACAAACTAATTTGGATAATGTATGTTTTCAGGAATGTAACTTCACTTTGAAAGTATCTTTCATTCTACACAGCAGGGAACATATAAGAGCAAGAGTGCCCCTGAGCCAGTATTCTGCCATGTGGCTGTTAGTCTGAAAACTCTGAAACAAGAAAAGCACTTCTTTTCTTCCTTGCCTCACTACCAGCTGCTACTGCCACCTTCAATTCAGTGTTCACTATTGTCTAGTTGCCATTAATCACATGGGCTGGTTTGATATTTTGGTCGGTTTTAAACTGAGTCATATAGTAGGTATCTATTAAATGTTTATTTCAGATGAGGGATGGAAGGATAGAATGACTGAGGAAGGAGAAATAAATTTGGTGGGGGAAATGATAAGAAGAGATGGCACATGGAACAGAAAATGAAGGATTAACTTCACTTAAAGAAAAGATGGGAGATAATTTTTTTTCTGCTGAAACTAAAGAAGAGCAATAAGAGAACAAGGATGTGTATGAAATGATACTTAAGTGTTACTGAGAAAACTCACTGCAAGTCATTTTGTGTAACCTCTCAAATCTGAATCACTTTTTAAGAGCAAACCTGAAAATATTTTTGCTTGATGTGTTTTTTAAGAACAAGAGAAGTTTTAAGTGGTCATTGGAGAATTTCAAGTTCTTGTTTTAATATTTATTCTCTTCAAGACTTGAACATCAGTAATGATTCATTTTTATAAGAAAGGAAATTATCACTTTGACAATCCCAAACTGTAGGCTTCAGAGCTGGTTCTACATATATTATTTCCTATTTCTATAAACATGAGTTTTTACAACTCATGAGGTCTTACAATTCTTTATTTCAAATAAAGGTAGATGCTTCTGAATATGAATTACTTTATTACTAAAATCTGCTTAATAAGTTAAGGGATCTAGAGAGACTGCTGTACCAACACAGAATTATCAGGACTCACTACAACTACTTCACTGAAGAAGACTCCAGCACTCATTGGAGTCACTGTCTTTCAAACTCCAAGAAGAAAGTATCTACCTAGTGATCATTTCCACTCTAGTAAGTTTAAAATAGAACTGAACTGCAACTCTGCCAATCTTCCTCCTGCATTCCCTTTGTTCAAAGGATGGTGATGGCTTCTAGCTAGTCCTCTAGTCAAAAGCCATAAAATAATCTTATACTTTTTATCCTACTTGTTTATTCCAATTATTCTGTTTACTGTCCTATTCAGCCAGTCACGAAATCTGGTTGAAACCACCACTTACATACTCTTCACTTTCACATTCTTCTATTCATTCCTACTACCTTAGGACATAGTTCAGATTTTCATGATTTCTGCAATAGTCTGTGTAGTTTTTCTGTCTCTATATTTTCATCACCGTAGTAGAAATGTTTTTTTCATGTGTAGTTAATAGTGTTTACAGCTTTCTATTCCTTAGTCACCTGAGACCTTAAAATGCAACATGTGACTTCTGTTTAAACTTCACGAATTGGCCAAACACATGAATTTCTTCTGCCTGTTGTGACTTTACACAAAGGATAATAATAAAAAATATATGAAAACCTTCAGAATGAAGGAAAGAGAATGGGAAAGGGTCTAATGTGGGCAGTTATTCCATTTATTCTTATCAGAAGAACCCTGACAGGCTCCACATTGAGATGCAGCAGGTGGGAAGAATTGTGGGCCTAGAGAAAGGAGCTGAAAGCAAGAGAATAATTGACCATCTGAAAACACTGCTGAGACCCCCCCATGTCCTGTTCACCATCACGGGCAGTTAGACTGTTACTGCCTCGGGAAGAATACCCAAGGTTTATTCTCATGAGAAATTAACTCTGAGAAGCTATAGACCCAGAAACTCTAGGCAAAAAGTGAGACTGAGATAAAAATTAAAAAGTTAAATAAAATCCTGTATAAGAACTATTGAACTATCAGTTCTCTTGTCCATCCTGCTCCCAGAAACCATAGGAGCAGGTGTATATCCCTCAGGTAGAAAAACTGGGGCTTTTCCTCCAGACAAAGTGAAGAGCCTTAGAGATGAGATTTCCAGAAAGTGACATTGGCAGCACTTTCAAACAAACACATATACACCAATGCAAATTCAGCCTTGCCACATTAATACCCCAGAGTGTAACTCTCCAGTTACCAAAGCCCAGCAGAGAATACAGAGCACCAGCCACCTTCTCAGTGTCTTATTGTTACAATATGAACCAAGAGATAAGGATTACAAAACAATGAAAGACAAACCACTAATATGAAAGGTGGATACAATCAAACTGGAAAATCAAAACCCAGATGAACCACAATCAGCATATGAAACAATTAAGAAGCAGAATTTAAAAAAAAAACTGTAAATATAATTATTTAGAGAAACTAAAAATTATACTGCATCATAAGACACTACTAAAATTTAACTATCAGAAAATAAGAAAGAACTCTTGACTGTTAGAAATCTGATAGCTGAAATATAACTATTAAGTACTGAGAAAAGGAGTTCAGAAAATCACTTGAAGTTAGAATACAAAAAAAGGGAAGGAAAATAAAACAGATAAGAATATTAGAGGTCAGTCATGAAAATCTTAAAGGAAATCCAAAGAAAAAGAATCAAGAAATTTGTGTGTGGCCAGGGGGAAAAAAATCTAAGAATATATTTTTTTAAGTTAGCATAGACAAAAACATTTCCAAACATGAATATTCTCCAAGGGAAAAAAAGGATGAAAAAGTGGTTTTCTTATTGATTATTTCTCTGGAAGTTACTGACTTCCATGAAAACAAAAAGATAAACCGGAAAAGATATAGAATCCAGGCATCGTTTAAGGACAATGAAGGGAATTCCTAGAATGAGTGCTAACAGAAGTCCCAGGAAGAGCAATGAAGCAGGTACAGCAAGTATCCAGAGCAATGGGTCCAAACATGGGCTCGCTGAGGCGAGAGGCCCAAGGACCATGAAAGAAAGAAAAGGACTCGACACAATATCTTAACAGGTCTACGTGTGGCCGGGCATGGTGGCTCACGCCTGTAATCCCAGCACTTTGGGAGGCCGAGGCGGGCAGATCACGAGGTCAAGAGATTGAGACCATCCTGGCCAACACGGTGAAACCCTGTCTCTACTAAAAATACAAAAATTAGCTGGGCATGGTGGCACATGCCTGTAGTTCCAGCTACTCAGGAGGCTGAGGCAGGAGAATCATTTGACCCCGGGACTGTGGAGTTGCAGTGAGCCAAGATGGCGCCACTGCACTCCAGCCTGAGCTACAGAGTGAGACTCTGTCTCATAAAAAAATAAATAAATAAAATAAAAAGATCTATGTGTTTGGAAAACAGTATTGAGAGTTGTCTGATAGGTCTGATGGTGATGGCACAGGTAGAAAAAAAAATAATGACAGGGTCACAGAAATGAATTAAATGAAAGAACAAGGCAATCAATAATGATAGGGAAACAAGATAGTCAGCTAAGACAATTTAGTAGAAGGATTGTGTTGGGTTTGCACTGACAAAAATATTTTTAATCTACAAAAGTGAAGTAATACTATTGTGTTTTCAGAAAAGTTAATTTGAACACGGTTGGTAAACTATAATTTGCTTTGTACATATGACCAGCTATGCATTTGTCTTAGAAGAAATATTATTCATCCTGTTCCAGGAAACAGAAAGTGCTTTGGGTATAAGAATGTAAGATCTCAGCTCCCAAAGGCCTGAACATAAGGTAAGGAAGACAGGCTGTGCTTAGTTACCCTGGCGAACTCCTTAAAATAAGTGTGAGAGAACAGGTGTTTCTATGTGTGTAAAAGAATGGCGAGATGTATGTCTATGTGTAAGAGAGCATGTGTATGTACTGTGAGAGAGTGTGTGTGTGTTTGTGTATCACAGTTATAATGATTGGACCACAAGTCTGTGATCGGAATGAAACAAATACTTCTGAGAAAAATACTGCAGAAAGAGGGCTTTCTCTCCCCGATTTGTACCCTCAGCAACTGCCAGACAATGAACTTCAGTCACAGAGGACAAAATCTACCTTCCTTCCAGAAAAATGACTGTCATGACTAGAAGTATTAACCTACGACAGCCACCAACAGGCTTCCAGCAAGATGCAAGTACTGCAGCTGGCCAAGGGATCACTTATTTTTGACAGTGACACCAGAACTATGGCAACAGCATTAGCAAAGAATGCTACTGTCCAGGAGGACCAATCAAATGTTCTTCTTTTTATCCCCATGAGACAAGAGTCACCAGAACTGGGTGAACACCCCTGGGGTGCATCTTCTGAGCATATCAGGGAAATATGGCTAAAGAGAGACGCAGAGGAAGAAAGACAGCATTTCATCAACACTAGAATGAACACTCAGACACATTTAAACATTTAAAAGAATATGCTTTTTAAAAGTGCTCCACATTGAGAAAGTAGAAAATAGTAGCTACATACAGAAAAGGTATTTACTATAATTTAGTTGTTGTTTTTCTTGCATCCTATAAAACACGGATAGAACACCTCTACTGGAGCAGCACATTCCCAGTTCTGCAGACCTGCCTTAAGAGTTTAGGGAAAGATGTGTGTAGGTGACAGCTCTGTGTATCCAGAGTGTGACATACACAAGCATGTCGTACAGCAGCAAGTCTGCTTTGCACTTGAAAATCCTTCAGGCAGGACAGGAGGTTCTCAAGGTACTTCTGAACACCCTTTGACATCTTTGAAAGTTGAAAAACTGAATTTTAATAAAAATACTTTATGCCAGTACATTCTCAGGCTAGACTGTGTGTCTAGCTCTCAGTCCACTGTATTAAGAAGGATCTGGCAGAAGTTTATATGCATGCACATGAAAGAAAACCTACTAGACTCCAAGCTATAATACTTTGGTTCATTTGTTTATTTGTATGACTTATGGGAATTTGCCTAATCTGTGTGAGTCTCAGTTTTCATATTATAAGTGAGTCACTTATAATATGACTATGGTCAAATTCCACGTCTTAGATACTTCACACAGGATCTAGTAGGCAGGCGTCAAATGAGATAATACATATGCAAGAATGCTGTAATGCAAAGAGCACTGAACAAAGGCAAGCAGTTTAATAATCTGAACTGATTCACATGCCAGTGTTTTTTGAAATCTGTTCTTTGGCTCTCTAGGTTACCCAAGTATAAGAATGGGGAGGATGGCCGGGCACGGTGGCTCACACCTGTGATCCCAGCACTTTGGGAGGCCAAGGCGAGCGGATCATGAGGTCAGGAGTTCGAGACCAGCCTGACCAATATGGTGAAACCCCATCTCTACTAAAAATACAAAAACTAGCTGGGTGCGGTGGTGCGTGCCTTGCCTGTAATCCCAGCTACTCAGGAGGCTGAAGCAGGAGAATCGCTTGAACTTGGGACACAGAGGTTGCGGTGAGCAGAGATAGTGCCACTGCACTCCTGCCTGGGCAATGGAGCAAGATTCCTTGTCAAAAAAAAAAGGGGGAGGATAATGAGGAGGAGCAAATAGAATGAACTCCATGTCTCTCCAACACTTGACCTGAAGTAACTCCACTTTTACCTCGTTTATTTTGGGAATTATAAATACAATTTTATTTAGTAAAAAACTAGGTTCTTTTCCTTTAAAAGTATTTAGAAAGTGTAGCTATAAACAATGGAGAAAGGAATAGGAACTATGAGAGATGAGAACAAAAGGAAACATCTCTATTGTAAAATAACTCAATATGGCAATAAAAGACAGAGGCAGAGAAATAGCAGCAGAGCGGCAGTAAAAATAGTAATAGCCTGTGAATCAAGAAATTTGGATTTTATTCTGTCTCTGTGCTACCAGCCAAATAACTAAAAATCAAGAAAAAAAAGGAACCATGATAGAAGCAGATTAACAGGTTATCCAGATATTAGAGTTATCAAAGGCAGGCTTTAAAAAAAACTCATCATAAATATATTGAAGGAAATATGTAATAAGATGGAGAATTTCTCCATAAAACAGAAATCTAAATTAAACAAATCCAATGAAATCTTAGAAATAAAAATTATTAAAAAATTGAAATGGGCTTAACAACAGGTATTGATCTGGATGTTAATTACTTGGTGTACACTTCAGATTTATGCACTTTACTATATGTGTATTATATATTATACCTCAGTCAATGTATTTGTAATTCATTCCTTCTGCTTGTGAAAATGGGCTGGGGAGTGAGAAGAGGAGTGAGCAAGAATGAAGCAGGGAGAAGCTTAAAAAATCCATGTGGTCAGTCACCAAAAGAGATGATGGCATGGATTAGGTGGCAGTGATGGAGCAGGTAGAAAGAAAGGTTTTGAAATAATGTTAATTGGATTGCTAATGAATTTTTTGGTTTCAACAGCTATTTTTTTTTTTGAGATACTGAGTTGGAGAAGTGTATGCAACACCTCTCACGTAGGTAACTGGATATAGACGTACTAAGCTCAGAGTGGAGATCTGGGCTAAAGATACAAACTAAATTCTCAGCATAAAAATGCAATTTAAAGAAAAGTATAAGGCTGAATGGAATCACATAGAGAGTGTAAATGGAGAAGAGAAAGGGGCCCAGGTCAAAGGCCTGAAATGCCCCAAAATTTAGAATTTGTATGCAGGAGTTGGAGACACTTCTGAAAAGGAATGGCCCGTGAGGTAGGAGGAAAGCTAAATGAATGTGGTGTCAAAGAAGCCATGAGTGGAGAACATGTCAATAAGCAGAGAGTAACCAGTTATGCTGTGAAAATGAGATTTGACAGTGTGGATTTTATTTTTGGCTTTGATGGAAGCATTCCAAGGTATAGGTGGAAAAACTCTCAAAGAAGTAAATTTAAAGGAGAACAAGAAGTGAAGAAGTAGAGACAACAAATAGAGAAAACTGTTACATTTTGTGAAGGGGAGAAAAGAAATAAGGTACTTGGAGGAGTGCAAGGAGAATTTAATTTTTTTTTTTTTTTTTTTTTTTTGAGACAGAGTATCACTCTTTTGCCCATGCTGGAGTGCGGTAGCAGTAGCAGGATCTTTGCTGACTGCAACCTCTGCCTCCCAGGTTCAAGTAATTCTCATACCCCAGCCTCCTGAATAGCTGGGATTATAGGTGCCCACCACCACACCTGGCTAATTTTTGTATTATATATTTAGTGGAGACAGGGTTTCACCATGCTGGCCAGGCTGATTTCGAACTCCTGACTTCAAGTGATCCACCCGCCTCAGCCTCCCAAAGTGCTGGGATTACAGGCATGAGCCACTGTGCCCAGCCAAGTATTTTTTTAAATGTGGGATATATTGAAGCGCACTTCTACTTTATAGGAGAAAATGCTTGAAAAACTTAGAGTGGATGGGTTGCACTCTAAATTTGCAAGCAGATGAAGTGCAAGAGATTTTCTTTCATTTTAATCAAAGGGGGAATATTCGAGTACAGATGCACTTAGGTTTAGGAATTCAGTGATGGTGAGATGATGATGGGCTTCTCCTCTGAATGCTTCCAGTTTCCTTTTACAGTTTGAAAAATTTCATCAGAATGTGAACATGAATGGTGAGGAGGAAAGGAAAAAGGAAAAGATAATTAAGTGACCATCTTGGGGTATTAGGAAGCAAATGTATTGAAGAAATACAGCAGGGTTGCTGGAGAGGGTCACCTTGAGATGCATGGCCAGCTATTTATAGTGAGACCACTTACTGGGGTTTGCTATATTCCCAAGCAAAGTTCAGTAATACGATTTGCAGCAGAGTCTTGGAGCCAGAGGAAAATTAGATTTAACCCTGACCTGGCTTTTTCCATGGGAGAAAGATAGAAAGGGGAGCATTTCATCCAACTTAAATGCTATAGCCTCTTACACTGAACACTGGAAAGCTCTGTCACTCTTAGGCACAGAGAAGCTGGGGATCACCCTGAAGTTGCTATCACTTTTGGTTCTACTCTTGACAAAACTGCCCTTTGTCAAGTAAAGAACTTTACTAGCTCATCAAGTGATATCAACATCTTTGGACATATTTGATTAAAACCAAGGGACTGCTAAGCCTCTGATAAGTTTTCTCTCAGGAGAATTATTTGGTAGATAAAATACATAAGGCAACACATTGCAAGCCGCAGAATTAACAATCCATGTACCGGCTCTGACTTAAAGAGGCAGTTGTGGTCAGACTTTCCATCCTCACCTATTTCAAACTCAGCCAACCCTCCTTAGCAGTATATTAGGGAATGAAAATGTCCTTTAGAGATTCGCTGACATTTGATGAAGATGGAAATCTCGATTAGAAAGATCATCATTTGCAAACTATCAGAAAGAAAACACTGACTTTCTTGGTCAAAATGTTTTACTGGTGAAATGTTTTAAAGTGTACCTATGGTAAAAAGTTCAACAGTACACATTTATCAGCTGTATTATAACTTAGAAAAATGTAATTTATTATGATACAGACCTGTTTATCTTATGCTGGTGTTTCTTTTATAATCTACTAAGAAAAAAAAACATGAAGTGAAACAACATGTTTATTCTTAGAAAGAACATTTAGGCATGTGTGTAAAAGTGGATTGGGAATCTGGTGCTTCTTACAATTCCTGGAAGTTGGGAGGAAGGAGAAGAAGCTATGGAGGGGCCGGATAGGGTAGCTCACGCCTATAATCCCAGCACTTTGGGAGGCCAAGGTGGGCGGATCACCTGGGGTCAGGAGTTTGAGACCAGCCTGGCCAACATGGTGAAACCTCGTCTCTACTAAAAATACAAAAATTAGCCAGGCGTGGTGGCACTTGCCTGTAATCCCAGCTACTCAGGAGACTGAGGCAGTGGAATTGCTTGAACCCAGCAGGCAGAGGTTGCAGTGAGCCAACATCACCACAGAGCATTCCAGCCTGGGCAACACAGCAAGACTCCATCTCAAAATAAAATAAAATAAAATAAAAACGCTATAGAGGGAGTCACCAAAGTGGAGGATGTGCTTTAGCCCAGCTATCCCATCCCCAGAATGGCCTGTCCTGGCCACTCTGTCCAGCTGAGACTACTGAATCTTCTATGACTTGTTACTAACCTCTGGACTGGCAAAATCACACCTAATTGTATTCTTTTCCAACAGTCAGTGCACATTTAAACTGATAAAGCAAAGAAACGTTCACAGTCATTTCGCATACATGAAATGTCTCTTCAAGAGGAAGGCTTACTCTTTTCTAAAAACCCCAGAGTCTATGTATAAATGAGTGTTGTTCCCATCACAATACTTATTTTACAAGCAAGTTATTCTAACAATGATCTGAATATTATTTTGATGAATTCCTCTTAGCGATCAATCATCTAAGAATATCAGTCACATAACTACACACAGTTAACCATTTCAAATCCTTTGCAGACCAAGAGAGATGGACAGGTGAACAAATGGATGAATTACTACTAGATGAATTACATGAGGACTTGAGGTCACAACTCCTTCTGGATCCACTCCTAGAAGTTGCTACAAAGATAATTAAGTTATTTAAACTTCTGTGCCTCTGATATTTTCTTTCTAGAAAATAACTCATTTCACTTGGGGCCCAGATTCCATTACAAGTTAAAGGAGAAATAAATTAAAAAGTGCCTGATATTCATCAAGCTACATAGAATACCAGGCATTGTAATTCATCAGTACCGCATAATCTCCTTAGAAAGAGCTGTCTCAAGTTCTCCATTAAAACACCTAATTTTCTTACACATTGGGGAGATTGAGGTAGATCCATATCTCCTGTCAGAAAAAAAACCTCTGAGACAAGTTGTTAAAATGGACAAAGCCAACTAACAAATAGTACATGTGGTAAAATAGATAATAATTTTGAAGGAGAGATGGACACCAAAACAATTATGCAAAGTAAACTTGAAAGAAGGAGCAGTGACTGTCTTAGACAAATACAAAAGACTGGGTGTTCCATAAATATTTGAAGGACAAAGCAATGTTAGAGTAGAGCTATAACCACACTACTATGAGAACACTAAATAGGTATGATCAAATTGTCTTTATTTGAGGCATTTGGAGAAGGGAAAGGCTGTATCCTGAGACTTTTTGTTAAGTCTCTGACTTCAGAAATTTCAGGCATATACTTCAGAAATATATGGGAATATATTTTTATTGCAGAGAATTGCATTCAAATAGTATAGACAAAAGTTTCCCATTTAAGGTCGATATCCTCTCTCTCACCTAAAATAGCTATAATTGTTATTTTTATCATATATCCTTTTGAATATTAAAAACATATTTACATACATACATATAGAGAGAGAAATAGGCAAATTTTTCTTTTTATTTTTCCCTAGATCTCTCTTACTTCAAGCTTTATTCTGCTGCTGGCCTGGAAGTCTACCGTATAGTTAAAGGAGGAAGACGAGTACAAGACAGGGTTGGAGAGAAAGGTCGGAGCCAGACCATTCTAAATGTCAGGCAATGGTAAGAAAGTTAGTGTGGATTCTAAGTTGTTTACATGCAAAAACAGGGAATTGTTATAATCTGATTATTTCTAAAGGGTACTCTGGCAGCTGGGGAGGAGACACTATCAGAATGGGGCATAATCCATATTGAAGAAAGCGTGAGAGTTGGAGAATTAGAGACAGTAAATACAGACAACTAGATAAGTTTTGCTGTTAAGGGGAAAAGAAAATTGGCACTTCTCCAGAACAGGCTCCAGAATACTATATCCAGCATGTTCCTCTCTTAAAATTTGCTGAGAGTTCTTGAGGCCATAGTTCTTGGTCTATCACAGACTTTTTTTTTCCAAATAGAGAAATGAGCAGCATCAAAAGACCATGTGATGAAACGTGGAATCCCTGACCTAGCACAAACCAGCCCTCATCTCCAGACCGATGCTTTCTGCACCAGCCATATTTTAAGCTTCAGATCTGAATGAAAGTCTCAAGCTGTCACTCAACAGCAGCAGCTAAGGAGAATCACTCCACACCCCACCAAAGTGACCCCCTCATTTCATTCTAAATGAAGTTCAAACTCCAATTCAGCATTCAAGGCTCACACATACCTACATATCTTCCTTGGTATTGCCCCCATTGTTGCCTTCACATGCTCTCTTTCTAGTCAAATATAGCTAAGGTCTGCACCTTTGCTTACTCTAATCCCTTTACATAAAATGACCAGTTTCCTCAATTCGACATGGACACGTGCTGTGTGTCTTTCAAGACTCCAGTCAAATCATTCCCTTTCTGAATCTCTGGTCATAAAATAATCTTTCCCCTCTAAAATCCCATGGAACTACTAATATATACTAATCCTTTCTATGAGACACTAAGTAAGCCTTTTGAATATGTCTTGAACCTAATAGTGGTCGATAAATTTGTTGAATAATACTGTTGTAACAGAATGTTAAAATGGGTTACTTCTTATTTCTGTTTCGTCCGAGTACTCTAAGCTAGTGCTTCTCAAAAGTGACTGTGAATATAAATCGCCTGGGCACCAGGTAAAAACGCAGATTCCCATTCAGTAGGTCTGGGATGAGACCTAAGATTCAGCATTTCTTCAAGCTACCAGGTGAAGCTGCTGCTGGTACTAAGACCACAAACTGAATATCAATCTACTGAATAGGTGCCAACTATTTTCATGCTGCAAAGTGGGACCACAAAAGTAGAGAAGGTTGCTTAACATTAGTTTGGTGACATGGACATGGAACAGAAAATTCAACTCCAGCTTTTGTAAGGTTGGAGTAACCAAGAAGGATCCTGGAGTTTAGAGGAATTTTGGAGAGAATGCTGTGTAATGATGGTCCTGCTTACCCCACTACAACCCGATCTATGGGAAATAGGAGATCCTTTTTCAACCATTAAGCCTAGGGAGAATGTCATGAAATGGACTGATACAGAATTTGATTTGTATGTTGTATGTCCTAGAGTTTGAGAGGCACGATGCCTGAGAAATCTAAAGAAAAAGAGACTGTAACTGTCTGCCTGCTGGGGTGGATGGTGTTCTGTAGTGAGGCTTCCATGTTGGGAGAGCCTGCATGCCCAGAGTTCATTGGACAAATGATGTGCATTATTTTCCATGGAAGAAATGTGGACCATACCTGTGTGAGAATCTGTGTGGGGTTGTCTTAGATGTTGCACAGAGAGGCCACCAGAATGGGTTTGGATACCTCACCAGAAAGATGCTGAAGCTATTAGGATAGATACCTCAGGGATAAGGGAGAATTGCAGTTAAAATGTCTGAATCACTTTGTACTTGGCCATATCAGTGGAACAGGTGTGAGAGACCCCCTGTGATGACAGGTTTCCCCAACAACCCCAAAGAGAATGGCTCAGCTATAACACTTGCCAAAACTCAGAGATAGCTGCACAGGCCTTAACTGGGGGAGAGAGAGAATTGTAACAAAACTTTAATAGATTTTTGTTTATTTTATAGGAGTGAGCGCTTTAATTGATGAACTAAGACTTTAGGGAAGTGTTCAAAGGACATTTTTGCTATCTGAGAATAAAAGTCAGTGGGATCTGCTCAAGTTGTCATCTAAGATGGTGGGAAGAACAAATTCTAAAAACAATTTTGAAGGGGCAGTAGAAGACAAACAGTTGTTTTAAAGTTCTACACTTTGAGTCTAGCTTGTTGAAAGACACAATTACATAGTTAGCTCAAAGCACAATATAAAATGCACACTCATGAGTACCAGTTAGCCTTAAACTAAGCCCATAATACTGTCTTAGCTTTGAAGGTGCTAGTATTAAAACAGGTCCTCCAAGAAGCAGATATCAAGATGAGAGAGATCAGCTGCACAGAGATTTATTAGAGGTAACATCCATAAGGGAAAATAAGAAGGGAGTCAGGAGAGGCTGGGAGTGCTGTCAAACTACCATGTAGAATTGACTTGTACCCTGGGTGAAGGACACACGGAAGGAAAGTTTAGCGGAGACGTCTCAGACAGCAGTGCAATTCTAGGTGAGGTCAGTAAGGCCTTCGGAGTCCTTAAGCCAAAGTTTATTATCAGGAGCTCCATGTCACCAAGAAACAGGTCTGCCTTTGCATTGCTGCCTCCACTCAGTCATTGATGAGTGTAGCCCGTGGGAAGCCTGTCTTCTTGGAAATGAAGTAAAGGTTTCAATGCACACCTTCTTGGAAATGAAGTAAAGGTTTCAATGCACACCAGTTGGTGCTATAAGTCAATTATGCTCCCCACAGTCCAAGGAGTGCGCTCTCATAACTGCCACAGAAGTAATTCAGATTTTTAATATATTTACTTACTTATTTTTGCCATGGGACCTTGAACTGAGAAAAGACCATTTTGAGGATAAATCATGGCTCATGCTGTCATATTTTCAGGTGTTATAGAATGTATTGATAAAAAGCTGAATGTGACTTTTCTCCATCGGAATTGAAAAGGTGTTATTGATATAGACATATGCTCAACAGCAAGCAACAGTCACACCAGATCCAGAACTCACTAAATTATTGTAGAAGAACCCAAATGTGACTTTCCAAGGGCTCTCAGATCATGCTAAGTCAAGACCATTGCAGCACCCACGTGCATTTGGTAATTATCCACTGATATGAACATTTTAACATAAAAATTCATTTAAAAATAAAAGATGTTCTCATTAAACTGCTCAAGAAAGCAACATTAATATTCAGTTTGACAAAGATTATAATTCAGGCTTTTCATTAGTTGTTAATCATCAAATTATACATTTACATAAAAGCAAAGGACAATTTAAGGAGTAATACTAACGTTCAACAAACACAACTAATTTAACTGTTCAGCCATACCTACTTAAGTCAACATAAAACTAAGCATGCTGAGAAAAGCAAAAAGTTAATTCCATCAGTTATTTTATCTATGCAATATTGATTAAGCCCGTTAAACATATTTGGCTGACTCAAGTTTTATTGGGGAACAAAATAGACAAGATTGATTTTGGCTTTTTTTTTTTTGTAATTTACATTTTTTAGCACCCTGTGAACACATCCTTGGGGATGAATAATAGCAGCATAAATATAAGCTGAAGTAGGACTTATAAGCAAGAATAGATGACAAATAAGGATAGGACCCTAAGGAACCTAGCATCACAGGACATGAATGAGTGGAGGCTAAAGGGGACTGGAATACCTTAATCTTGAAAGCTAAGGGATTCCTTCCAGATTCTAATCATTATTCACCTTTCTCTCAGAGGAAGATTTTGTGTCAGGTATATGTCAGCTTTTTATTCTCTAAGCAGTAAAAAAATTTCCCCTATCTATGTCATACAATAAATGAAAGTTTAAAAACCATTTTTGGTTGAGGTGGCCAATGAGGTAATATCAAAATCCACACTAAAAGACAAATAAGTAATGTCATAGGGAATTATTCTCCCTATATTCCCATTACAACTCACATATATCTCCATTTATAGTATATTTATAGTTTTGATACTATGAGTTCATTATTTGAATGTCTACCTTCCCCAATGGACTTCTAAACATATTAAAGATATTAAGTATTTCTCTTCAAACTATTTGCATCACTAGCAACTAAGAGTGTTCTTGGGGATTAAGGGGACAGATTTTGTCAGGTTCAGACCTTGGCTCCAACACTAAATGTGTTTCCTTGAGCAACTTAGTAAACCTCTTCAAGACATGATTTAAAAGAGGGATTATAACACTTACCTCACTGTGTTATGAGAAGAAATGGAATGTAAAGCCTTAATACAAGATACAGTAATCATAAAATGTTGCTAGTATTGTTATCACTATCATGGTTATGATTTTTTTAAATTATAGCAGATCCTCTGTAAAGACTTGGGTAATGAATATGCTTTGTGACCCTATCAGCCCAAAAACAAACTCAAAATTCAAAGATTATGGAAGCTCACAGTAAAAATAAATCATGTTAAATACTTGACTCCATAATGCTATACCTTGTCATTTTTGAATTATTTGGTCATATATAATTCTACACTGTGCAGCCCCAGCTAAGGAGCCTTCTGGGATCTCACATCCCACCAGTGAGGAAGGTGGAACACAGCCGAAGCCTTGAAGGGTCAAAATGTGGAGAATAAAATTAAGAAGATAGTAACAATCCTCTGCTCCTAAGAGAGGGGATCCGTGTTCAAATGGCTAAGTCTAAGAGGTGTAGTAAATTTGAATCCAATACAAGTAAATATTGATATCAAACTTGTGAGTAACTGTTTTCATGTTCTTGAAAAAATACTAAGAAAAGAAATATGGTTGATGCATAATAAGCAAAGTTTGCCAACAATGAGAACACTAAGACTTAAGGAATAAATCTCAACGAGAAAATGCTGGAAGCAGGAATCAAGCCAAATGGAAAACATGAAGTCCTGTGCAGCAAAAATTCAATAAAATGATTTCTCTTAAAAAAAAGTATCAATTGAAAAACTATAAGAGATAACAAAATTTTTAGAAAGAACACTAGTTATAAAATAAATATTCAGACATTGATAGTGGCTTTATATACTAGCAATATCCTGTTAGAAAATACAATAAAATATTCCCATTCAAAGAAGGAATAAAAATATAAAATCTATAGAAATAAACACATCAACAAATAGGAACTAAATTTAAAGCATATAAAAATTTACAAAGATGGAAAATAAATCTCAAATAAATAGAAAACCATACAATAGTAGATACGAAAGGACTTATCATTATAAACAAATCAACTCTTCCTAAATCAACACAGGAATTTAAAGCAGCTTCAATACAAATTTCAAATGATGATGTTGAACCTAAGAAAGGACTATAAAATCCATCTGCGAGAATAAATGGGGAAAAGAGTCAAGAAAAGAATGGAATTGAAGCTCTGCAAGGTGAGAACAAAATAGAGGTTATTAGCTGAAACAGCACAAGTTAAACAGAGCTGAGGAACATGTCAAGAGAGGATCATTTAACGAAAGAGGAGGTTTTAAGTGCAGGAGAGACAATTACAGGTCTTAAACTGAAAAGGTCAGAGGCAGAAGGATCAAACTAGCCTCAAAAAGCAGTTCAGTGTCAGCCAGAAGGCAGGGGAACCCCACTGAGGAAGGTCATGGTTGGATACTGAGGCAACCCCCCTCCCCCCACCCCGCCCAGCTTCTGTGGAAGGTATGTGACTTACAGGCTTTTTGGGATGACATTCAGAGCTTACAGAATTGAGGCTAAGTGTGCACCAAGAGCATCTCATCTCTCTGCACAGAGGCCTCAAATTCTTCTTAGTCCTTCTCAGTCATAAGATCATCAAGTACCTACTGACATGTGCCAGTTACACCACACATTCTCAGTCATAGAGGGACAGAGCCACATTAATGCTTCCCAGAACTGATGCACCTGCCAAAGTCTCAGGCAACTTAGCCCATCAATGGGGGCGTGGGAGCTTTCAGGCTGAGAGTCTCTCCAGAAAGAGCCATTAAATGCTGTAACAACTACCATCTCTATAGGATATTGACATTCAGATGGAAAAAGGGATGAGTAACCCCTATCCTTCAGATATTTTGAAATATTACAATGTTTGGGAGTGTACAGAATAACTTCCTGGTGATTGGCTAAATACAACATAATTGGTTAAGAGCATAAACTTGAGCCAGAATGTATGGATTTGAATCTTGACGTTGCCACTTTCTAAATGTAAGTAGTCACTTAACTTTTCTTGATCTATCTTTGGTAAGCTGGGGTTAATATGTCATAAGATGGTTGTGAGGATTATGAGCAAATATACTAAGTATTTAGTAGCATGATTATTTCATTGTACTACAAAGCATTTGCTCTTATTTTAAATTAGACATTTAGTAGTAGATAGAGAAGACTTCTTGTCCCTTCATCCTTAAGCCTTTTTACCAGCTTTTTTTTTTTGTTTTCTATAGTAACAACAGAGTCATAACTGATACTTTTTTCTCAAACAGTACCTGAAAAAATTCCCCAGCAGAGTCTAAAAGGACCCAAAGAGGAGGTCTATACAGAATACATCCTCCTTTTGCAATCCTGAAGTGGTTCCATTTTCAGGAAGCTGATTCCCTTTGGCAAGCACAAAATTATCATTTGACATTTGCAGGTGATGCATGTCTTCGGAGAAAGAAATGTAAGCAATGTCAGAGTTCTCCTGTACATCAGCAAAGGAAACACATGTGAGCCCCAGGCTGTTTGTGCCAGAGTCCTTCCCAGTAAAATGGGTCAGAGCTCTGCTGCAATCTGCATTCTCTCTCATACAGTCCACTGAGGACCGAAGCAGCACATTGGAAGTCCTACCGCTTGTTCCACTCCCACTCCCACAAGTCAGCAGGGGAACATGGAACCAAACCTCACATTCAGGAATTGTATTGACACCTTGTAACACCTTTATGATGAGTTGAATTTCTGAGTTACTTTACATGTGTATCTTTAAAATTTCTCTCCAGAGAGTAAAAATGAATGTCCCATTCTGAATCCAAAGGTGAAGTGCATCAAACACACAACCAGCAAGGGATGCATGTTGTGGGAAAAAAAAAAAAAAAAAGATATTGGAAGCAATAACCATAAGTGCTTTCACTGGATTAATTGAAAATTTAGGAAATAGAAAATAACATGGGAAGGCCATATTTTTCTCCTCCACTCAGCACTCTCTACCCCAGTGAACACACATGCACATACGATGACAGACACATACTCACAGGTTTTCTCCTCTAACCTTGAAGAGGATACAGCCTGAATACTGCTCTTATCTGAAATCTACACACGAGTAATTGAAATTTTGCTTCTCTGGCCATTCTGTTCCATCTCAAGCGCAAACCCAGGAAACCCCGATTAAGTCTCCCAAGTCCTCCTCATTAAGCTAAAAGAAGTAATGGTAATTGTAGACACATTCTTCCAAATAATGAATTGCTGACTACAGAGAGCTTTCTTTGTTCTAGGCACTGCACTAGTACTAGGCATACCTTGCTTTTAGTTTTCATGAGAGTCAAGCAAGGAAGATACCATTAACTCCATGTTACACACACAGGGAAGATAACCTGGCAGGTTCCTGAACCACATGGAAAAGAATTTGGACTATCAAAGCAGGAGCATGCAGGAGGCATGAAAGAGGCAGAGGGGTAAGCACAGGAGAAGGGTGGAAAAGGGACGCTAAGAATGTTCAGGGCATGAGCCTGTGGTATGTGACAGGACTATGACATTGCCAAGGCCAGCATCAAGTTTCTGGAACTTCATGTGGATGTTCCCCCCCGCCAAGTTATCTGACCCCAAAGCCAGGTAGGGACCAATCCAAGATTTCTTCTGTTTCAATAGTGTAAAATTAGGTTTTCCTCCTCCTCAAATTCTACATCCTGCATCACTGGAAGAAAGAACAGTAAACTATGCAAGAAAAGGCAGAAAATGTTTAAATCCCCATTTATTACTTCCAAAGTGAACGCTGCATCAAACTGTACATCACATTGTCTCCACTGTCTATAGACTTAGAAATGAAACAGACAGAGAGCACTCATGTTCTTCTTCACCTGCAATCCTAACTCCCACACCAAATTTACCCTCAGGGGAACAGTGTAGAGAAAGGAAGTAACATGCTCTGATCAGAGCTACAGTCCAGAAGTAGATAAACCTGTCTGTAATCAACCTCTGATTTCAAAAGTACCAACAACAATAACAATAATGACTTGGTGAAAAACAATGAAATGTCCTATGGATCAGCAGAACCGCCATCCGATGTAAAGCATCTCTTGTCTGGAAGTGCATCTATAATCACATTGTCACCGATGTGGATTAAAAACATTTCTCTCCCTTCATGGTCCAAATAGCATGTCCCCTCTCTGCCCAACTTTTCCTAAGAGGCCAAGACTGACTTGCCTCAAACTGGAAGAGGATACACAAGGATGTCGGGGGAGTGATCCATGGGGCCTGAATCCTGACAAATTACGGCCATGAAAGGAGATGAACTGGCTGATTGGATGAGGGGGTAAAAAAAAAAAAAAAAAAAAAAAAAAGGAAAAGGAAGCCCATGGCTGCTTCTACATTTTTGCCAATGTATTAGGAAAAAAGAGGGACTATTCAGTTGATACAAAAAATATAGGAGGCAATTTTAATAGGAATTTTAAGGCATTTTAAAATCAAGATATATATATATATAATATTCAGGATTTGTAGGCTATATAGGTGTTACTTGTAGGCATTTCAATAAGAACAGACAAATGTAAGTAAAATTACATTCTTTCCATTTTGGTCTACATGTTGACTAGTTTTGTTCTAAACAATAGCAAAAGTTGCCTTAAAGTGCCTTTTCTCCCAATATCCAAGTTAACCAGAATTGGTTAGAAGTGGAAATTATTGATAATTTCCTCAATCAGGAAAGTCTCTGGCACAGACAAAAACTTTGGTAACTGTTGAAAATGAGCTTGAAGAACATAATACAGAAAGCTATATTTAATCCAGCTTCGTAGTTACAAGAGCTAATCAGTAACAATCCTCTTTTGCATCATAGACAAGGCTCTGCCTAAAGCAACTGTTCTCTAGGCCCCTCTCAGTGGTAACTGGAGTAGTTTTGGCATAGGAGATCTACCTGTGGTAGTCACCCACATCACACTAATTTAAGCCTGTAATATGCCCATCTGTGGACATGAGGGAATCTTTGGCAATGCATATGCTAATTAGCAGATGCTGATTACTGAGAAAATTGAAATAAAAATAATCACATCATAATAAAGATAGAAGTGGGTAAAGATGAGTGAAATATACAGGGTTCCACATTTGAACCTCATGCAGAAAAGAACTTTCTCAGTAGTTAGGTTTTGCAAAAATGCAGAGCTGTCCTGTCAGATAATGGGCTCCCTGATGCCAGTAGTGTTTAAGTACAGGCTAGAAATCCATCTGCCACTGATATGATAGAAAGTATACCTGTACTGATGATGAACTAGTGATTTCCAAGGGCTCTCTAAATTTTAAGACTCTTTGATTTATTTTTTTTAAAAAAACTGCACTCTACTTTCTAGAGTGGAAATTATTTGAAAATAATGCTTCAAGTGAAAACAATAAGAAAAATACATCACAGGAGGTGAATGACACATCTAAATCATGTATGTTCAATGTCCAGTGCTAGAAGACAGGAAAATAGTGCTTCCAGTAACTGACAAGTACTGAGGTGGAAAATAAGCAAAAGGCCAGGTGCAGTGGCTCACGTCTGTAATCCCAGCACTTTGGGAGGCTGAGGTGGGTGGATCATGAGGTCAGGAGTTCAAGACCAGCCTGACCAAGATGGTGAAACCCCGTCTCTACTAAAAATACAAAAAATTAGCTGGGTCAGTGGCAGGTGCCCGTAATCCCAGCTTCTCTGGAGGCTGAGGCAGGAGAATCCATTGAACTTGGAGGGCGGAGGCTGCAGTGAGCTGAGATCTCGCCACTGCACTCCAGCCTGGGCGACTGTGAGAGTCCATCTCAAAAAAAAAAAAAAAAAAGAAAGAAAATAAGCAACACATAGTACATGTGAAATAAATGGTAATGTTACAAACAAATAAGACAATTTCCATGGTAGCACATTGCTGCATTTCAACAGATTTATAATTCCTGTTTTTCGCCATTTCACTCTCCCTCTTTTGAACTTTCATCTTAAGATTACAAAACAAACACAAATGAGAAGGGATTTATGTTCTTCCTTTGTTAAAGGAGTATCAAACCTGCCTACTTTCTAAGCCTTCTGATGAACATTTTATTTTGAGAGACTGAGCAGCCTCAATTTTATCATTTTGCTGAAAAATTTTTGGTTATGCCATGTGACTCTTAAGGAGATAAGGAACATAATTTCTGAGATCTTAGAAATAAATCCCTTTTGCAAAGGAAAAAAAACTTTTTTGAATGTCCTATAGTATTCCCATATCTTTCTCCACTCCGAGTCTCTTAAAACTGGAATGCAAAATATAGGAGTGGCTACACGGAAATAGAGAATAGAAGTGTGTGCATTAGAGGCTGAGAAGTATAGGGAGGAGGAGAGACTGGTTAACAGACACACTGTTACAGCTAGATAGACCAAATGTGTCTGATGTTCTGCAGCACTATAAGGTGAATATGGTTAACTAACTTATTGTATATCCTCAAAAAGCTAAAAGAGAGGATTGTGAGTGTTTACAACACAAAGACATGCTATGTTTGAGGTGATAAATACCCAGATGATCCAAATTTGATCATTCCACATGTACACATGTATTGAAATATCACTCTGTATCACATAAATATGTATATTACATGTCAACTAAAATAAAAGGAGGGGCCAAACATGTCTCCAGGGTGCTCCAACAATCGTTTCATAATTGTTTGTTTTTTTAAACATTTTTAAATACGCAGACAGAAAAGTGCATTGCACAAAATAAAATACAGAGCTTAAAATTGATCACACCCCCACAAATGTCATGAAGCATCAGCCAGCACCCCGACCCTTGTCTTGTGCCTAGTTTTCTTTTATTGTGTGGTAAGATTTTTTAAAAGGCACTTTGGGAGGCCAAGGCAAGAGGATCACTTGAGGGCAGGGATTTGAGAACAGCCTGGGTGACAAAGGAGACCCTATCTCTATAAATAATAAATAAATAAATAAAATTTTATTGGAAAAAAGTATAAATACTTCGAGGCAAAGGTTGGTGTATCTTCTTCAAGAGAAGATATTTATTTGTTTCTACTAGGCTTCTGGGCACTGACAATACAGAGTCTCCTTTATGCAAATTCAATGACTGAGATGACTGAAAGCTATAGCTTCTTAGAAGTCTGGCCTGGAGCAAATTCTGAGGAACCCCAAACTAAAAGGTTGAGTATAGGGATTACTTGGGATCCTTCTTTGTAAGACTCTGGACTCTAATGTTTTGTATCTTTTGCTTTAAGGGCCTGTCAAAAGTGCAACTAAACTTCCGGCTGACACTTCTAGAATCGGTAAATGTACCAGGAGAAAGTAGCCCTAAATTTTGAGCATATCTTTGTATATTTTTGTCTCCTCTAGGATCTTAGCCCTATAACTCTCTACTAGCTTCTTAGTTCTCTGATATCTGTAAATTATTTACCTAGATTTTCTAATCTCCCTCCATAAGGAGGGTTATTCCAAATTACTCTTCTACCAATACTGTTAGCAGAAGTCATAATTAACATTCAGAAGTCTTCTTATCATAATAATTTGGACAAATTGAACCATTTATTCTATAAAAATAAATTTTTATACATTATCTAAAATAAGGATGTACCTGCCACATATCAAAACTACTTATAAATAATCATAATACACTATTATTGAAACACACCACTACTTTTGAATGCAAAATAAAGATCATTTTTCTTAATTCTTGCAATTGTGATCTTGAGGCTGAGGGGCCCTGATTCATAGTGACAAAAAAGAGTGACCAAATGGCATTAGGATCTCATCTATATGAGAAGAGAGTATTTCTTCTGACAGAGAAGATAATTTTTTTCAAGTCACTCAACTAGCAGTAATATTTGTGGATCCCTTAGCATATGACCTGAATATTCTGCATGTTTTTATGTATACTTTCTTATTGAATATTTATAATATACAACTAAAGTAAATATTAATAGCTCTCATTTACTAACGAGAAAACTAAAGCTCAAAGAAGTGAAATGACCCATTAAAGGATACATACCAAAAAATGGCAATGGCCATAAAGGGGACACATTCAGACCCAGGACCCCTGACTTTTGAAAATTACGTGGAAAATAATTCAAACACAAGGCTGGGAATTTATAAAGCCAGAAATAAGTGAAATTTATTTAAGAAGGAAACAAGGTAGATATGTCTTCACGACCATTATTTCTGAGTTATAAAGACAACTCATATACTCACAAAACACAACTGCAAAAAATGAACTTTGCTAGAATCCAACCCACCCACTCCGTTATACACGAGGAACTTAAATCCAACTGACCAATAGAAAGAGAGTAGAAAGAGTACAGAACTGAAGAAAAAAGGGGACGTGGATCACAGTTACTGTGAATGGACGGGCTCTCAAGAGAAAACTGAGGGAAGAGAGCCAGGACAGCTGGGGTGCAGAAAAGGAAAGTAGCAAGAGTCTGGCTGAGACCGACCCCAGAGCAACGTGGAGCCCCGAAGAAAGGGTAGTGGGAGTCCTCTCTGCTCCCCTCACCTCTGTGGCAATCTGCTGCCTGCCAAACTGTTGGGAAGACCCCCTGCACTCACAGCCCTGGACAACACTGTCCGTGGCGATTTGGAAACTTCATGAGGACAGAGGACCAGGTAGCGAGTTCGCGCAGAGGTTCCCCCATCCCACTCAGACCCAAACTGAGATGGTGAGTACCATACTGGTTATGTACCTATCATTGGCCACTGTCCTGCCTGGGAAATCTCTGCCCCCAAGACGATGCACCAGCAGATCCCCAGCAAACATACCTTATAATCCCCTCAGACTTTCACAAGCACAGCAATCAAGTCCCTGGGGAGCTGTGGGGTCCCTAGAGATCTAACCCTTGGTGTAGGCTGCCCCAAGGGAGGAGGGAGTGCAGCCCATCAAAGCTCTTTTTGGGACAAAGGAAATGAAGGCGCATCACCAATCTCTGGAAGGGGCAGCACCCAGCAGCTGGGAAGAGGGATAGAGAGGGCGTTATTTCCCGACCCCCACCCCATCTACTATTGTGGATACAGCAGAGGTTCTCCCCACTGGGGGCTGACACATGTACACTTGGAGAAAGTGCTTTTTCTTGGCGCAGAAAGTGAGCCTGTGCTGCTTGGACTTGCATGAAGGTTGGGGCCCAACTCCCTCTCCCTACACAGAGCAGCAGCACCCTGACAACGGAGGCCAGACAAGCCATACAGTTGTCTGCTCCAGACTGAGGGAAGAGGCTGTGCCCTGAGTCCAGTTTGGTGGTCGCTGCCAGAGGGCCATAGCCACATCCAAAGGTCCACAGCCACACTGCAGCTGGGAGCCAAAGAACAAAGTCTAAATGAACTGGAGGTTTTGAGCCCTGCAACAGGGCCATGATAGGGAAGGGAATCGTGTTCCTGGCTGCTCAGGACAAGGCTTCACTCCCACTCCCTACCCCAGGGACCTAGAACACCCCAACACAGTCTCTCCCCATCAGGGTGGGCACTTCCCCCTGAGCTGAGAATGAGCCGGCTCTTACTCTTCATTGCCACCTACTGGAATGCAGCCTGAATTGCACCACCAAATTAAAAATCTTCCGGAGGGTCTTACTGCTAGTACACAAGATGTGCTCCCTGAGACCTCCACACCCGGAGCACAGCAGGAGATGGTGTATGGGCTCATATGTCCAATATATCCCTACAACAAGCAGCATCTTAGAAAGCTATCACACAGAACCTATCCACAACCAAGGAACCCATTCAGAGCCTTGGCCCCCACAAAAGCACCCAGAAACAAAACCGGATGATTATACACAACATATACCATAGTCATACCCTCAAGGGAAAAGATAAAAAATTAAAAACAGTCCCATCAAAATGATAGAAAACTCAAAAATAAGAAGCGACGGTTCCTTAAGATGAGTAGAAATCAAGAGGAGAACTCCAGCAGTACAAAAAGACAGTGTTTTGACAACTCCAAAAGATTACATTAGCTCTCTGGCAATGGATCCCAACCAGAGTCAAAAGTCTAAAATGACAGATAAAGAATTTAAAGTATAGATTGCAAGGAAACTCAATGAGATCCAAGAGAAAGTTGAAATGAACACAAAGCAACCCAGTCAGACAAAATTTAAAAAAAATTAATGAACAAAGCACATAAGAAACATGGGGCTATGTAAAGCAACCAAATCTATGACTAATCGGCATTATGATAGAGAAGAAGAAAAAGTAGGCAACTTGGAAAACATATTTGAAAGAATAGTTCAGGAAAATTGCCCTAATATTGCTAGAGCTCAAGACCCAGATACAAGAAATTCAGAGAACACCTGCGAGATACTATACAAGATGACCATCACCAAGATATATGATCATCAGGCTATCCAAGGTCAATGCTAATGAAAACAACTTGAAGGCATAGAGTAAAGGGCAAAATTACCTATAAAGGAAATCCCATTAGGCTAACAGCGGTCTTCTAAACCAGAAGAAATTAGGGGCCTACTTTTAGCCTTCTTAAAGGAAAATAAATGACATTCATGCATTTTATATCCTGACAAACTAAACTCCATAAGTGAAAAAGAAATAAAACTTTTCCCAGGCAAGCAAATGCTAAGGGAATTCATAACCACCAGACCAGCCCTATAAGAAATGATCAAAGGATTTCTAAACATGGAAATGAAAGGATGATACTTGCTACCGTAAAAGGACAGGTAAGTACAAAGTTCACAGATCCCATAAAGCAGCTACACAATTGTACAAAGCAACTAGCTAACAATGCTAGGAGAGGAACAAAACCTCACATATCAATATTAACCTTGAAAGTAAGTAGCTTAAATGCTCTATTTAAAAGACATAGAGTGGAAAATTGGATTAAAAAACAATACTCAACCTGCTGTTGCCTTCAAGAGTCCCATATTATGTGTAATGATACCCACAGACTCAAAGTAAAGAGATGAAGAAAGATCTCTCATGCAAATGGAAAGCGAAGGAAAAAAAAAAGCAGGGATTGCTATTCTTGTATCTGATGAAACATACTTTAAAACAACAGTAAAAATAAATAAAAGAGTATTATATAATGATAAAGGATTCAATTCAACAAGAAAATTTAACTATCCTAAGTATATACAAACCCAGTATCAGAGTACCAAGATTCACAAACAAATACTACTGTATCTAAGAAAAGAGGCAGACAGCCATACAATAATAGTGAAGGGCTTCAACACTCCACTGACAGCACTAGAAAGATAATCAAAGCATAAGCTAATAAAGTAACTCAGGACTTAAATTGGACTCTTGTCCAAATGGACTTAATAGGCATCTACAGAACATTCAATTCAATACCAAAGAATATACATTTTATCATCTGTGCATGAAACAACCTCTAAAATGGTCATAAGGCAAATCTCACTAAGTTCTAAAATCAAAATCATATCAAGCATATTATCAGACCACAAAACAAAATTTAAAAATTAATACCAAGAGGAACTCTCAAAACCACACAAATATATGGAAACTAAACAACTTGCTCCTGAATGGCTTTTGAATAAGCAACTAAATTAAGGCAGAAGTTTTTAAAATTTTGAAACAAACAAAAATAGACACACAACATACCAAAACCAATGGAGATACAACAAAACAGTGTTAAGAGGAAATTTTATAGCGCTAAATGCCTACACCAAAAAGAAAGAAAGTTCTCAAATTAACAACCTAATGCTGCACCTAAAGGAACTAGAAAAACAAAAACTAACCAAATGCAAAGTTAGCAAAAGCAAAGAAACAACAAAGATTAAATGGAATTGTGACCCCAAAAAACAAACAAAGGATCAACAAAACAAAAAGTTGGTTATTTGAAAGGATAAACAAAACTGACATATCAATATCTAGATTAACCAAGAAAAAGAGAGAAGATTCAAATAAGCACAATCAGAATTGATAAAGGTGTCATCACACCCGACACCACAAAAATACAAAAGATCCATAAAGACTACTATGAACATTTCTATGTGTACAAAATAGAAACCAAGAGGAAATGGATAAATTCCTGGAAACATATGACTTCCCAAGATTAAAACAGTAAGAAATTGAAATCCTGAACAGACTAATAACAAGTTATAGAAATGAATCGGTAATAAAAAATCTACCAACTAAAAAAAACCCAAGATCAGATGGATTCATAGCCACATTCTACCAGATGTACAAAGAAGAGCTGATACCAATCTTTCGGAAATGTTTCCAAAAAACTGAGAAAGAGAGATTCCTCCTTAAATCATTCTGTGAAGCCAGTATCATCCTGATACCAAAATGTGACAATGACACAACAAAAATAGAAAACTATAGGTCAGTATCCTTGATGAACGTAGACCCCAAAATCTTCAACAAAATACTAGCAAATCAAATCAAGAAGCTTATCAAAAAGTCAGTTCATCACAATCAAGTGGATTTTATTCCATGGATGCAAGGATGATTCAACATATGTAAATCAATAAGTGTAATTCACTACATAAACAGAACTAAGAACAAAAACTATACGATCCTCTCAATCGATGCCAAAACAGAATTCAATAAAATCCAACATCACTTTATGATAAAAAAAAAAAAAAACCGCTCGACAAACCAGGCCTTGAAGGAAGTACCTCAAAATAATCAAAGCCATATATGACAAGCCCACACCTAACATTATACTGAATGGGGAAAAGTTGAAAGACTTCCTCCTAAAACCTGGAACGAGACAAGGATGTCTACTCTAACCATTTCTATTCAGCATAGTACCGGAAGTCCTAGCCAGAATAATTAAGCAAGAGAAAGAAAGAAAAAGCATCTAAATAGGAAAAGAGGAAATCAAATTATTTCTATTTACTGATGACATGATTCTATAACTAGAAAGCCTTAATGATTCTTTTAAAAGACTCCTAGACCTGATAAAGAACTTCAGCAGTTTTCAGGATACAAAATTAATGCACAAAAATCAATTGCATTTCATACACCAATAGTGCTCAAGCTGAGAACCAAATGAAAAACTCAATCCCATTTATAATAGCCACACACAAAAAAATAAAATACCCAGGAATACATCTAACCAAGAGGTAAAAGACCGTTACCAGAACCATAAAACAATGATGAAAGAAATCATAAGTGATACAAACAAGTGCAAAAACATCCCATGCTTATGAATAGGAAGAATTCACATCATTAAAATGACTATACTGTCCATAAAAAAAACTAAAAATTCAGTGAAATTCCTATGAAATTACCAACATCAATTTTCACAGGATTAGAAAAAAATGATTAAAATTAATATGGAACTAAAATATGCCAGAATAGCCAAAGTAATCCTACGCAAAAAAGAACAAAGCCAGAGGTATGACCTTACCTGACTTCAAACTATACTACAAAGCTATGGTAACCAAAGGAACATCGTACAAGTACAGAAATACACACATAGATCAATGGAACAGAATAGAGAACACAGAAATAAAGTCACACACCTATAACCAACTGATCTTCTACAAAGTCAACAAAAATAGACAAAGAGAGAGGAACACCGTATTCAATAAATAGTGCTGGGAAAACTGGCTAGACACATGCAGAAGACTAAAAATAGATCCCCATCTCTCGCCATATACAAAAATTAACTCAAGATGGGTGAAGGACTTAAATGTAAGACCTGAAACTATAAAAATTCTAGAATAAAATCTAGGAGAAACTCTTCTGGATATTGGCCTAGGCAAAAAATTTATAATTAAGACTTCAAAAGTAAATGCGACAGAAACAAAAATAGACAAATGGAACTTAAAGAGCTCCTGCACAGCAAAAGAAACAATTAACAGAGGAAGCAGCCTACAGAATAGGAGAAAGTATTTGCAAACTACACACTCAACAGAGGACTAACATCCAGAATTTATGAGAAACTTAAGGAAATCAGAAAGAAAAAACAACTCCATTAAAAGGTGGACAAAGGACATGAACAGACAATTCTCAAAAGAATCCATACAAGCAGCCAACAAACATATGAGAAAATGCTCGACATCACTAATCATCAGAGAAATGCAAATAAAAACTACAATGAAAACCCATCTCACACCAGTCATAATGGCTGTTATTTAAAAAAAAATTGTTGGCAAAGAGGCAGAGAAAGGGAACACTTATACACTATTGGCAGAAACGTAAATTAGCTCATCTTCTATGAACAAGAGTATAGAGATTTCTCAAATAACTAAAAGTGGAACTAAAATTCGATTAAACAATCCTAATGCTAGGTATCTACCTAAAGGAAAATAAATCATTCTATAAAAAAATATAGCCGGACTCTTATGGTTATTGCAGCACTACTCACAGTAGCAAAGTTATGGAATCAACCTACGTGTCCATCAATGGATGAATGGATAAGAAAATATGATATGTATACACACTATAGAATGCCACACAGCTATAAAACCACATGTATAGCCTCCAGCTTCATTCATCATGTATTTTACAGCAACATGGATGGAGCTGGAGGCTATTATATCAAGTGAAATAATTCTGAAACAAAAAATACCACGTGCTCACTAATAAGTGGGAGCTAAACAATGAGTACACATGGACATAAACATGGAAATAATAGACACTGGGGACTCCAATGTAGGGGAGGCTGGGAGGGAAGAAGAGATTGAAAAACTACGTATTAGGTACTACGTTTACTATTTGGGTAATGGGTTCACTAGAAGCCCAAACCCCAGCATTTTGCAATATACTCACGTAACAAATCTGCACAAGTACCCCCTAAATCTGTAATAAAATTTTTTTAAAGGTGACAGGAAAAGAAAATTACACAGGCTTATTTTTTTAGTTGGCAATTTCTAATTTAGCAAACTGGTTTTTATTATTGCTATTAAATTTAATTAGATGTTATGGGACTAATAAAACAGCATCTATTTGTGCCAATTTGAGAAGTAGTTGGCCGGGCATGGTGGCTCATGCCTGTAATCCCAGCACTTTGGGAGGCCTAGGTGGGCAGATCACATGAGACTAAGAGTTTGAGAGCAGCCTGGGCAACATGCAGTCTATACTAAAAATGCAAAAATTAGCTGAGCGTGGTGGTGCATGCCTGTAGTCCCAGCTACTCGGGAGGCTGAGGCAGGAGAATCCCTTGAACCTGGGAGGCAGAGGTTGCAGTAAGCCAAGATCATGCCAAAGCACTCCAGCCTGGGAGACAGAGAGAGACTCTGTCTCAAAAAAAAAAAAAAAAAAAAGAAAAGAAAAGAAAAGAAAAGGAAAAATAAAAAAGAAATAGATGTTTTAAGAATGAAAATCTTGCTGAAGAAATACAATTTGCAAATAAGAAAATGTATCAAAATGCACCATAAGAAACATGTTTAATAATCTGTATTAAGAATGCATTTTTAGAGTTTTCCAAGCAAGATATTCAGTAAGAAATGGCCTATTCCCTTTTCTCATTCCCTTTGCTTCCAAGGTTTTTTGAGACCCATAAATACAGGGAAGAAAGAGACTCATAGCCTTCACTATAACAGGCCCCTGGACTTGTTGCCTAAAGACCAAAACCCAAGACTCAGTTTAACCAATAATTAACCATGTGACCTTGATAAGCTACTCATCTCTCAGATACCATTTTCTTATACATAAATATGTGGATAAAATACCATTCCACAGATTAGAAAAATATAACAATTCATAAAGACCACTATTACAAAGAGGATTTTTATAATAATTTCTCTAAATCAATCTGATAATGTTAAGTTCAACTCTGGTGGAAAGAAAGCAAATAGAAATATTTGTTCAGCTATGTCCATTTTTCCCCCTTTATTCCTACTTAACAGCAAAGAATACTCCCACAGGGATCTGACCTAAAACCGAACATGGAAATGAAGGTAAAGGTGTGTATTTGTGTGTTGGGTGGTGGGTAATGACAATTCCAATTTCTAGTTTTCTTATGCAGAAACCAACTCGTTATCAAGTGGTAATAGAGACTAACTATCACTCTGCCAGCAACCTCCTATTCTATTTCCACTACCCAATAAATGTGGTGTTTTCCAGGGAACTGTAAACACTTTAAAAAATAATTAACCTGAATGTTTCCCACATTTATAAATGGTGGAGAGCATTTAAATGGAAATTAAATTCAGTATAAGAATCTACACCATGGAATACTATGCAGCCATAAAAAATGATGAGTTCATGTCCTTTGTAGGGACATGGATGAAACTGGAAACCATCATTCTCAGTAAACTATCGCAAGAACAAAAAACCAAACACCGCATATTCTCACTCATAGGTGGGAAATGAACAATGAGATCACATGGACACAGGAAGGGGAATATCACACTCTGGGGACTGTGGTGGGGTGGGGGGAGGGGGGAGGGATAGCATTGGGCGATATACCTAATGCTAGATGACGAGTTAGTGGGTGCAGCGCACCAGCATGGCACATGTATACATATGTAACTAACCTGCACAATGTGCACATGTACCCTAAAACTTAAAGTATAATAAAAAAAAATATATATATATATGAATACTGGGAGACAAAGTGAAAAAAAAAAAAAAAGAATCTAAGTGAAGGAGCAGAAAGAGGTGACCTAGAACTCTAGAAGACCCTATTCTGAAGTGCACTGCAATCAACTAGCTGTGTGACTTTGAACAAATTACTAAGTAACCTCATCTGTAAAATGAAGGCAATTATCTAGATAATCTCTAAAGTCCTGTTGAGCTTGCAGATTTAAAACTATTTTGATTTGCATGTTCATTTAATATTTAAAATTATTCTCTGGCATTATATCTGAAGATGATAGTTAAACAGGGAATGTTTTCTAAATATGAGCACACACATATTCATAAATGCAATACATATACAAATTATGCATGAGTTATTTTCAATAAGTTGCAATGCAGTTGGCCACACTGAGATTCCACAATCACTGCTCAATACTGCTAATAGTATTAACAACCATCACTTATGGAAAGCTCAAGAAGTCTGACATACTGGACAAAGTATTCAGTTGCTGCAAAAGCAATTGCAGTTTTGGACACTCCTTTTTTTTTTTTTTTTTTTTTTTTTTTGAGACAGAGTCTCGCTCTGTCGCCCGGGCTGGAGTGCAGTGGCGCCATCTCGGCTCACTGCAAGCTCCGGCTCACTGCAAGCTCCGGCTCACTGCAAGCTCCGGCTCACTGCAAGCTCCGGCTCACTGCAAGCTCCGCCTTCAGGTTCACGCCATTCTCCTGACTCAGCCTCCCGAGTGGCTGGAACTACAGGCACCTGCCGCCAGGCCTGGCTAATTTTTTGTATTTTTAGTAGAGACGGTGTTTCGCCGTGTTAGCCAGGGTGGTCTCCATCTCCTGACCTCGTGATCCGCCCGCCTCGGCCTCTCAAAGTGCTGGGATTACAGGCATGAGCCACCGCGCCCGGCCTTGGATGTGACTTTTGATAGTAAAAACTGCAATTACATTGGCACCAACTGAATCATTGACATACACCCTTTCCTTTGACTGTGTTATTATTCTTTGAGTGATAGAAGATATTTTACAGATATAGAAATTGCAGCTCAGGCCATAGTAAATGTTGGAGCACAGGTCTGACTGACTCCAACTACACGATATTGATGATACTAAAAACCTACATCACCAGTTAAGAAAGTGCTTTAAGGTAACCAATTCTTGAAGAACTGAGAATAGAAAGAGGCTGTGGATCTTTCTATTCAACATAGTATTGGAAGTTCTGGCCAGGGCAATCAGGCAAGATAAAGAAATAAAGGGTATTCAAATAGGAAGAGAGGAAGTCAAATTGTCTCTGTTTGCAGATGACATGATTGAATATATAGAAAACCCCATTGTCTCACCCCCAAATCTCCATAAGGTCATAAGCAACTTCAGCCAAGTCTTGCAATATGAAATCAATGTGCAAAAATCACAAGCATTCCTGTACACCAATAATAGACAAACAGCCAAACCATGAGTGACTCCCATTCATAATTGCTACAAAGAGAATAAAATACCTAGGAATACAACTTACAAGGGATGTGAAAGACCTCTTCAAGGAGAACTACAAACCACTGCTCAATGAAATGAGACAGGAGGACACAAACAAATGTAAAAACATTTCATGCTAATGAATACAAAGAATCAATATCGTGAAAATGGCCATACTTTCCAAAGTAATCTGTAGGCTCACTGCTATCCCCATTAAGCTACCACTGACTTTATTCACAGAATTAGAAAAAACTACTTTAAATTTCATATGGAACCAAAAAGAGCCCACATAGCCAAGAAAATCCTAAACAAAAAGAACAAAGCTAGAGGCATCATGCTAACTGACTTCAAACTATACTACAAGGCTACAGTAACCAAAACAGCATGGTAGTGGTACCAAAACAGATATATAGACCAATGGAACAGAACAGAGGCCTCAGAAATAATACCACACAACTACAACCATCGGATCTTTGGCAAACCTGACAAAAACAAGCAATGGGGAAAGATTCTCTTTTCAATAAATGGTGTTGGGAAAACTGGCTAGCCATATGCAGAAAACTGAAACCGGACTCCTTCCTTACACCTTATACAAAAATTAACTCAAGATGGATTGAAGACTTAAATGTAACAACTAAAGCCATAAAAATCCTAGAAGAAAACCTAGGCAATACCATTCTGGACATAGGCATGGGCAAAGACTTCATGACTAAAACACCAAAAACAACGGCAACAAAAGCTAAAATTGACAAATGGGATCTAATTAAATGAAAGAGCTTCTGCACAGCAAAAGAAACTATCATCAGAGTTAACAGGCAACCTACAGAATGGGAGAAAATTTTGGCAATCTATCCATCTGACAAAGGGCTAATATCCAGAATCTACAAAGAACTTAAACAAATTTACAAGAAAAAAACAACCCCATCAAAAAGTAGGCAAAGGATGTGGACAGATACTTGTCAAAAGAAGACATTTATGCAGCCAATAAACATATGAAAAAATGCTCATCATCACTGGTTATTAGAGCAACGCAAATGAAAACCACAATGAGATGCTATCTCATGCCAGTTAGAATGGCGATTATTCAAAAGTCAGGAAACAACAGATGCTGGAGAGGATGTGGAGAAATGGTAACACTTTTACACTGTTGATGGGAGTGTAAATTAGTTTAACCATTGTGGAAGACAGTGTGGCGATTCCTCAAGGATCTAGAACCAGAAATACCATTGGACCCAGCAATCCCATTACTGGGTATATAACCAAAGGATTATAAATCATTCAACTATAAAGACACATGCACATGTATATGTATTGCAGCACTGTTCACAATACCAAAGACTTGGAACCAACCCAAATGCCCATCAATGATAAACTAGATAAAGAAAATGTGGCACATATACACCACAGAATACTATGCAGACATAAAAAAGGATGGGTTCATGTCCTTTACAGGGACATGGACGAAGCTGGAAACCACCATTCTCAGCAAACTAACACAAGAACAGAAAACAAAACACCACATGTTCTCACTTATAAGTGGGAGTTGAACTATGAGAACCCATGGACACAGGGAGGGGAACATCACATACCAGGGCCTGTCGGGGGGTGGAGGGCTAGGGGAGGGATAGTGTTAGGAGACATACCTAATGTAGATGATGCGTTAATGGGTGCAGCAAACCACCATGGCACGTGTATACCTACGTAACAAACCTACATGTTCTGCATATGTACCTCAGTACTTAAACTATAATTTAAAAAAAAAGAAGAAGAAGAAAGAGGCTGTGGATGAAAGGCAGTTTGAATTGTTGGCAACGTCAAGGTTTGGTTAGTAAATTCATTACTCAGTTATATAATTATACCTACAAGTAGTAAAATGTTCTTTTATTCAGATCATTATGAGGACTCAAAAGTGTGTATTACATAAGACAAATGAGGACAAAATTCTCCTAAGAGTTCCCAGATAATTCAAATTCCTTTCCCATCTTATCTCTGCCTACCTTATACTGAACTTCCCTTTAAAATCATTAAAGTATGAAAAAAGAAAACGTAGTGGCTTGAAAGAAACGGGGGATAAAAAGGTCTTGTGTTATCTACGCAAGTCAAGACCCATATCATAGTAACATGGGGTATTCCAAACTCTTTGGGTGATGTGCGCAATTTTCCCCTCTTCATGCTCTATTGGCTCCATTGAAGAAGCAAAAGAGTGCAAAGGACAGCCTCAGCTACCAGGCCTTTTGCTGGGCATTCTGATGGAAAATTCAGTTGCCCTGGATTTGGGTTTATTACCAATTTTATCTATAGATACACTAAGAAGCAAAATCCCCATGGTGTGAAAATACAGATTTTTCTAAATGAAGGCTTATTTTAGGCTGGGCGTTTGGCATCTCAGACAAGCTTGAAATAACATCTGAAATTACAAACTGCATTATCCCAGAGGAAATGCACCCCTGCTCACTACCCTGTACTTCCACACATTAATTCTAGGTCAGCCATAGATCAGAGTCCTGCTTTCCACTCCCAGAACTAGGAAAACAAAGAGACACAAAGTCTATGGGAAAAGTAATAAAAGAATGGAGAAGATCAAATTCTGCAACAGAGAAGGAGGGATGTCCCAGATGGCAGTAGAAGCAAATCTAAGGTCATCTTAGGAAACCAAGTAGAGTGAAATAGTTTGATTGGGAAGGCCAGACAAGGAAGCAGAAGGGCAACCAAGTGAGGAGCCAGAGATATCAAGAGACATCGTGACCAGCAGTAAGTCAGGCCAGGGGTCAGGAATCTTTTCCTTTAAAGGCACAAGATTATAAATACTTTAGGCTTTGAGGAACATGTAGTCTCTGTTGCAACTACTCAACGCTGCCATTACAGCAACCAGAGACAACGTGAAAAAGGGCATGACTGTTTCAATTAAGCTTTATGTATGAACACTGATATTTAAATTGTATGCAATTTTCATATGTCATGAAATAGTGTTCTTTTTGTTTTTTTCAACCATTTCAAAATATAAGAACCATTCTTATCTTGCTGTTCCTACAAAGAGGTAGCAGGCCACATGTGCCCCATAGACCATTGTTTGCCTACACTGGATTGGAGTCAGCCATTCAGAACTGATCATATGGAGTCTCATTTTTTTGTGTATGGTACCTCTGCATGCTTGAAAGTTAACATTTATGAGTTGGTTGCAGAAGAAATATCAATAATCTGATTTGTGAAATGCATATTTTACACAAAAATACCAATAATAGAAAATAGTAACAATACCCATTACTTCTACAGATTTTACTATGCTCTAGGCACTGTTTTTTACATATAGTATTAAATATTTAATGAAGTAGGAACTGCTATCTGCATTTATAGATAAAAATCCTGAGCAACAGACACAAGAATATTGATATTTATAGCTATCCACAATTTATCTGCAATTCTGAAATCCTACAAGTTTACAAATTTTTTTTAAAAAAAGGAAATTTGATATAAAAATCTGATCTGAATTGGTGGCTATGCCTAGTCTATATTTCTGCCACTTGGGGTGAACATTCATACATTTCACGTTAAAAATATTAATTATCAGATGCTACACCAGACTCTGCTAGACTCTTTCATAAAAGTTCATATAGGAATAGTATTATCTTTATAAAGTTAAAAAAACTGCCTTTCCAAACACATCAGGCCCTATAGATGTTGAATAATAAATTATATATCTTCTACCAAAAAGTATGAACCAAATCCCATGAATGATAGTGTGGTCTATTAAAATAAAACTGGACTAATAGTTTGAAATTTTTGGGTCAAATCCAGCTTGTAAGTAATGAGTTGGGATCTTAATAAACTTTACTTCACTCTCTGGATTTCACTTTCCTTATCTTGATCAAATATCCACAAGGCCACATGAGAAATGTAGATGAAGGAAGCCGAGAAACTGTAGCTTCCGGGACAGCAGAGGCCACAGCTAACTGGAAAACATGGGCCCTGTCTTTTGTCACATGAACATGCATGGTCCAAGTATCCTGAAAAATTTGATACAAAACAGAACCATATTTATATGTAAATTTTTTAGGATTAAAAAAAACCTATGCAAGCTAACAAAACAGGTCTGTAGACAAACTGTGATGTACAGACTGCAATCCTCATCTGACTGATGGGCTGTAACATCATCTTATACTGCATTCAGACTCAAATTCCATTCCTTCTGCTTTTACTTGCAGCTGGTGGTAACTTGCCTGCCTTGAAGCCCCTGTAGCACTTACATATTCCACTTAGTCAGCTGTTGGCACGGGCTGCCTTCCATTTTCAGTTATCTTTTCATATCTTCATGTCTTTTATGCCTAACTAGATTATAAGATCCTTGAGGGTCCTTGAGGGTGATGAAGTATTTCTGAATTTCTGTAACAATTAGCTCAGTGCCTCAAACACAGCAAGGGCTTAATGAAAACATTTGAATTGATGTAAAAACAGGCTATAAATAGCTTTGGCTAAATCATAAAGCCAAAGTCTGTGTTACTTGGATTCTTCATTGCCGGTGGGAGACATTGTGGTAAAATCGCCCCAGTAGGGGCTTCGGAATCCAACAGACCTAAATCAGAATACCAGCTCCTTTGCTTCAAGCTCTATGACCTTGAGCTTATTACATAACTGTCTAAGGATCATTATAAAACGGAAGGTTAACAATACTCAACTTATTCTGTGGATTAAGTGAAGTAATGTATAAAGCATGTGGAATGGCATAAATGCCATTTACTGCTTATTCTCTTCATTGCTTCTGTGGCCAAGGAAAGAGAAAGGTTCTTACAGAAGATTGAGGACTACTCCTCACATGGCTCTTCACTATCTACAGAAAATCAGATCCAGTAACTGCTGCAGAATCCCTGGAGGTCAGGTATATCTACTTCACCATAGTTCAAGGCGTTATCTAACGTTACAGTGTAACTTGTATGATTTCAAACAAATTATGTTTTTCTGAGCTGACCTGAACATTCTTTCTTCTCCTTTTAAGCAATCGAAGTACCTCTCCAAGTACATGGCCCATGACAAGTTATCTTTAGCTTCAAAGAAATAAAATAAAAAACAACATTTGACACAAACTTGGCCAAGCATAGAGCCATGAATAATTTTCAATATATACATGAGAGCAATTTAGTTAAGGATGTGGTTTTCAGGATTATTTTATGCAGACATAACAAACTTCTAAAACAGTCTTGTTAGGAAAACATGGACAGTGGGTCAGGATTCAAACACACTTGTGATATTATGAATGTCTATCCTTATAGGCTGCCTGAGAGAAGACTCCAGTCACTGTGATACAAAGGAGACAGTACACGAGGCTTCCAAAATGTCATAGACTGGTATCATAGAACCTTTGCACAAAAAGGGATTTAGCCAAGTAGTCCAGCCCTTTTCTCTACAACCTCCCAAAGGTCATCTTGGAGCTGCTTAAACACTTTCAGACAGAAGAGGAACGCACTCCTTCTAGTGATAACCTTTGTCATTGCCATATTGAGAGGAATAAGACTAAGACAAGATCTTAGATCTGTTTCTGTCTCTTACTCTGCTCTCTGAAGATATTCAGGATAGCTTAAAGTGTAAGCATCTGTATTTGTATGAATATATACTGAGTATCACATTGTGTTCCTAGAATTATTTAAGATGTGCTAGGTAATACAAAGTAAGTCTAATGAACTTTTTAATATGACTTACTACTTATCTTGATGGCAGCATCCAAACACCATAACTTATTTCAGAATGCCTAAAATAGATATAATGCCCTGTGCACGGTGACCTGTCAATATTACTCACTAATCCTGTAGTTTGCCCTCATTATAGGATCAAAAGTGTTAAGAGGAAAAAGAAAAGTTCTGACAATTTCTAGTCCACTTTTCTGAAACTGACTACTACAGTTAATCTATGTGTTCATCCATGGTATTGTGCAGCTTATGCTTTTTGAAAAAATACATATATTTAGTATGGTTCTGTGATAATTAGAAGAACAAAGCCAGTTATATACTTATAATCATGAGGTGAAGACAATCAACACATTCTCCTTTAGCAGTGTTTGGCAGACTTCTTTCGTAAACTACCAGATAATAAATACACGCTTTGCCAACCTTGCAGTCTCTGTGGCAACCACTCAACTTTGCCATTGTACAGTTACAGTAGCCATAGACAATATGTAAACAAATGGATGTGTCTGTGCTCCAAATTAAACTTTATTTACAAAAGCAGGTGGCTGCTTGGATTTAGCCCCCAGACCCAGTGTGGTGGAGTGGGAAGAACATTGGCCTGGGAGTCAGGAGAAGGAAGTTCTAGCTGCAGCCGTTCTTCTAGCTACCTCTATAATGGCAAACACTTCACAACTTTGGGTTTGAGTCTTCATCTCTAAATGGAACAAATTAGATGATTTTTCTTGAACATCAGTTTCAAAGTGTCTATGAATCAGTTATCAAAATCTCTTAAATGGTTGTGGCTATAGAATTGTTCAGGTTACGTTGCTGCTACATTCAAAACTTTGGGGCTTTCCTTAACACTGACTACAGGAGCTCCCAAAAGGCCCTCCTGAAAAATCAGTCACCAATGTAGGTAATGAAATTGAAGGGATGGGAAATTTCTCTTTCCTTAGGAAAATGACAGAGACTGCTTCTCAATAACCCCAATTTAAGATTCCCAGATTTAGCAAGTGTAAGTTATTTGTTGTTTATCTGAAATATAATTTAACTGGTTATCCTGTATTTTACCTGGCAATATTACTCTAACTCCTTAATTTTAAAAAGGAGTCAGACTGTTGACACTTTTACACATGTATTTTCACATGTATTGAGCTCACTAGGTCTCACAGCATCCCACATATTGGACACAGGGATCGTTATCTTCATTCTAATCAGGAAAAAGTAGAGGTGTCAGGACTTAGGAATTATCTAATCTCAGAGGGCTAATGACGTAAGTCTGAATATCCCCTAGCATCTTCAGAGAGATACAAATATTTAGTTCATTATGGACCTACAGCTTTGTACAATAGGTACTCATAAATATATATCTATCGAAACTGTAAACTGCAAAACTGCAGTTATGCTTCTATTTTGTCCATACAGTGCAACATTTACAGCTATTTCCTAAAACAGTATTCAAATGCATTATCATAGAGACAAGCTTTACCTGTCACAGCATGACTTATTGACTGAAATAATGAATTCTCCTTCTCTGGGAGAAAGGACATTTTCTTAAATCAATTGAAACAAGTCAAATATTTAAACATTTTTATAACATAAGATGTTAATTAAATATGAAACTAGAAAATCCAAAATTAGGTGTGGAGTGTGTTGGCCTAAAAGTCAACCTAAAAGATACACTGTTCTCTCAGGAGATAAAATAAAGGATTAAAAGACATTTTAAATATGGCGTGGATTTAAATATTTGATGATGTTTATGTGACGACAATACAGTTTTCCTTGAGGTAAGTGTAATTACTTGAGGCAACTTCGCTTTCAGGAATCTTCAACCAAGATTAAAAAAACAGTCAGTCATCAAATCGAACCAAACAGGAGTATAGGGAAGAATTATTGCCTTAATAATCTAAGAAACTCATTTACATTAAAAAATATCAGCATGAGCCAGGGCTATAAGCTAAAAGACTGTCAAAACAAGCCATGTCTTAGATGGAGTGAGTGTGGTAACATCCTGCATTGGTGTGGCAAAATCTATTCTTCCTAAATTAAAAAAAAAAGAAAACAATTTTTCTGTTTTCCCCTTCAGCACTGATCCCTGGAATCTAGGCATTAAATTTAGATATTTCTGTGGGACAAGACTTTGCCTTCTGGAGTATCATGCTGGACAAAACCAGATGGACATCTTAGCACTAACATCACAGCACTTTTTCCCTTTCCTCAATTTTCAGTGCCCAAATACTGTAGCCACTGGCCTCATCTCTGGTCTCCACTACTCAAAATAGGGAAATAGCCTATCACTGCCTAGAAACTTCATGAACTGCCTAGAAATCATCTTCTGAAGGCATAACACGTGACCTCTGAGGCTCACAAATCTCACTTCAGTGGGTCTCCATTTCCTCAACGGAGGAGTGCTCTCTAGAGCCCTGTGGCCACCTTGCAGTGGGGTTGAGAGCTGAATGAAATCCTTGGCCTATAGCACCTCTCTGTGTTTTCACATAAGTGCACAGATGATATTGAATTTGACCATGGATTTCCAAGTCTGAAAAAACAAAATGTTTGAAAACAGCGAAGACACAAAATGGACTAACTCTAACAAACATAAGCTTCAACTTCCTAACAAGGGATTTCAAAGACCATTCTCAGGTTCACCAGAGAAATTACTCATCAGAGAAGGGAAAAAGAAATCAGCTTGTATTTCTTAGCTCTTATTATGTGCTAGGCTGCTGGCCATCATGCTAGAAGACAGGAAAAGCATTAGCTATCATCTTAATCAATCTATAACTCTTTACTTATTAATTCAGATGATCCATGCATATCTTTTATTGACACCACAAAAGTGAGATAAACTATTCCCAGAAGCTTCTCTGGAGATGACTCTGCTGACTGGGTTAAGAATGTTTTGAACTTTTTCTATTTGTTTAAAACTGCTGAAGTAATATCAAAGTCATAATTAAAGTAATTTGGATCTTCAGAATTTTGCATAGGTGTTCATGCTAATAAATAGTAAAATTGGGGGATATGGTTAAGTAATCATGGAAGAGAAAATAATTAAATTCAAACTGTGCTTGCTTTGTTTTCCATTAGCCAGTACAGTGATTCCTTAATATTGCTCCCTTCATTGGAAGTCAGTAAGTCATTCAGCAACGAGGATAGCAGAGAGTAGGTTGGTGTTCACCAACTCCGTTCCTCTTCCAAGATGCACAAAAAGAGTGTATTTCCCAGTCTCACTTGCAGTTAGATTGGGGCCATGGAACTAGCTCTTGCCAATGGAACGGACTGGACCCCAAAAGTTCTTGTGAGGTACTGGTCTTTCTCCCACTAACTGGAAGTGAAGAATTCCAGGATGGCAAAGCCACCCTAAAGAAAGAGCCCAGCATCTTGCATTCTTACTTGGAAGACAGCTTCCTAATCTGCATTGAGCTGTGATGTAGGCAAAAAATAAATCCTTGTTATGATAAGCCACTGAGATTTGGGGGATGTTTCTTACAGGGGCTTACCAATACAAACCAGATATCAAAGAAAGGGCTCAGGCCCGATATTCTGTGTCACCTTAGCATGGTTCATTATCAAAAACTAACAGGAGATATAAAAGGGTGCAGTGAGGAAACGGTGAATAGTGAGGGCTGGCAGCAGAGATCGTATAATGCAGAAAAAGCATATCGGAGAGTGGAATTGGGAACTTAGGGAAACTAAGGCTGTTGGCAACTCAAAGGAAACAATAGCAGAAGTCCTGTAGCTGGCTCCCTTGTTAGGGCTCAAAAGGCAGGCCACCAACAGAGAGGTGGGCCCCTGAGGACTTTTCTGACTTTACCTGGTGTTTATCTCTCTGATCCAAGCTAGAAAGTGAGCTCCTGCGTAGTCAGATCATTTGAAATGCCTACTGCAGTCCAGACCTCTGAGAAAGACAGTCTGGTTTGCATATCTAATTTGGAGATCTAGATATTGGCTCAGAATTCCAAGGATACCATTGGGGTGAATGAATCTTAAACATAGGAAGTTTTCTATAACAAAAGTAATATTCATCAGCTAGAATTCCTTGCAGAGTGAATTTATTTACATATTTTACTTCTCAAGTACTCTCATCTTTCTCTGATTTTGAGAACTTCATATAAGACTTTCTTCCATGAAAGCTTTCTTACATGATGATGGTCAGTAAAAGCAAATTAAAACCTCTAATATTTTGGGAAGTACATGGAAAGTGATGGGAACTCTTCAATTAAAGCCTGTTTCCTGAAAGTGAATTAAACAGTACCTGCAGTTATTCCTATTTAACTGCTCTTAACAAGATTATAGGTAGTGGTTCCTGCTGATAGATTGAGTGCAAAGGAACAAGAAGCACCGGAAACTGGGGAGGGAAGTGACTGATGTGAGTAAATATATATTTGGAATATGTCCATTTAATTATTCTGAATGAGCTTCTGGTTCACGTTAGCAGCATCTCTTGGGAAATCAGCTACACTGCATTTGTTTCACTGCTTCCACGTGCATATTGAATGAAACTGTGCAGACTCAATACAAATTTATTCTCTGCTGATCCTAAGGAGCACAGTGGAAATCTGAGGCATCAACTTGCCAGCCCTCACTGTGTGAGGAAAGACCTTAAGTGAGCTAGAGACAGGTTCTCAAACTTCGAGGTTGCAATTATTTTTGTAATCTTTTTAGCAACAAATCAACCATGTTTATGCAGAGCCAGTAGGTCTATTTACAGGCAGAAATAACAAATGAAATTATGGCAAGATCATGGAGCCATAGATCTCTCTGTTGCCACTAGGTAGCCATATGACCTTAAGTTAGTGACTCTGAACAATTTTCTGCACTTGACCTTTATAGGTTAAGTATCTTTCGTGAGAGTAATTTAACCAAAAGCTAGACACAAAATGTGACAGACCTGACAAATCTGAAAAAAAAAAGAAGAAGAAAAATTGAGGTAGGAGGATGGTGAGCAGCTAGACACAAAGAGGGATAAGAAAGCTCTATAAATCCATCTCCTGTTTTCACCTGGTTGTGGGCCAAATCTTAGAAATTCTTGGGTGTCAAAAAACAGTATGTGTTTTATCCATGAAACTCCTATTGTCCTTTGTGCCTCCAAAAATCCTGTATTTCCACACAGATTTGTCTAATGGCCCTTTCCCCTCCTTCTCAATGACAGACTCTCTAAGGCAGCTGTGTCTCCCACCTTGAAGCTTTTGTGCTATATCCCATTAGCATTTTCCTGCACCAAAAAGATTTGTGGAACTCAATGGAAGCATAGCATTGCTTTCACACTTAGCACAAAGACTAGTCATTTTTTAAAAGGTCAAGTGATTCTTGTAGCATTTACTGGTCCCTAGAATTCATTCAAGACAGAATCTTCTTTGCAGTTTATTTTCCATGCTATTGCTGGAAAAATACCAGTTTGCTTCCATAAACTCCAATGTTCTGAATCTAGGAGAATAAAAATGAGTGAGGGAGAAGTAAGTGAGGATGTTAAAAAAAAAATCAAATAACCACTATCCTTTACCGAGAGCTGATGACTCCTAGGAGGGATGTGAAATGAAGGAAACAGTTGGTATTGGCTTTGGCATATACCTTCAGTACTTCTCTCCTCCCACTTGGTGCCCTGTCCAAGCTCTCCAAGGACTCTAACATCCTAAATTCTTGCCTATCGCCCCCTTCCCCACCACACACCTCTTACTCAGCTTCGTGTGTGTCTTGCTTTGGAACTACCCTTCCCTAAAATCAAACTCTCATTTACTTAAAGCATATCAGCCAGGTTAGAATGAAAGCTAATTCACATTAAGTTTATGACTAATCATCTTCCCACATACTCTTTAACATATTCTGGAATGTTTTCTTATTAGCTCTAATTCGTGAAATTTCAGTCAATGTGGAGGAGATATTTTGAAATAGGAAGGCATCCTCTCTCATCCTGGAAGGAAAAAAACCAAATACCACAGGTTTTCTCTTCATCTATTCCCACTACAATTATCCAGGCCTATCCCTAACGGGAACTAATGAGCCTTTCTTTCCCCTCTCACCAACTTCCTAAATCAAGACCAATGAGCATTCGTAATTACAACTGTGTCTCTCAATGAAAGGGGATGGGGTAGAATAACTGGGATATCTAGACTTACACCAAGCTACAGTGAGATTTTCATGTCTCAGTTCCCAGTATTTGCAGCGGTCAATTATTACATGAGTAGGTCCCAAAATTTATGGAGGATCAGGATCACCTGAAGGGCTTATTGAACAACAGATTCCTGGGTTCTACCAGTAGAGTTTCTAACAGCAGTATGCTTGGGTGGGGTTAAAATTTTGCATGACTATCAAGCTCCCTTGTTGATGCTCATACTGCTGGTCTAAGGACAACAAACTAAGGACCACTGCTTTACACTAAACTGTACTTCCACATGGAAGGTAAAAAGCATTCCTGAAGTAGAAGTTATACACTCAACAACATAATGATGTAAAAAAGCACCACATGTTTAGGACCAGTTTCATTTTGCTTCCTGGAAAGTTGAGTTTTGTGAAAAGAAGAAGAAAAATGGAATTGAGAGAGTTTAGGGCTAGGATAAGAAGAATCATGTCAGTTTAGAATGTGGTGCTGGGATCATCCTCTATAGGAAACTACGACCTCTGCCATGTTAGGAGAATCACACAGAGGATGGAGATTTTTTTTTTTTTTTTTTGAGACTGAGTTTCACTCTTGTTATCCAGGCTGGAGTGCAGTGCAATGGGCGATCTCGGCTCACTGCAACCTCCACCTCCCAAGTTCAAGCGATTCTCCTGCCTTAGCCTCCCGAGTAGCTGGGATTACAGGTGCCTGCCACCACGCCTGGCTAATTTTGTATTTTTAGTAAAGGTGGGGTTTCACCATGCTGGCCAGGCTGGTTTCCAATTCCTGACCTCAGGTGATCCACCTGCCTAGGCCTCCCAAACTGCTGGGATTACAGGTGTGAGCCACCACGCCCGACTGAGGATGGAGATTCTTAAGAGATATATGAAGTCATCTTGAGTCACTCCCCATCTTGGCATGAATGAATAATTTAAGTTCTTGGTATATGATTGATACGGGCTGCCCAAATTCTGAGGGGCATTTTTTAAATTTACAAACATCCATGACCCTGATTTAACTGACATACCCATGCTAAGAATGAAGGGGAAAGAAAGTCTCTTTCTGGTTTTCAATCTTCTCCCTTTTCCTTCTTTTCTCCTTAATTCTTTCTGCCTCCAAGGCATTCTAGAGCCATTATCAGGCTGCATACAGTGAGGAAGCTCACTGCTCACGAAAAGGTTTTATAGAATGAGAGCCCTCCTTCTACTTTCTCTTGCACCATGTTGAGAAACTCACCCTCTTTTCTCCACTGTCTTCTTTCCTTTGCTCTCTCTTACTTAAGCATGCCTAAAAGGGCTTGCTGTACCATTATGCTGACAAGGGAGGTAAGATTCCAAGGTTTGGATTTGGACATAGGGGCTGTATACTTCCTCAGAGGCCTTTAAGTTGGTCTTTGTGCTCCAACCCAACTTCAACAGAGAGTGATCCAATTAGCAAAAAAATAACTCTGGTCCAGGGAAAAAAGGAGGCAAGCTTCCAAGAGCAAAGAGGTGTTTCTTTTGTTTGCACAACTAAAATTTACTAAATAGAGTACCATTTTTCTTCCAGCCACCTAAATTCTGAGGGAGCAGAGACATTATTCACTGTCTTAGGTGAGGTCCACCAAGAATCAGACACTGGACTAGACTTCCTAGTCCTTTTTAGTACCTTTCTAGTACTCTAGTCCTTTCTAGTACCAATCCTTTCTAGTTGTTACATAAAGGTTGCTCCTAAGATGTTAATTTCTTTTTTTTTTGTCTTTTTTATTTTTTAAATTTAGATTCCTTTTTTTTTTATTATTATTATACTTTAAGTTTTAGGGTACATGTGCACAACGTGCACGTTTGTTACATATGTATACATGTGCCACGTTGGTGTGCTGCACCCATTAACTCGTCATTTAGCATTAGGTATATCTCCTAATGCTCTCCCTCCCCTCTCCCCCTACCCCACAACAGTCCCCGGTGTGTGATGTTCCCCTTCCTGTGTCCATGTGTTCTCTTTGATCAATTCCCACCTATGAGTGAGAACTGCGGTGTTTGGTTTTTTGTCCTTGTGATAGTTTGCTGAGAATGATGGTTTCCAGCTTCATCCATGTCCCTACAAAGGACATGAACTCATCATTTTTTATGGCTGCATAGTATTCCATGGTGTATATGTGCCACATTTTCTTAATCCAGTCTATCACTGTTGGACATTTGGGTTGGTTCCAAGTCTTTGCTATTGTGAATAGTGCCGCAATAAACATACGTGTGCATGTGTCTTTATAGCAGCATGATTTATAATCCTTTGGGTATATACCCAGTAATGGGATGGCTGGGTCAAATGGTATTTCTAGTTCTAGATCCCTGAGGAATCACCACACCGACTTCCACAATGGTTGAACTAGTTTACAGTCCCACCAACAGTGCAAAAGTGTTCTTATTTCTCCACATCCTCTCCAGCACCTGTTGTTTCCTGACTTTTTAATGATCACCATTCTAACTGGTGTGAGATGGTATCTCATTGTGGTTTTGATTTGCATTTCTCTGATGGCCAGTGATGATGAGCATTTTTTCATGTGTCTGTTGGCTGCATAAATGTCTTCTTTTGAGAAGTGTCTGTTCATATCCTTTGCCCACTTTTTGATGGGGTTGTTTGTTTTTTTCTTCTAAATTTGTTTGAGTTCATTGTAGATTCTGGATATTAGCCCTCTATCAGGTGAGTAGGTTGCAAAAATTCTCTCCCATTCTGTAGGTTGCCTGTTCACTCTGATGGTGGTTTCTTTTGCTGTGCAGAAGCTCTTTAGTTTAACTAGATCCCATCTGTCAATTTTGGCTTTTGTTGCCATTGCTTTTGGTGTTTTAGACATGAAGTCCTTGCCCATGCCTATGTCCTGAATGGTATTGCCTAGGTTTTCTTCTAGGGTTTACATGGCTTTAGGTCTAACATGTAAGTCTTTAATCCATCTTGAATTAATTTTTGTATAAGGTATAAGGAAGGGATCCAGTTTCAGCTTTCTCCATATGGCTAGCCAGTTTTCCCAGCACCATTTATTAAATAGGGAATCCTTTCCCCATTGCTTGTTTTTGTCAGGTTTGTCAAAGATCAGATACTTGTAGATATGAGGCATTATTTCTGAGGGCTCTGTTCTGTTCCATTGGTCTATATCTCTATTTTGGTACCAGTACCATGCTGTTTTGATTACTGTAGCCTTGCAGTATAGTTTGAAGTCAGGTAACGTGATGCCTCCAGCTTTGTTTTTTTGGCTTAGGATTGACTTGGCAATGTGGGCTCTTTTTTGGTTCCATATGATAACTTTAAAGTAGTTTTTTCCAATTCTGTGAAGAAAGTCATTGGTAGCTTGATGGGGATGGCATTGAATCTGTAAATTACCTTGGACAGTATGGCCATTTTCACGATATTGATTCTTCCTACCCATGAGCATGGAATGTTCTTCCATTTGTTTGTATCCTCTTTTATTTCATTGAGCAGTGGTTTGTAGTTCTCCTTGAAGAGGTCCTTCTCATCCCTTGCAAGTTGGATTCCTAGGTATTTTATTCTCTTTGAAGCAATTGTGAATGGGAGTTCACTCATGATTTGGCTCTCTGTTTGTCTGTTATTGGTGTATAAAAATGCTTGTGATTTTTGCACACTGATTTTGTATCCTGAGGCTTTGCTGAAGCTGCTTATCAGCTTAAGGGGATTTTGGGCTGAGGCTAATGGGGTTTTCTCGATAAACAATCATGTCCTCTGCAAACAGGGACAATTTGACTTCTTCTTTTCCCAATTGAACACCCTTTATTTCTTTCTCCTGCCTGATTGCCCTGGCCAGAACTTCCAACACTATGTTGAATAGGAGGGGTAAAGAGAGGGCATCCCTGTCTTGTGCCACTTTTCAAAGGGAATGCTTCCAGTTTTTGTCCATTCAGTATGATATTGGCTGTGGGTTTGTCATAGATAGCTCTTATTATTTTGAGATACGTCCCGTCAATACCTAATTTATTGAGAGTTTTTAGCATGAAGCGTTGTTGAATTTTGTCAAAGGCCTTTTCTGCATCTATCGAGATAATCATGTGGTTTTTGTCTTTGGTTCTGTTTATATGCTGGATTACGTTTATTGATTTGCATATGTTGAACCAGCCTTGCATCCCAGGGATGAAGCCCACATGATCATGGTGGATAAGCTTTTTGATGTGCTGCTGGATTCTGTTTGCCAGTATTTTATTGAGGATTTTTGCATCAAAGTTCATCAAGGATATTGGTCTAAAATTCTCTATTTTGGTTGTGTCTCTGCCCGGCTTTGGTATCAGAATGATGCTGGCCTCATAAAATGAGTTAGGGAGGATTCCCTCTTTTTCTATTGATTGGAATAGTTTCAGAAGGAATGGTACCAGCTCCTCCTTGTACCTCTGGTAGAATTCGGCTGTGAGTCCATCTGGTCCTGGACTTTTTTGGTTGGTAAGCTATTAATTATTGCCTCAATTTCAGAGCCTGTTTTTGGTCTATTCAGAAATTCAATTTCTTCCTGGTTTAGTCTTGGGAGAGTGTATGTGTCGAGGAACTTATCCATTCCTTCTAGCTTTTCTAGTTTATTTGCATAGAGGTATTTACAGTATTCTCTGACGGTAGTTTGTATTTCTGTGGGATCGGTGGTGACATCCCCTTTGTCATTTTTTATTGTGTCTATTTGATTCTTCTCTCTTTTCTTCTTTATTAGTCTTGCTAGTTGTCTATCAGTTTTGTTGATCTTTTCAAAAAAACAGCTCCTGGATTCATTGATTTTTTGAAGGGTTTTTTGTGTCTCTATTTCCTTCAGTTCTGCTCTGATCTTAGTTATTTCTTGCCTTCTGCTAGCTTTTGAATGTGTTTGCTCTTGGTTCTCTACTTCTTTTAATTCTGATGTTAGGGTGTCAATTTTAGATCTTTCCTGCTTTCTCTTCTGGGCATTTAATGCTATAAATTTCCCTCTACACACTGCTCTGAATGAGTCCCAGGGATTCTGGTATGTTGTGTCTTTGTTCTTGTTGGTTTCAAAGAACATCTTTATTTCTGCCTTCGTTTCGTTATGTACCCAGTAGTCATTCAGGAGCAGGTTGTTCAGTTTCCATGTAGTTGAGTGGTTTTCAGTGAGTTTCTTAATCCTGAGCTCTAGTTTGATTGCACTGTGGTCTGAGAGACAGTTTGTTATAATTTCTATTCTTTTACATTTTCTGAGGAGTGCTTTACTTCCAACTGTGTGGTCAATTTTGGAATAGGTGTGGTGTGGTGCTGAAAAGAATGTATATTCTGTTGATTTGGGGTGGAGAGCTCTGTAGATGTCTATTAGGTCCACTTGGTGCAGAGCTGAGTTCAATTCCTGGATATCCTGGTTAACTTTCTGTCTTGTTGATCTGTCTAATGTTGACAGTGGGGTGTTAAAGTCTCCCATTATTATTGTGTGGGAGTCTAAGTCTCTTTGTAGGTCACTCAGGACTTGCTTTATGAATCTGGGTGCTCCTGTATTGGGTGCATATATATTTAGGATAGTTAGCTCTTCTTGTTGAATTGATCCCTTTACCATTATGTAATGGCCTTCTTTGTCTCTTTTGATCTTTGTTGGTTTAAAGTCTGTTTTATCTGAGACTAGGATTGCAATCCCTGCCTTTTTTTGTTTTCCATTTGCTTGGTAGATCTTCCTCCATCCCTTTATTTTGAGCCTATGTGTGTCTCTGCACGTGAGATGGGTTTCCTGAATACAGCACATCGATGGGTCTTGACTCTTTAATCAATTTGCCAGTCTGTGCCTTTGAATTGGAGCATTTAGCCCATTTACATTTAAGATTAGTATTGTTATGTGTGAATTTGATCCTGTCATTATGATGTTAGCTGGTTATTTTGCTCATTAGTTGATGCAGTTTCTTCCTAGCCTTGATGGTCTTTACAATTTGGCATGTTTTGGCAGTGGCTGGTACCAGTTGTTCCTTTCTATATTTAGTGCTTCCTTCAGGAGCTCTTGTAGGGCAGGCCTGGTGGTGACGAAATCTCTCAGCATTTGCTTGTCTGTAAAGGATTTTATTTCTCCTTCACTTATGAAGCTTAGTTTGGCTGGATATGAAACTCTGGGTTGAAAATTCTTTTCTTTAAGAATGTTTAATATTGGGCCCCACTCTCTTCTGGCTTGTAGAGTTTCTGCCGAGAGATCAGCTGTTAGTCTGATGGGCTTCCCTTTCTGGGTAACCCGACCTTTCTCTCTGGCTGCCCTTAACATTTTTTCCTTCATTTCAACTTTGGTGAATCTGACAATTATGTGTCTTGGAGTTGCTCTTGTCGAGGAGTATCTTTGTGGCGTTCTCTGTATTTCCTGAATTTGAATGTTGGCCTGCCTTGTTAGATTGGGGAAGTTCTCCTGGATAATATCCTGCAGAATGTTTTCCAACTTGGTTCCATTCTCCCCATCACTTTCAGGTACACCAATTAGATGTAGATTTGGTCTTTTCACATAGTCCCATATTTCTTGGAGGCTTTGTGCATTTCTTTTTATTCTTTTTTCTCTAAACTTCTCTTCATGCTTCATTTCATTCATTTCGTCTTCCATTGCTGATACCCTTTCTTCCAGTTGATCGCATCGGTTACTGAGGCTTGTGCATTCGTCACGTAGGTCTCGTGCCATGGTTTTCTGATCCATCAGGTCCTTTAAGGACTTCTCTGCATTGGTTATTCTAGTTATCCATTCGTCTAATTTTTTTTCAAAGTTTTTAACTTCTTTGCCATTGGTTCAAACTTCCTCCTTTAGCTCGGAGTAGTTTGAGCTTCTGAAGCCTTCCTCTCTCAACTCGTCAAAGTCATTCTCCGTCCAGCTTTGTTCCGTTGCTGGTGAGGAGCTGCGTTCCTCAGCTGGATGTTAATTTCTTGACATTTTTTTGCTTGTACTCAATTGGGACTTACATGCTCTTGTAATCAGAGAAATCATGCGGAGAAGCACAGAAGCTAATGGAAGGTATCCAGTAGATGTGAAGAGAGTACCCACAACTCTCTTGCAGTCATTTTGAGTATTTTTCTTCTTTCATCATCAGGTGTCCTGAAATTTCCAGCTGTCAATGATAAATGTACCCATTGGACGCAAAACATATATTTTAGTTTCATGACCTTTCATTCCCTATTAGTGTTACCTTAATTCCATCCCATCCTGTTATGAGAATGACTCTATCAATGTCTTTCTAGAAAACAAATGTAGGGATAAATTTATTCCAAAAAAATAAAACACCATCTATGCAAAGATGTCTTTGAAATCTTGATAATTAGTTCTATGAAACAACCCGGAGAAGTAATGCTTAACACTTTCCAAATGCATACTGATGGTAAGAAAAAGCATCAAATACTCACATTTGCATTTTGTCTAGACATGGCTACAAACTAAAATCCCTCAGTTGATCAGCTGGAGGGGCTAAATAAATCTCTGTTGTCAGTACAACAATAGCACTTGCTTGTTTTGTAGCAGTGCATATAAAAAGAATATTTAAATAAAAAATAGAATCTCAAGAAATATATTTTTTCAAGGTAAGCACTCACCACAGTATACTTGAATTATTAGTCTGATGTAACTTTACTAGAGAAATGACAGAAAAGAAGACAAGACTAATGATATGATATGATAATTGAGTTGGCAAGGACAAATTCCTAAGTAGCTAATTTAGTGTTCAGGGAAACCCCAAAATGCATAAGCATGATTTTTCCATACTAAAAATGAGTTATTGTAACTGATTTAGGCATGAGAGGTATTTTAGTATAATAAATCAATTATTTGGCATTGCATGTTAATAAGTTTTATCTAATCAATTTGCCATTGTAGTCACAGAGAAAATCTTGTAATATAACAAGCAGCATGATCAAGCTTGACCCCTATAATAATGCCTATTTATCTGCAGGCTATAACTGTAAAAGAAGAATAAATAAAGCAATTTTGTCATCCTGATCAAACAGTGTAGGCCACAGTTGATTCAGATGTTACAACAATGCAGATGATACAACTCACTGGGCAGCAGACTTCATGAGCACTAAGCAAAAATTAAAATTGACTGCATCAAAGTCGACTCCATTTTTGCCTAGCCTTCATTAAGGGTCAGCAAGAGAAAACAAACAAAAAAAAATAAAAACAAAAAATAAATATGTTCGTGAAAATGTCATTTGGGCTCTCATTTACTTGGCAGGGTATAGACAGAAAATACAGGTTTAATGCAAATAATTGATACTGTGATATGCCTTTATAGTTGAAAATAGTCAACATAGTACATTATAAAACCAGTAGAGAAAGTGGGAAGTTCTTAAGGAGTGAAGAAAATCCTTCAAATTTGGGTCACATTCCCATATTTAAATTATAAATGGCAAGTAGATGCTGAACATCCAGCTTAATGATCCTATCTTCTTGATTCTGCAATGGTATATCAGCATGTTTTTACAGTATAAAATTCTAGATTCATAACATTTAATTCTATTCACAAAATTCTGTTAGCAGGAAATCATCCTGTGACAATTTAACGAGGGCAGCCTTAAGATAGGTATTATGATAGCAGGATGCATAGACAAATCAGTCACAGTCAATACCTCCAATGAGCTTACAGTCTAAGAGGGAGAGATTGACAAGAGCACTAGAGTGGGATGGATACTAATACAGAACCATCTATGTGGTACATGGAGATGCAGAGAAAGAACAGTCAAATGATAGGTAGGCATAAATTAGTGCAACCATCATGGAGAACAGTTTGGAGGTTCCTCAAAGCTAAAAATAGAGCTATGATATACTCCAGCAATCCCCCTGCTAGGTATATGCCCAAAGAAAGGAAACCAGTATACTTAAGAGATATCTGCACTCCCATGTTTACTGCAGCACTATTCACAATAGCCAAGATTTGGAAGCAACCTAAGTGTCTATCATCAGACGAATGGATGAAGAAAAGTGGGAGCACTATTCAGCTATAAAAAAGAATGAGATCCTGTCATTTGCAACAACATGAATAGAACTGAAAGTCACTATGTTAAGTGAAATAAGCCAGGCACAGAAAAACAAACTTCACATATTCTCATTTATTTATGGGAGCTAAAAATTCAAACAATTGAACGCATGGAGATAGAGAGTAGACGGTGGTTACCAGAAGCTAGGAAGGGTAGTTGGGGGTAGGAAAGGGGATGTGGGGATGGTTAATGGGTCCAGAAATAAACTTAGAATAAATAAGATCTAGTATTTGATAGCACAACAAAGGGACTACAGTCAACACTAACTTATTGTACATTTAAAAATAAGTAAAAGAGTATAATTGGATTGTTTGTAACACAAAGAAAGGATAAATTATTGAGGTGATGGACACCCCATTCACCCTGATGCAATTGTTACACATCGTATGTCTGTATCAAAATATGCCATGTACCCCATAAATATATGTATCTAATATACAGCCAATAAAAACCATAAATTAAAAAATATATAGGTAGGCAGGGAAGCATGTCACAGAAAGCTTTATAAATAATGCGACACTCAGGTTATTTGTTAACTGTGGAATTTACATTCGTATTTTTGCAAAATCAGTTTCAAAGTTCTAGAACACATTCTGAGTTAAGAATAAGAAAATTTAGGCTGGGCATGGTGGCTTATGCCTGTAATCCCAACACTTTCGGAGGCTGAGGTGAGTGTATCACTTGAGGTCAGGAGTTCGAGACCAGCCTGAACAACATGGTGAAACCAGATGTCTACTAAAAATAAAAAATAAAAAATAAAAAATAAATTGGCCAGGTGTGGTGGCGCACACCTGTAGTGGTGCACACCTGTAGTCCCTTCTATCAGGAAGCTGAGCCAGGAGAATTATTTGAACATGGATGGCAGAAGTTGCAGTGGGTCGAGATCACACCACTGCCACTGTACTCCAGCCTGGGCAACAGAGTCAGACTCCATCTTAAAAGATAATAACAATAATAAGAAAATTTAAGAGTCAACTGGATTTCTAAATTTATTAAGTTGGTGCAAAGTAATTGTGGATTTTTGCCATTACAACCAACCTAATACTTTTCTATATCCTTTTAGCTGGATAGTAACCACATCACTGAGTACTATTTCTGTCACTGGATACTTATAAAATCAAATTAACAACTATATTAAAGACATTGTTCGAGGTGACAAGTGAAAGCAAACTAACTAACTAAATAAATACATAAATGATTAAAGCACAACCTTTACAACCCAGGAAGGAAACAACTTATAAAACAAATTTAAGCACATAAAGAGTTGAATATTAAAAACTTAAGATAGGTTTTAACAACTGGAAAGCCATCCTTTCTTCGTGGATAAAACACTTCAACACCATAAACATGTCATTTATCATTCAATCCATGTGTTTATTACAACCTCTGTAAAATACCAACAAAAATTTTCAAAGTCAGCAAGTGAGATTTAAAGTCTGGCCATCAGAGAAATGCAAATCAAAACCACAATGAGATACCATCTCACACCAGTTAGAATGGCAATCATTAAAAAGTCAGGAAACAACAGGTGCTGGAGAGGATGTGGAGAAATAGGAACACTTTTACACTGTTGGTGGGACTGTAAACTAGTTCAACCATTGTGGAAGTCAGTGTGGCGATTCCTCAGGGATCTAGAACTACAAATACCATTTGACCCAGCCATCCCATTACTGGGTATATACCCAAAGGACTATAAATCATGCTGCTATAAAGACACATGCACACGTATGTTTATTGCGGCATTATTCACAATAGCAAAGACTTGGAACCAACCCAAATGTCCAACAATGATAGACTGGATTAAGAAAATGTGGCACATATACACCATGGAATACTATGTAGCCATAAAAAATGATGAGTTCATGTCCTTTGTAGGGACATGGATGAAATTGGAAATCATCATTCTCAGTAAACTATCGCAAGAACAAAAAACCAAACACCGCATATTCTCACTCATAGGTGGGAATTGAACAATGAGATCACATGGACACAGGAAGGGGAATATCACACTCTGGGGACTGTGGTGGGGTGGAGGGAGGGGGGAGGGATAGCATTGGGAGATATACCTAATGCTAGATGACGAGTTAGTGGGTGCAGCGCACCAGCATGGCACATGTATACATATGTAACTAACCTGCACAATGTGCACATGTACCCAAAAACTTAAAGTATAATAAAAAAAAAAAGAAAGAAAGAATGGAGTATAGTCCTTAAACGAGCTCAATCCACTTTCTTCAGGCCCTGGAAAACACGAATGCCAGCAGATAAATTCACCTGATTAAAATAAATAAATAAATAAATAAATAAATAAAGTCTGTATAACAGAAACATACGGAATGAAGTTAGAAAATGAAAAATCATATCCATCATAGAACCACAGCTATCTGATCAGCAGCTAGTGTTACCAGATACTGAAATATGTACTAAAGTCTCTATATTTGAAAGACTGTGATATAGTACATTGAATAGAGAGACTAAGCAGTGGGGAAAAAATTAGGAAGTCCAGGAAAAAAAACCCAAATACAAATAGAAGTTTGTATATTATATAAATGTCAACTCAATCCACCAGATAAAAAAAGTACACTTTTTAAATAATGAGTGTCAAGACACTCTATAATCATTTGGAAAATGATGAAATTGCATCCATTCCTTATACCATATGTCAGAATAAACTCCAAATGCATCAAGAATACAAATGAAATACATGAAGTTATAAAAATATTAGAAAAAAAAGTTGGATCCATTCCTTTATAACCTGAGTGTGGGGAAAACCTTTCTATGTCTAAAATACAGATGCAATAAAAGATTGATAAATGTGGCTCTATAAAAATGAATTTTCTATAAGGCAAAAAAGAAAATCACAATAAAAGAGTATAAAAATCTGGGAGAAAATGTTTGCAACATACATCATAGTTAAAAGACTAATAGTCAAGAAGTCACTATGGTGACCAGGAGATCGAGAGGCTTCTTGGTAACTGGTACCAGCTATATGAAAGCAATTGCCACTGCTTTCCTGGAACTTGAGTAAATACAATCAAGTGGCATTTTAAATTTTTGCTGGAAGTGGAGTCATGAGACTGAAGATATCTCTTTTAAGAGAACCAAAGCATCAAGAATTAGTAAGCTGTGTAGGCTGGACTACTGCTGAAGGGCTGTATTCATATAGTGATGATCACCAGATAGTGAAGAGGAACTTGTTCACTAGTGGAACAACTCAAATAGTAAAGCTTCCTGATGATATTTACCCTATAGATCTTCACCGGTTTCCAAAGAGTTTGAGTATAAGAGACAAATTCAAGCAGAAAGCTTTGTCCTCATAAGTTCTGATGATAAATTTAATTTGATTTCCAAGTTAGAAAGAGTGGAAAAAAGTGTAGCAGCTCACTCTGGAGAATACTTGCAGGAAGATAGAATGATGAAGCAACAGCATTAGTTACAATTGGAGAAGGTGGACAAATAAAAATTTGGTCAAAGACTTGGATGCTTAGATCAACTTTAGCTCAGCAAGCCCAGGTCAGCTCCTGACTACTCCCAGAGAATATTCCCAGAAAATATACTTATCAAGTACAGAAAAAGGAGGAGTGCCTTCTGAGGAATGGTATTCAGTAGTGTGGGGTCCTGATTCAGAAAATGTTCTTTATACAGCAGGCAAGCAGCTAATCATTAAACCTCTTCAGTGGCCGACACAGTGGCTCACGCCTGTAATACCAGAACTTTGGGAGGCTGAGGTGGGTGGATCACCTGAGGTCAGGAGTTCAAAACTAGCCTGGCCAACATGGTGAAACCCCTGTCTCTACTAAAAATACAAAAAAATAGCCGGGCGTGGTGGCGGGCGCCTGTAATCGCAGCTACTTGGGAGGCTGAGGCAGGAGAATTGCTTGAACCTGGGAGGCGGAGGTTGCAGTGAGCCGAGGTCACGCCACTGCACTCTTGCCTGGGAGACAGAGTGAGACTCTGTCTCACAAAAAGAAACCTCTTCGATCAAATGCTAAAGTTTTACAGAAGGCTTATGATGGCATCATTTTAAAAATAGATTGGAACTCAGTCAATAATCTTATCTGCTGGTGAAGACTGTAAATATAAGGCATGGGATAGTTACAGCCACCCACTGTACAATTCACAATCTCATGAGCATCCTATTACTTTAGTTGCCTGGGCTCCAGATGGAGAATTGTTTGCTATTGGATTATTTCATACTTTACACTTACGTAATAAAACTGGGTGATCACATGCTTTAGAAAAACACTGGTAGCATATTTAATATTGCGTGGTCAACTGACGGCACTCAGACTGCTGGAGTGTGTGGAATTGGGCATGTTGTTTTTGCACCTGTGGTGGAAAAACACTGGGAGTGGAAAAAGTTTCAAGTAATATTAACTAAAAGAAGGACCATACAGGTTCGTAACATTCTTAATGATGCAGTGAACTTATTGGAATTCCATCATGGCCACTAAAGTATCTTTGAACTCTGCACACTTAGTTGTTTCAATGTCTCTTCAATGTTATGTGGTCTCCACAAAGAACTGGAATACACCAATTATATTTGATCTCAAAGAAGGAACTGTTAGTTTTATCCTGCAGGCAGAAAGACATTTTCTTCTTGTAGATGTTAGTAGTATCGATTTATATTCATATGAAGGGCCCTTTATTTCATCTCCAAAATTTCCTGCAGTGAGAACACATATTCTGAATGCACAGACTGTGTCTCTGAGTAATGATACCATAGCAATGAGACAAAGCTGATGAAAAAATAATCTTTTTCTTCAAGGTATCAACTGGAAAACTATTAGATGATGGAAAGCTTCTTCCTCGTAAGGATGCAATCTTGAAAATTGCTCTGGATCAAAAAGGACTTACCAATGATAGAAAAGTCACTTTCATTGATAAAAATAGAGATATCTATATCACTTCTGTGAAACGATTTGGGAAGGAAGAAAAAATTCTCAAACTTGGAACAATGGTGCATACTTTGGCCTGGAGTGATACATGCAATGTCCTTTGCAGGCTTCAAGATACTCAATTTACAGTGTGGTATTATTCCAATATGGTTTATGTGGACAGTGACACTTTGCCTAAAACATTACGTGAAAGGGATACAAACGAATTCAGTAAAAATTCCCAAATTGTGAGTTTTGTTGGAAATCAGGTAACTATAACAAGAGTTAACGGCCCTCTGGTTCACATCAGTGTATCACCATATCCTGTTATTCTCCCTGAATATGGAGGCAGTTCAAAATGGGAAGATGATGTAAGACTTTGCTGCTTTGTTGAGGAGCAAACAATGTGAGCTTGTCTAGCTGCTATGGCAGTTGCTAATCAAAATATTACTATGACAGAAATAGGCTATGCAGCAATTGGCGAAATTGATAAGTTTCAGTACATCAATTCTATAAAAAGTCTTCCATTTAAAGAGTCAAAAAATGGCCCACATACTAAGGTTTAGTGGAAACATACAGGAGGCTGAAATAGCACTTCTTCAGGCTGGCCTCATTATCAAGCAATCCAGATCAATATTAATCTCTACAACTGAAAAGGGCACTGGAATTGGCTGCAAAATACAAAACACATGTTGATACGGTTGTTGCTTACTGTCAAAAGAAAAGTTTTTGGAGACATTTGGTAAAGAGGAAACATAAACAATACTTGCAGTATGCAGAAGGTCTCCAAATAGATTGAGAGAAAAATCAAAGCCAAAATTGAGATTGAAATTACAAAAGAAGGAGAACAATCATCAAGCAGCCAATCCAGTAAGAGTATGGGTCTAAAGCCCTACATGCCATGCTTATATTTAAGAAGTTTTGTATTTTGAAATGAATTCTGATTAACTAAGGATAAGCATGTTTTGGCTGATAAAAAAAGGATTACCTTTAAATAAGTATAAGCACTTGCTGTGTATTTAACGTAAAAGTACATTCAGAAAGATGAAAAACAAAGTAATTTATGTACTTCTTGGTTTTATATTTTTCTAAACCAATAATTAGCAAAATATTACGGTATACTTACGATATGCCTGTGTAGTGTTAATTATATTTCAGTTTTTTGCCCATTATTTCATCCCTGAATCTTCAGCCTGAAAAAATATGAATGCTGATAATAAAACATTGAACTATTTAAAAATGTATGTTATTATTAATTTCTATTTGACCTCTAAATTGTGAAATGCCTCGAAAAGTTTATTTATAGAACAAAAATACTTGAGGATGGATTTGCGCAAATGTTTAAAAAGCAGATACTTATAAGCCAAAGTTCACAGCAGCATTACTTGAATAGCAAAAGGCGGAAACAACTCAAATATCTATCGTGAATGGATAAACAAATGTGGTACAATACATACAATGGAATATTATTTAGCCTTAAAAAGGGATGAAATTCTGATAAATGCTACAACAGGATAAACCTTGAAAACCTATGCTTAGTGACATAAGCCAGACACAAAAGATCAATTATGATACCACTTATATGAGGTACTAGCATAGGCAAGATCATATAGAAAGGAGAACAGTGTTTACCAGAGACAGGTGGGGAGAAGGAAGGGTAGGGGTTGGCTATTGATTAACGGGTACATAGCTTCTGCTTGGGATGAACAAATTCTGAAAATGAATGGTAATGATGGTTGCTCAACATTCTGAATGTTAATGCCACTGAATTGTACCCATAAACGTGGTTAAAATGGTAAATTTTGTTATGTATATTTTATCATAATTTTAAAAATGTACCTAAAATGGGTAAGAAGGCTTCTCCTCACTCCTTTCCTGACTTGAGATGGTCAGGCAATAGGCCCTGAAGTCTGAATTTGTGAAAATCTTCTTAAATGATAAACCTGTTTGACTAGTCTTAATCATCTGTCTCCAAATTATTACCACGTAACTTTTTAAAAAATAAATACCGCTTAGAAAATCTTATGTGAACCCATTTTTGGACATTGTACATTATAGAGTGCGTTTATGTGTATATATGGAATTACATATAAATATGTTACATGCGTATAAAGGGATAAAGGGATTGTGTCTCTTACCCCTATCTGAATTACTATGTCTAGTTTTTTTTTAATAGAAATCTTTTATTTTTAACATGTTTCTTTTCTTTTCTGGAATGTTGGAATATTCTGCTCTTGACCCAGATACTGGGTACAAGAGTGTACTTGTACTCAGTTTATGAAATCTGATTGAGCAGTGTACTTATAAGTTGTACTGTTTATATATTTTCTATATTGTTATATTTCAATGAAAAGCTTAAAAATTAAAAAATGGTTAAAAGAGTTTTGTTATATATATTTTACCACAATAAAAAAGTAAAAAAAAGTGTCTATGTTCTAGAACAACAACAAAAAAGGCTAATAGCCAATATAAAAATATTTTTAAAGTTTGAAGGAAAAAACCCACTAGAAAAATGAACAAAACTATATACACTGGTGGTTTGGAATAAGACAAATATAAAATCTTTAAACATATGAAAAGATTATTGATTTCATTCACAATAAAATAAATGCAAATTAAAATTACGTTGAAATATGTCAATTGAGTGGCAAAAATATAGAAGTTTGACAATATACATTGTTGATGAGACTCTGGAAAAACAAGCATACTCATATATTACTAATGGCAATCCAGAATGATGTAATCCCTATGGAGAATAATTGCTAAACCTAACAAGCCTATTCATACACTGACCCAGAAATCCCTAGGTATTTACTCTGATGACACGCCTCATAGAAAAATACATCTACAGTGCTATTCATTGTTGTGGTAAGTTATTAGACACCAATTCACAAGATATTGGCAGGATTAAACTTTGTTACATCCACAGAAAGGGGTATTATGTAGCAATAAAGACAATGACAAAGATCTCCATAAAGTACTGAAGTAATCTCTAAGATAGATTGTTGGGTTAAAAAAACAGCAAACTTGAGACAACTGAATATCAAAGTGAGAAATGATAGAAATGGATGAGAATATTGAATACCGAATGAATCTGGAATCTATACTGATACTACAATAAATTTTAAAAAGAGAATTAAAGGAGATGATAAAATCTTCTTTATAGAAGAGTGCCAATTAATACATGTAAAAAGACTGATAGAATTAGAAAAACCATCATTTTGCAAACTTGATGGTAATTATCAATTCAAGCAAGAATTATCAATGGATGCTAAAGCTAGTTTGTAGAAGACTGATGAAAAATAGGATATTCTCAGAATCTCGAAGTATTTCCCCAGAGATTATTTATTTACTAAAATAACTTACTCTTTGTTCAGTAAACACCTCAGGTGTATGGTTAAGAAAAACAGATTTCAGCCAGGCAGTCAGGTTGTATTAGCTACTCCTACTCTCCCCATTGGTATGACTCACCACAGAATCAGTTCATCTAGAGTGGCAGGAAAAAGTACTGCGACCTCCCACTGGTCAGAGGCCCCACCACACATGGTAATAATTCCACCTCCAGTTAAGAACAGGTGCTCTGAAAAATTTATGGGCATCAATGCTTATATATAAAATTTATACTGAAGAGAGCAATTGTATTATTCAGGGGAAAAAAAAGATGGAAATTCACCAATAAATATCTTTTAAGAAAAATGTGTAGGTTAAAAGTATTCTGAATTTTTAACAGGGTTGTTAAACAAATTCAATGGGGAACAGAAAAATCTTTTCAACAAATGTTGCTAGACAACTAGATATCCACATAAAAAAGAATGAAACTAAACCCCTGTTTTATACCATATGCAAAAATTAACTCAAAACAAATCTGAAAACTAAATAAAACTCTTAGAAGAAAACATATAAATAGCTCTTCATGACTTTGGATTTGGCAATGGTTAGCTATGATACCAAAAACACAAGCAAAAAAAGAAAAAATTGATAATTTACACTCCATCAAAATTTAAAATTTTTGTGTTTCAAAGGACGCCATCAAGAAAATGAAAAGACAACTCACAGATTGAGAGAAAATATTTTAAATCACATATGGCATAAGGGACTTGTAACTAGAATATATAAAAATATCATACAATTCAACAATAAAAAGAAAAAATAACCAAACTAAAAACTGGGCAAATAATTCGAATATATATTTTGCTCCAAAGAAGATATACAAATGGCCAATAAGCACACGGAAAAACACCCTTAGTAATTAGAGAAAGGCAAATTTAAACTAGCAGCTACACGAGATGATGGATATGTTAATCTGCTTGACTATAATAACAATTTTACTATCTATATGTATCTGATAACATCATGTTGTAAACCTCAAATATGCACAATAAAATTTATTTTAAAAAATATCACAATGAGATACCACCTCACCACGAACAGGATGAGTATAACAAAAAAGTCAGGTAATAACAAGTGTTGGTGAGAATGTGGAGAAAGTGGAACTCCCCCACACCCCCCACCCCGCCTGCCACATTGCTGGTGGGATTGTCAGGTTGTGCAGCCACTTTGGAAAACAGTTGGGAAATTCTTCAAACAGTTAAACAAAGAGTTCCACTGAACCAAGTAATCCTACCTCTAGATCTACATCCAAGGAAACTTTAAATATATGTTATCATAAAAACCTGTACACAAATATTCATAGCCGCATTCACAATAGCCAAAAAGTGGAAATAGCTTTTTCCAATCAGCATATAGAGGGATGAATGGATAGACAAGTGTGGTATATCCATAATATGAAATACTGCTCAGGCACAAAAAGGAATGAAGTTACTGTTATGTGCTACAACATAGAGAAACCTTGAAAACATTATAATATGTAAAAGAAATCAGATGCAAAAGGCTACATCTTACATTATTCCATTTATATGAAAGGTTCAGAAAAGGCAACTCCACAGGGACAGAAGGTAGATTAGTGGTTGCCAGAGGCTGGGGGCAGGGGAAAAAGAGAGTGACGACAATAAACATGGGGTTTCTTTTTGGGGTGACAAAAGTTCCAAAATTAGATTATGGTGATGGTTGTACATCTCTAAATATGCTAAAAATTATTGAATTTTATTTACACTTTAAAAGGGTGGATTTTATATTACGTAAATTTATTTTGATAAAGTTGTAATAGGAAAAACTTATTCTGAAATTAAAGCCTAAGCTGTGAGTGATACAAGGCCCAAAGGGAAATGGTCTTTAATAATGCCACCTGTCAATAGAGCCATCTATCAAACCAGGACCCAAGAGTATGTAAATGAAGTCATATGATGGCACAGAATAGATGAAAAGAGTAGGACACCCCACTGAGGGACAAAACATCATCCCAAAATAGGGTATCCCAAGTTCTGGTTGTCTACACATTAACTAATACAAGATTGCATAGAAATTGTGGCAAGAGTAGAAACCTGTTTCCCTTGACAAGAACCAAATGAATCACCCCAAATGGCTGGATGTTTACAAACTCCTCTGTCATACATCTTTGCTCCTACCTAAGAGGAAAGCCAGAGGAAAAAAGCACAAACTTGCTTAGAGAAGACAGAATCCTACAGCCTCCATTTCTGTGGTTTCTACATCTGACCAAATCCAGAGTAAAAATAAACGGCTGCTAAAAGAGAACTGGGAAACTTTGACTGGGCTTCAAAATTCAAAGTCCATGTACATTTAATTAGCAAGGCATACATGAAGTGACACATGTTCCTGTATCTGCTGGCTTAATATCTCCAGAAATTGCAGTGTAAATGTTGCCCAAATTCTCTGTCTGTTGCATAGTGATCTCCTGATGAAATTGACATGTTGCTCAAGGCTGCCTCCTTTATTGCATAAATGCATTAAAATAAATTTCCATGTCCAGAATTATTTTAGCCACTTTGTGAAAAAAAATATATGGTTTTAAAAATGTATGATTTCAAAACCCATCCACATATAAGGTAAATTTACCATAAGCTTATTTTAGTAGAGTCCTGGGATGAAGCCATCATTGTTCTGAGGCAAGAACATGTTATAAGCCTTTCCTTATAGAGCAGCAGTCATGTTTCCAGGCTGAATAGGGAGCATCTAGTGGGCTTCTTAAGGACAAGAAGTGTGATAGACTCATTTTGTCGTACTTTCGTAACATTGATGCTCAATGTTATGCGCAGTAGATTCTCAGTAAGTGGTTTCTTTTTCTTTTTCTTTTTCTTTTCTGAGACAGAGTCTCGCTCTGTCACCCAGGCTGGAGTGCAGTGGCACGATCTCGGCTCACTGCAAGTTCCACCTCCCGGGTTCACGCCATTCTCCTACTTCAGCCTCCCGAGTAGCTGGTACCACAGGCACCCACCACCATGCCCGGCTAATTTCTTGCATTTTTAGTAGAGACGGGGTTTCACCCTGTTAGCCAGGATGGTCTCGATCTCCTGACCTTGTGATCCGCCCGCCTCAGCCTCCCAAAGTGCTGGGATTACAGGCGTGACCCACCACACCCGGCCTCAGTAAGTGGTTTCTAAGCCACTAAGTTAATGAATGACAAATAACCAGGTGACATGTGGTTACCATCTATCAGTTGTCCTCCACTGGAATATAAGATTCTTCACTTCCCCTATTTTGTATTTGTATCTTTCCTCTTTCATAGGGATAACTTTTGTTCTTAGCAGTATCAGTATATTTACCCATTTGCCTAAACCTGCAGGTGTGTTCCGGTTGAAAAGTCACTATTGAAGTTATCCCTACGGACTCACATTTTCAATGATAAGCTCAAAATTCATCAGTGATAAATCCCTATGTATTTTCATTTCATGCTTTATGTCAAAAATAAGATTTTTCTGACAATTATTTGATCTAGGGCTCCAAAACCTGATTCTGAAGTATTGTGATATTTTATAGAGGTTGAGTATTCCTTATCTTGGGAAAAGAAGTGTTTTCCACTTCTAATATTTTCCGATTTCAGAATATTTGCATTATATGCCAGTTAAGCACCCCAAATTTAAAAATCGCAGCATCTTGTTGGTGCTCACAATGTTTCATATTTCAAATATTCAGATTAGGAATGCTCAACCTGGAATGCCAAGCCTCAGCACCATCATGCTAAGTTGAGATGTACTCGATCGGATTGTGAAACATTACACAAATCTTATCAACTAATCCTCTTCATCACTGACGGCACTATACCCCCAACTTCAAAACGCAAATAAAGTAAAAACAAAGTACTATTTATTACTTTATCAATTTTAAAATGTCTCAATATGGTATTAGCTAACAGTTACATAGCATTTATTATGTACCAGATATCCATCTTTATCTATACTAAGTAATTTAATCTTCACAACAACCCCATGAGGTAATATTATTTTCATTATTCTCATTTGACAAATGAACAAAGTGAGGAAAAGATAAGCAACTTGGCCAATGTCACACAACTCATAAATCAGAGAGCTGGTATTAAATCCAAGACAATTATCTCCGAATCATGCTCTTAACTACTATGCTATGTAGCTTTGGGTTGATGAAAAGAGTATGGTGTTCCAGGCATGTCTATTCATTGCTGGTTAGAGGTATATGGGAACAATATTTCCAAAAGACAATTTCTTATGTATCTCTCTGAGTCTTGACAGTCATTTTTAGTCTTTAATATTTTGACTTCTACGCATTTATTCTAAAGAAATAATATTTAAAATGAAACAGATTTATATACAGAGAAGTGTTATTTATAATCACAAAAAGAAAATAGAAAATATGCCAAGTGTTATGAGAGTGTTTAATTATAATTTGTAGAGACAATGAAATATTTGACTACCAATTAAAATGATATTTAAGGATTTTTATGATATGGGAAATATTTGTGACATATGCTAAGCCAAATGCAGGATACAAAGTTTTATATATACTACCATCTTATATTTTAAAATATAGAAAGGTATTCATTTAACAAACATTAAAGAGCTCCTCTACGTTATCCATTAATAAGCAAAACAGACAAAGTCTGCTGCTCTGGTGTAGCTAACTTTCCATGGAAGCAGGTAAACAATGAGTATATTAAGTGGATAAATTATGCAGTGAATTCAAAGGCTAAGTGCAATTACAAAGAGAACAGAGCAGAGTGAGGGGAATTGGGTATGCTGGGTTGGTGCATGCAGGTTGCAAAGTTAAATACAGATAAGTCTCACTGAGACAGTATGATCTGAGTAAAGACTGGGAGGAGGTAGAGGATTTAGCCAAGTGAATACCTGAGGCAAGAACATTTCAGGCTGAGAGAACAGCTACAGCAAAGGCTCAGTTGCAGACACTGTTAGTACCATAGGCATATTCTGGGTGCTCACCTCTACACACCTGAAGACAGTTTACTGCAAACACCTGTGACTCACTTCCAGCAGGCCTTTATTTTCAGGCCAAAGAGCATCCTAAGCCAGTACTTGGGGCAAGCTGGAAGTTAATAGCCCTGGAAGCAAAACTCAACCAATGACAGCTAGGGAGTTGTTGAAAAATACCCCCAGCTTTCCCAGCCTGTGTAGGATAACACAGAGACATGTTCCACACTGTCCCCTAGAGAGTGTTTCTCAAACATTAATTAGGGTGTAAGAATCACCTGAAGCCCTTGTTAAAATTTTAACAAGATTTTGATTAAGTAGGTCTGGGGTGGGGCCTGAATCTCATTTTAACAAACTCCCAGGTGATAGCATCATGCTGGTTCACAGACCACACCTTAAGTAGCAAGGTCAGGGTTCTTAAGTGGGATTGGACCCACCTGCCTACAGCCTAAGTCTATCTTGTGTCAGCTTCCTTTCTATACCTGACTCCTAGTCTCTCTCCCAGTTTTAATTTGGCATCACCTTTGAAATAAACTAGTTGCATTTACCCTGTCTTAGAGTCTGTCTGCTTCTGGGAGAAACCTACCCATAGGAATGAGCCTGGTAAACTAGAAGAACATAGTGAATCCAGGTGACTAGAACAGAGTGATTGAAGGTTTCAGCAGTAAGAACAAGAAAGGAGCTTGGAGAGGTAATGAGGAAAGAGCGTAAAGGCCACAGTAAGGGGTTTGGCTTGTTCTCTGAGTAAAATGGGGGTGGGGTGGGGGAGGCACATTGCAGAGTTTTGAAAAGAGGATGACATTATGACATACTGACATTAACAGCCTCACTCTGGCTACTGGTGGGGGTCAAGGGAAGAAGCAGGGAGGCCATTGCATCCAGTGCAGAGATGATGAAGGCAAAGGATGGGGGGCTGGAAAGGGAAGCAAATGAAGGTGGGGGAGTGACATGTAAGAAGTCATCAGATTCTAGACACCCAAGTGAAGCAGTCAAGGAAACAGTTACATCCTAATAGGCTAGAGTCTAGGAGGGAAGTTCATACTAGGAAATATAAGCGTGGTCATCTTCAGCACGCAAGTGGCATTCAAAGTTATGGGACCAAATGGGATCACCGAGAATGCCAGTGTAAGTAGGAAAATATACAACCATAAATAGGAAAAAAAAGAGTCCAAGAACTGAGCCCTGGAACACTGCAGGCTTAGAAAACTGGAAGTGAACATGCTCAAAGTCAATGGTAGAAATATCTGTGTGGAGGGATTCTAGTTGGTTATTTTTCCTTACTTTCATTAGCTTGACTTTAGTGTCATCTGTGGAGCCAAAGACCCAAGGGATATGCAACACCAATGGCATGTCATTCTGTTTCATTGTCGCCCTGCCAGTCAGGAACAATATGAAAAGAATCTAGAATATTTTGACAACTCAAATCAGGCAAATAAAATTAAATGAAGTTTCAAAAGTATTACATAAGCATGTGAAACTTCTGATGGAATGGAAAGAAAATGTGTTTTGAGCCAGATGAGAAAACATTAAAACATACTAAGAGAATCAAATAAGTGCAAAACCGAACAAAACAGTGAAGAAAAATTACAAACAATCTCGATGAGACTGGACAGAAATGTTATATAACAATAATCTGAATGCAGGAGGGGGCACAATGTCTTCTAAAGGGCATGAGGTCCCTGTTGCTATAGCAATTATAAAAAGCACGTTGATTTGTAGGTAAGTGACATGTGGAGAATCAACTGCATCTAGACCCCATATATTCCATTAATTTGTAGCCTTTACTGGCCCAAGATAGTACAACCATTCTTTAAACAGAAAGGATTGGAATTTACCACAGAGAGGCTACATCAAGCCCACAATTATATTGTAACTGTGTTAAGTTCATGAAAATTATTTATGTAAAAATGGAAATAACCTATATGTATTAAAATGTTAGAAATACTTAAGATAATTTGATTAAACATAGGAGTCTTTGGATTCTAAATTGAAACATAATTGATTTTGAAATTGTGATCTTAGTTATTCAAAGAGAACTGTTAGGTTTCTTAAACAGTGTTGAGATGTTTAAGATAACTTGATATTGACTTCATAAGTTTAATTTATTTTAAAGAATCACTTAATCACTTGGAAAGATTCTGTTTATCAAAGTTTTCATAAAGAAAACTAAATATTTTCAAGTATAACTGCAGTTTAAAAAGTTAAAAATTGTTTTGCTAACCTCATTTGTAAATGGGAGATAACATTAATTTAAAGCCTCCTTAATTTTAACAAGTGATTGCTAACATCTCCTATATTTAAAACAGAATAAGATATACAAATGGGGCCAGTAGCAGTGGTTCATGCCTGTAATCCCAGCACTTTGAAAGGCAGAGGTGGGCGGATCACTTTGAGGCCAGGAATCCCAGACCAGCCCAGCCAACATGGTGAAACTCCACCTCTACTAAAAATACAAAAATTAGCCAGGCATTGTTGCACGTGCCAGTAATCCCAGCTACTGCAGCTACTCAGGAGGCTAAGGTATGAGAATTGCTTGAACCAGGGAAGCAGGAGGTTGCAGTAAGCCAAGGTCACACCACTGTACTCCAGCTTGTGCAACACAGACTCTGTCTCAGGAAAAAAAAAAAAAAAATATATATATATATATATATATATATGTATATGTATATACACACACACATATACATACAAGTATAACATAAAAGCATAAGAGAATCTATTTTTAAGGTAACTGTAATAAATTAAATATTAATTTTAAAATGATATATGTAAACAGAATGTACTTGCTCAGAAGCTGCCTCAAAGACAGCAAAAAACCTCCATTGCTTTTACACTTCTCACTTTTTGGTAAAAGAATACAGATTTCCATATATTTGCTAAATTTTATATACTATACAAATATTAATAAAAAATACATTAATAGTACACAAAGAAAACTGCCCAAATGAATGTACTCCATAACAGCACTTGCATAAATGGCAAACCTAACCATTTTGTCCCTAAGTGCAAAGTGAATGGCGTTAGATCACTTACAGAAGAATTTATGGGAGTATCTTATATAAATCAGACAACTATTCTAATAAGTGAACACCACATCCAAAAACAGACCAATCAAATCTCTAATGTTAGAAGTATCTCCTACCATATGTCAAATGTATATAGATACTAGCGTAATTTAAAAAAATATATATAAATTCATTTTGATGTATAAATGAATTCAAACTTGCTTTTTCCTCCAAAACAGTGAAACAATTATTGGCCTTGTAATCACTTACCAAATGACAAGCATTGTGCTAAGCCTTTTGGACAATTTTTTTTTATTTTTGCATGATAAATCAATGAGAAAAATACTCTTATTACCGCAATTTTACAGCTGTAGAAGGTAGGGAACAGACGGTTTAAACTATTTGCCCACGGCACATTGTGGAGATGCTCAGGGTGGAAAAAACTGTATCTTTCTGACTGTGAAGCACCTACTTTAAACCACATCACCGGAGTGCCTAAAAGGGCAACAACTGTAGAACAGGAAACCTGCAAAATTATGTAGACACTAGAAAGGTAGCTAGTACTCAAAACAGATGGAAGCAGTGGTGCTAAACTCAAGGCAGCTATTTCTCTTTCAAGAAGCATTTAAGGTTTAGGAACACCTTTAACTGGAAAGCACACAGAAATACTTAGGACAGGTCTCCCCTTAATGCTAGGTCTTTCAGTAGCCCAAATCATATAAAATAAATTACATTTAGTATCCACAGCAGGCCCATTTTCTTGGCATTCCTGCCCTTCATGCAGGCACAGTGGCCTGCTTCTCGTGACTTAAGAGCAGAAGGTCCATTCATTTAATGACTCTCCCTGCTTTCCCAGAATCCTCTCAACTGAATCACCGAAGGTTTTCCATGTTCATAAAGTCATAGAAATTCAGAGGCAAAAGAACTTTGGAAGTTATCTATTCTGTTTTGGTCTTTGAACACCTCAAATTTTGCTACAATTTAGCAAACTGCCCCAACTCCATCCATTACAGGAATGACAGATGAAGGTGGATGAGAAGAAAGGAGAGAAACAGATTTAACTGCATCTAGTGCTGCTAAGGAGAGGTAACACAGAGAAGAATGGCTACATTCTCCTGGACAGGCTCAGGCCAAAGCAGAAAGTTACTTGGGCTCTATCCCTCCCCTCTTTTCATGTATGTGGAAATCAAAGCTGAGTGAATTTATATTACTGGCACATTGGAAGGAGTCCCCAAAAGAAGTTTCTGAAGAACTGAGACAGAACGACTTTTGAGCGCGTTAAGTGAGAGATGCAGTCCCTAATGGCTTTAGGAAATGCATAACATTTCTGGGCCTCAGTTTCTTTCTCCGTAAATTGAAGGATTTGAACAACATCAGGATTTCTCCATCTGCACCAGATCATTCTTTGTTGTGGGCTGCCCTGGGCACTACAGAATGATCAACAGCATCCTTGGCCTCTGCCCAGTAGTGTCAGTCGCACCTCAAGTTGAAAACCACTGAATTAGACCATTATAGAGACATCTTCAGCCTTGGCATATTAGGGTGCCAGGGAAACTTTGAAGCTTTTATCAGTAACAACTTGCGGTTAATTTCTCACATCCTGGAATTCTAAGGTTCATTGAGAATGAATACAAGACTGAAGGCTGACAGAGACAATCAAGTGTCCTCAGAAAGGAAGGGGTCATTCTCTTTAGAGAAACCTCTCAACTTGGCTTGCAGTCACCTAGAATGACAATAATTCTTTATAACCTCAATTCCTAGATGGGAAGACTACAAAATCCCTGAAGTATTACTACCAGATCTTCTTCTCAAGACAGAAATGTATGACCATATCTTCATCTTCTCTATCTTTCTGGCATCCAACGGCTGCACGTAAGAATCCAAATCATCCTCTCGGTGTTGCAATACCTCCCCACCTTGTGAAACTTTTCTGTAAGTGGCTCGGCTTTTTGGAATTTTGCCCCAGACTCTCTGCTTCCTAGCATTGGGTGCGCTCATCTATTCTCATTTGTGTTTCTGCTATCTTGGTTGATGGAAAACTTCCCATGCCTGTGCAAATTGGCTTCCACGTTTTTCTCTGAGTGATGGTGCTGGGACACAGGCATCTCTCTGTAAATCGGGTCAGAAATCCAGTCACCTCCACAGTGACAAAGGTGCATGCATCTAAGAATGGGCTCTAGGTTTAAAGTGAGTAGAAGAAGGCCAGTGAAATTTAGAGGGAGCTTCCCATACAGAAGGATCTCTCAGTTGGAGAAAATGAGTTCCTATGAAGTTTGTCATCTGACTAACAGTGTTTACTGGGTGCTTCCAAATTCTCATCACCATCACTGGAGCATTTTGATTTTTGCTATACAAATCATGCATGCCTATGATGTTTAGAAAGAACAAAAAAAAATAAAAACATAGGAAGATATAAAGGGAAATAGATACAGTGTGTATATGTAATCATGTAACATGCTATTCTGCACTTTGGATTTTTGTTTGACTTAATATATCGCAAGCATCTAGGTATGCCTCATTTTTTATAATGAAAGTGGACTAATACATTTTCTGGGTACATTATACATTTTTTAACAAGGCCCCTTTAGACATGTGTAGGTTGTATACTGTTTTTCATAAGACAATGCTGCAAAGAATATCCCTATAAATGTATATCTGAAGAGTCATTCATAAAAAAAAACAATGGAAGAAGGGTATGTTAAAACTTTGCTAAATATTGCCAAATCATCCTTGGAAGTGGATGTACTAGTTTATATCTTCTGGGAGGCATTTTGAAGTGGTCATTGGGAAGAAGAGTTTCAGACTCCTAGGCCACAGCAAACTGTAGGTTAAAAGGATTAGATAAACTGGGTTATTTCTACGTCGGTTCTCTTACTTCAGAGTAGTCTCCCAGGTTTAAAATCTTTTGTGATAGATACAGTGAAACAAACTAAACTGAACTGCAACCACTGAGGAGGTTCTGAAGTCAGCTTCTAAGGAGTAAAGATCATGTAGTCAAAATTATCTTTCAAAACATCTTAAACAGTTCACAAAGTACATTGTGTATAGTTTTGTATCAACAAATCTGTACAGTAGTATGCATGCAAGATGATAAAATGTACAGCAATGTACCATGCAAATCAAGCAAATACACTAAGAATTTCACATCATTGTATTCTTAAACATTAATCATTTTCGGTTCAAGGAGATAGTGACTTTTTAAGGAAACTCAAAAATTTAGAATTATTGAGAGAAACAATTATATTTCCCATCTTGTATTAACCTAGGTGCCTGAAGAAAACAGAGTTAATACCACTAATTCAAATAGATTTCTTTAACAAAAGCATAAATTACAGAGGTGTAAGATAAGGTAAGGGAACAAAAAGAGATGGTAAGGCCCCAGAGAGAGACAGACTTTGTACACAAGAAAATGATTGTCATGCCTAACACCTAAGACAAAAGGAGGAAATTGTGTGCTCGGTGCCCAACACAAGCTGCTTCAGTAGCTTACAGCAGTAAATGGTAGACACACACTTACAGCTAGAGCTGAGGCACCAAAACAGGGAGTGAGCAAAGACACTCTGACCTTTCCCTGCTGCTATTTGACCTGCAAACTTGACCACAAGCCTGCTGGCAAAGAAGGCTGGGTGATCCAATACACAGGGGTCAGCCTCCTGGGACAGACAGCAAGCCAGGGAAGTCCATTCTGGAACAAAAGCTCGCAGAATGGATTGGCCAGAGAAATCGCTAGCACTATTTAAATCATTATCTGTATCTCCTTTTCTCTTTGTCTTTGCCAGCAAAGTTGGACTAAATTCAATGACCCTGTGATGAAACCCCACTGTATATAGCAGAGGCTTATATTAGAGAGCTCATTGCTTTTGCATAATTCTTCTAGCCCACAGAAATGAAGAGTGAAAGGACATACAGATCTCCTATGCTCAAGGAGTTCACTGTGAGAACCTTCATTTGGCTTGTGCTTGGACCATTTTCCTGAGGGGTGCTAGATCCCTCTCTCACCATATCATGTGCTGTCCTAACATTTAAAAATTACCCAGGTACATAATATCTCTGGGTTTTGGCTTTTCTCATCTGCAAAACAAGAGGACTGAATTAGATAGAGGATTCTCCAACGTGGCCAGTCTCCAAAACTTTAGGGGATTTTATTCACAATACTTATTCCCAGGTCCTTCTTGGGGCCCACTGAATCAGAATCCTTGGGTGTGTGGTTCACGGAATGTGTGTATATAAAATTTTGCTGGCATGCATCCAGGCTTGAGAACAGCTGCTCTCAATGATCTTCAAGACAGATTCCAGTTCAAAAATCCCACGACAATAAGATAAGTCAATAAGTTAGCAAAATAATCCAAAAATTTTTTCTTGTCATTTAATTAAAAAAATTAGGAACTAAGGTATATCCAAAGTAACAGTGTTTCTCTAACCTCTTCCAAAATGTGTGAACACTTTATGTTTTGCATTTTCAGCTTTTTATCAGAATATTGGTAAATAGAAGTACATTGTGTATTTTTTATTTGTATCTTTTTTTTTATAAACTAAGGGGTGGGTTCTGAGGCGATAAGTCTCATTATTAATTACATCTATGCCATTATTAAAGGAACATCTTAAATTTTTTTTATTTCCATAGGTTTTTAGGGAACACGTGGTATTTGGTTACATGAGTAAGTTCTTTAGTGGTGATTTTTGAGATTTTGGTGCCCCCATCACCCAAGCAGCATACACTGAACTCAATTTGTAGTCTTTTATCTCTCACCACCTTCCCACCCTTTCACCCTGAGTCCCCAAAGTCAATTGTATCATTCTTATGCCTTTCCTTCCTCATAGATTAGCTCCCACTTATGAGTGAGAACATATGATGTTTGGTTTTCCATTCCTGAGTTACTTCACTTAGAATAATTGTCTCCAATCCCATCCGGATTCCTGCAAATCCCATTAGTTCATTTAAAGGAAAATCTATTTTAATATCAGCGTACTGTTATTACTTCTATGGGGGACCACATGAGGAGAACCAGTTTCTAGGAAATCCTCCAGCACAATAACTTGTATTTTCTCAGACAAAATATTTAACCTTTAGGCTCTTATTATTATTTCAGCTTTTAAGTGACAGGATTGGCCTAAATGATTTAGAAGGTCCCTTCCAGCCTAGAAAACCTGGAGTTCTAAGAAATGTCACAATATATATACATATCTTCCTTTGTTGTCTACTGTTGCATCTTAAAAGCAAGAGTTTTTCAAAAATTGGATACCTTGTGCTAAATAGATTATGACAAAATAAACAACTCCCTACTAGTTACCTGAATTTCAAACCTGAGCAATCACTCATCAACGCAATGAAGGCACCCAGGAAGGTGGGAAAAGTTTATTTGATGACTGGGCTGTTAGGCCTGTCCAAGCATCTCTCATGTTTATCCGGCCTTGTAATCAAAGGAGTGTTTTCCTATCAACCTGATTTGACGTACCTTGACATGAAAATCACTTCCTTCCACACAAATTGCTATTCTTTCTAAATCGTTCATACTAAAAATGAACAATGCCAGAGAAAGCAAAGCTACCAATTGAATCAAATTACTGTAATAAATGAGTACATTTGCAACTGAGTAATACCTCTCAGGACAAAGCAGTCATCTGACCCTGAACTGCAAAGTACATATATTTCCTCATTCTATAATCATCCTCAGTCTTTAAGACATGTAGACTCATGCCTTTGCCATAAGACAAGAAAATCCTTCTAATTAATACTTCCGGTAGCTATTTACATTGGGGTAAGAAAAGTGATTTACCTAAGCAGCAGACCATAAAGATCAAGCCCTGTGGAAAAATTAAATGTTGTAACAAGCAAAATGTATGATAAAGTTCATGAATGATATGCCATAATTTATTTTGCATAATTTGTTTTGATAATAACATGACCATGTTAAGCAGATAACATACTTGACTATAATTATGCTTAATTTTATGCAGCCATATCAAAGCTTTATTGTATTAATATTTGATCCTTATTTCTATAGTATCTATAAAAGGCATCAATGAAAGCCATTTGCTCAGTTACCTGTACAGGTAAGTCATTATGCATGCACACACATGCACACAGGCAAACACATACACTTGTGCATCTTCCTACATATTTGGTACAACTAATGCTCTGGTTCTATGTCCCTCTATCAGTAATAACTTCCTGTCAAAATGTAGAAACTTCAAATTGTCCAAAGATGATTCCTTCAAGCCCAGCCTGATGTGTGTTCAGTTGCTAAAATAATGTTACTTCACCCTTTGGGAAGCCGAGGCGGGCAGATCACAAGGTCAGGAGATTGAGACCATCCTGGCTAACACAGTGAAACCCCGTCTCTACTAAAAATACAAAAAATTAGCCAGGCGCGGTGGCGGCTGCCTGTAGTCCCAGGTACTCAGGAGGCTGAGGCAGGAGAATGGCGTGAACCCGGGAGGCGGAACTTGCAGTGAGCTGAGATCGTGCCACTGCACTCCAGCCTGGGCTATCCAAAAACGGCACCCTTCTGAATTTCCAATGCCTAAATATCTTTATCAGCAGGAGTGCTTCCATTTGATAATAGAAAAGACATAAAATGCAAACATCTCCAGGAGATGCAGCTTATCAACTGAAAATCAGTTACGATAAATATCACTCATTCTACAAAGCAATGAAAGGAAGGTCAGGGGATGATGAAGCAAAGACCAATGAGCTACTAGATACTTGATAATTGGGAGACACAGCATCACAGGCCTAAGAGACTGGGGAGTGTGACTGGAAAAAGAGGTGTACTATGGTTTGAATGTTTTCATCCTCTCAAATTCATGCTGAAACTTAATTCCAAATGCAACAGTATTAGAAGGTAGTAATAAAATCAGGAGGGCTCTGCCCTCACAAATAGGATTTTGGGCTCTTATAAAAGGGCTTAATAAAGATAGTTCATCCCTTTTTGCACTTCCTCCTTCTGCCACCTGAGGACACAGTGTTTTTTTCTTTCTGGAAGATGCAGCATTCAAGGCACCATCTTAGAAGCAGAGAGCAGCCCTCACTGGAAAACTGAACCGGGACTTAAACTTCCCAACCTCTGGAACTGTGAGAAAATAAATTTCTATTCTTTATAAATTACCCTGTCTCAGATATTTTGTTATAGCAATACAAACAAAGATGGGGGTAAGAAGAGGATGATGGAAGCCACATTTACTTCTACATAATTTTGCTGTGATAGTTTTCAACATTTATACAAAAGTTTTTGCTTATTTACTACTACTACTAACAATAATTTCTACCCGATTGACCTTACTGTCTGAGATTATCTCTAAGTTCTCTCACACCTGGACTGCAATCAGTTAGACCTTTTTCACAGTTACCTTTATATTGTTCACAGGAGTTTGTATAACAACTAACCGCAGGGGCAGGTATTTGAATACTGGCTCTGCTTAAGGGGCGTTAACTAAGTAAGTAACATTCAGCTTAATGGTCTAGGGATCTGTCACCTCAGGAGCAAAATGAGGATATTAATAGTCATGACCTCGGGTCTGAATTTGGGTCTTGCCAAAAGTAGAGCCTGGGACACGGACATGGGGGTGGGTAGTTTGGAAGGTGGTCCCTGGAAGCAGGAAGAGGGGCAGGGAGAATGAGGTAGAGGTGGAGAAAAAGCCTATATAAGGATGAATGACTGAACCTGCTGCCGCTGCTGCAGCAGCAGACAATAGGGACTTGACTCAGCTAAGACCTCCAGACTTGGGTTCAGTGTGCTGCCCTGAATTGCCCTCCCAAAGGGTAGAAAGCTGCAGCATTTATCCTGGATCTGCTGTCCTTTACTGGTTGAGGGTTGCTGAGTGGAATCCCTCAATATCAGAGAAGACTGAGGCAGAGATCTGAAAAGATGAAGGTGTTCACTTGAGTGAAAGATGAAGCTGAGCATGACCATATGCTCTGGTCCACCGGAGCTGCAGCTGAAATCAGAGCAAGGCTGAGTAGGGCCGCATAGGGTCCCGGGAACCTCTGCCGCACCTTCTGAAGCTGTGTGAAGGCTTAAGTGGGAAAATGCATGCAAAGTGCTCACCTCTGTCAGTTTGGCTGCATAAGTGCCATTTTATGGCATTGTCTTACTTTCTTGCTGATTACTAATAATAATGAATAGGTAATAATTAGTATTTTAATTGTAATGTCATTAATTATCCAGTTATTTATTTTTCTGTGTCTTCTCTTCTACTTATAACCACGATGTCATTCACTGTATACATTCAGTAGGTGCTAATAAATATTTTCAAAAAACAATTGAATGATAATATGAGTATCAGCTACAATGCCTCTCACAACAGTCAGCTCAAGAAATAATTGTGAATTCACTTGAACCGGATCATAATAGTATCAAGGAAGGAAACCACGTGTTTGTATCATGTGCCTTCTCCCTGCAGCCCTAATCTTGAGTTCATCACACTACTAGCACTCAATAAATGTTGATTGACTTATTTGGTTCCCTATGTTGAAATTGCCCCGAGGCAACACAGTTAAAAAGCCAGAGAGTACAGGCAGAGGCACATTTTTTGTGTTTCATGAAAACATCAATAACTGAAGCTATTAATGCTAAGTCCAGTTTCACCAAGCTGTCTGTGCCCAGAGTCTTTCAAGAATTCAAACCCAAAAATAATCACAATCAATTCCCAAAATGCATTCTGGATGGTTTAGTTAAGAAATGTTTAGGAAGGTAACTGTAGCATTTGGCTTCTGATTAATATTTCTCATAAATAGTTTAAAATCAAAAGAAGTCTGTGCGTTTTAGGTAGGTTGCCTCCCTACTGATTACTTACTGGTTTGGCTGAAAATTCATCTTTTATGTATTTATTTTATCACCACATTTTAAGTGAGGAAATGGAGCACAGTGAGGTTAAACAACTTGCCCAACCTCCTAAGACCTGCAGGCTGCGGGCGCCTGTAGTCCCAGCTACTCGGGAGGCTGAGGCAGGAGAAGAGTGTGAACCCGGGAGGTGGAGCTTGCGGTGAGCCAAGATTGGGCCACTGCACTCCAGCCTGGATGACAACAGAGCGAGACTCCGTCTCAAAAAAAAAAAAAAAAAAAAAGACTTGTAGGCTGACTCTGGAGGCCAGGGTCTTAACCACTGTGCTTGGCTGAGTCATGGTTGACCACTGGCGGGCACTGGGAAAAATGCCAAGGGTACCAGGCATACCACTTGCCTCGCAGGAGATGAGGGAGGCAGCAGGAAAACAGCAATTTTCAGCGCTATGGGCTCGCTGTCATTTTGCCCTTACTCTAAAAGTTATATAAAGACATTTTTAGTTTTGCCAATTTATATGTATCGCTGGATGCTGAGACGTGATGGATTAGTGGCAGAGCAGGGATGGGGAAAGAAATAGAGACGGAGACTAGTTTTGAGGCTACAGCAATGGTCCATTGTTGTCCGATGTTCAATGGAGATTGAGAGACAATTAGAAGGCAAAGTTGCCCGGCCTTATTCAATAACTGAGTTTGAGGTGATGAATGTACCCCACATAGGAAAATTCACTTTTGCTAATAAAAGGAGAAAATAGTTCATTGTGTACATTATGAAATCAACTGAAAGTCTGAAAAACTTAGCTTGAGATATAGGAGTCAAGATGACATAGATCCCAGCCAACACTCACTACAGTAAGTTCACCACTACTGGTACTTAAACCATGGGCAGCTGCAACTATTAACCTGGATTTATTAGTTTATGTACAGTGTTAATGTACAATGTCTACTTATCCCTATCTCCTACCACTTCCTCCCAATTCAAAGTTCTGGGCAGGCATTTCCAGTTAGCCAAGTTTGACATGTGCTCAAGGCATGGCTGATAGGGGTGGGAAGAAGGCGCTTCTATTCCCTTCAGCTTTGTGGTAGCACACAGAGCACTACTTCCTTCTAAGGGCTTACCTACTAGTAAGGAGACACCAATAAGAAAGGAATTCAGATGCTGAAAAGCCAGAAAAAAAAAAAAAAAGGAAATGTGCAAATTTTCACTACAGTGTGTCAAATAAACTGCTAAGGAGGACAACCCTGTCTTAAGCAAACAGAGGATGGTGGTGCCATCTGTTGAGACAGAAAACCCAGGGAGAGGCCAGGCACTGTGGCTTACGTCTGTGATCCCAGCACTTGGGGAGGCAGAGGCAGGCAGATCATTTGAAGTCAGGAGTTCAAGTCCAGCCTGGCCAACATGATAAAACCCCATCTGTACTAAAAAACACAAAAATTAGCCAGGCGTGGTGGCACATGCCTGTAATCCCAGCTACTTGGGAAGCTGAGGCAGGAAAATCACTTGAATCCGGAGGGGTGGAGGTTGCAGTGAGCCGAGATCCTGCCACTGCACTCCACCCTGGGCGACAGAGCGAGACTCTGTCTCAAAAACAAAACAAAAGAGGAGAGTTCAACAGGATATCTTGTTTGACATAACTCCTACAACTCATTATCTTACTCTTCTTCCATGGCTTTCCATAGTGTCTAGGAGTAAAAATAAAATCTCCGAAAAATTCAAAAGACACAGAAAAGGTGGCCTCTGATTATTGCACCAGATTTCTCTTACATGCTTTTCCTGTTTTTTTTTTTTCTTTTTTTTTCTCAATTCCTCAAACACATCATACCATTTCCTGCCTATAGAACGTGGCTCATGCTATTTCCTCTGCCTGAGGGGATCTTTTCCTTTCTCTTAGCCTGGCTCAATGTATTCATTCTTCAAATCTCAGATCAAATACCATTTCCTTAGGGAAGCCTTCTGTAACCTCTAAGCTGTAATGTGCTCTCTTAACACTTTGGATTTTCTTCTACAGCCATTATCAAAGTTGGAAACAATATATTTGTGTAATTTTTAAAATTAAATTCCTCTCACCCACTTCACTGAAGACAAAGACCAAATATGATTTGTCACTGCTATATCCCAGACGCCCAGCCAGGAAATTAAAGATTTATTGAAGAATGAACCAATGCATGAATTAATGACTGAAAGAATAAATATATATAACAGTCTAGGTTTGACAGAGGAAAATTAGACCAAAGACACTGATTTGGAATCATCAGGATACAGATGATAACTGTAGCCAATGGAACTAATCAAATCACTCAAAAAAGAGTGAAAGGAGTACTTGGGATGATATATTAATTATCAACTATTAAGTATTTCTTAATGTGATCCATGGGTTTCCCTACAGCAAAATCAGCTGGAGACTGGATGAAGGAATCTATGTCTTTAATAAATGACTCCAGATGATTTTACTGCAACCTGAGAACCACTAACTTTAGCAATCAGTAGAGAAATACCCTTGACGCAGTCCCAAAGTTTGTATTACAGGCCAGGTGTTCTAACTTCTAGAAGAAAGAAGCATAAACGTGCACAAGTAGCTAAGAGCATGTTATTGTGCAAAGAATACCAGAGGAGGATTCAGAAATCCTGGGCCTGTCACCTGATCTCATCATATGCTACATTTACAACCTACATTAATGACCGGTAACTATCTTCAGGGAATAGAGACTTGAGGACTTCAGCCATAGTCTACTCCATTAACGTTTTATGAGGATTCAATATATATGATAGGTGACTTTTTAAAATATCCCATTTGCATTTTGTTTCTAGAAAATGCAAAGGGCATGTTGATCAGCTCGAGAATTTCCTATCCATTTCTCTCAGATAGTAAAATGCTTTCTTAAACATTAAGTAAATTATCATTTTATGTATGTGTATAGGAACACCAGTATGTGTGCCTTAACTGTAATCACTAAAGAACAGAAATGTAAATCTAAAACCACGGGCTTTCCACAAGACACTGTCAGCATCAGAAAAGGCATTAAAAGGGCAGGGGAAGCTTAACCTACATCTCTGGGAAATAAGAAGATTATATTCAAGCTGTCATTTCTTGTTGCCATGATTATATGCGGTCAACAATTTCTTTTATCACAAATTATACAGAAATGACACCTGAATAATCATGTTGCCTGTAATATCATCATGTAAAATGGGAGAAAGATCTGATCGTTTGAGTGCTGGCTTATGATTTGGGAAAATAGCTTGTAATTGCAGTTCTACTGACAAATTGGTGCTGTCGGGTAAATCAATATTTACCACCTCAGTTTCTCATCTTATATAGTTGAACACCGACACTTAATTTCTGGAATCCTAAACTAGGCTGCATGGGGTAATGCTTAATTAAGCACACAGAATGTGGAAGATAAACGCCAAAGTACAAATACTGGATTTGCTACTTCTGGGTTTTCTTCCCCCTCCTCTTAGATAGGTTACAGTATTTCTGTTTCACATCCATAAAATGAAGTCAAATATAATACCCATTTCATAGGGTTATTGTGAAGATATGATTTAGTGAAGTATTTAGAATAGTATCTGGCACATAAGAAAGGAATTAATAAATGTTACCCAGTATTAAGCTCCACACCTTCTAGGGTTCTTAAGAAAACTAAAGAAAGTATGTGTTTGTGTGTGCCAATGCTATATAAAACACATACACGCATAACAAATTTCATACTCCAAAATAAAAAGCATCCTTTTTGAAGTCATCATGGTTGAGTTAGGGAGAAAATGAAGGATATGTTGAGGGCAGTGAAGATGCTTGGAGGGATGAGGGAGAGACATACTTATTCTAAATAAAGTGACATTGCTCAATATATCTTGGGACCTTTTGGCATTGCCTATGGATCATTTCTTCTTATTTCACAGTTGTTTGAATCTGCCAATTATTAATCACTTTTATCTTCAGATGGTTTATTTAATATTTGGAAGTAGCTGAGAGTCAGTAAATCAAGTTTGATGAATGAAGTGGTTAGCAAAATTCCATAGCATTTTTTTATTATTTTTTATTTTTTATTTTTTGAGACGGAGTTTCTCTCTGACGCCCAGGCTGAAGTGCAGTGGTGCCATCTCGGCTCACTGCAAGCGCCGCCTCCCGGGTTCACGCCATTCTCCTGCTTCAGCCTCCAGAGTAGCTGGGTCTACAGGCGCCCGGGACCACGCCCGGCTAATTTTTTTGTGTTTTTAGAGACGGGGTTTCACCGTGTAGCCAGGATGGTCTCGATATCCTGACCTCGTGATCCGCCCGCCTCGGCCTCCCAAAGTGCTGGGATTACAGACGTGAGCCACCGCGCCCGGCATTCATAGCATATTTTTTTAACAGAAGCATACAATAGGCTGAAATGAGCCATGGTGTAGAACTCAATCAATGCATTTAGCTCTGTCCAGTTTTACAGCCTATGGAGGCAACCTAAGCTACTATCTTTAGTGCAGGAAACAGTTCTATTTGAGTCCATCTCCCTTGGACTCAGCATCAAAACATTTTGCTTGCAAATTGGGCTCAGTCCTTGGATACCTTCTGAACAATAAAGCTTTTACCTGTTTCAGATACTCATTTCTCACCTTGGGTCTTAGTTTAGGTAACTAGGTAATTCTCTTGATAACCTCTCTAGTACCTCAATCCCTCCTAGGATTTGTATTTCTCTTAATAGTTCTCATTCTGGGATGTTGAGAGCCTATCCAAGTGATATCCAGAGTTAGAGTCCTAAATGCTTTAGAAGCCATCATCTGTGGTCTGACGTGTACTCTCCAGGTGGCAGGTTTTCTCTGCTGCACTGGAGTCGGTCTCCTCTCTTGTTCCTGAGTTTTATGCCAGAGCCTAAATTGCCCCACTGGATGTAGCTATTCCATCTACCCCATTCTCACATAATTCATCATAATTGATTAGGCTATCCTTTGCTATCTTACACCAGAGTTCAGAGTTTATCTTATTCCACACAGCAATCTCAAAAATGATTTATAATTTCTATAAAAATATGTCTCTGAGCTTGAAGAAATAACATGAATGATGACATGAGCAGAAACAAGCAAATAAAAACTATTCATCTGAGGTTTTGACATAACATCATTTCTTGAATCTCTGAGATACAGTATTTTGCATTGTACACTTTGCAACAACATTCCTAGTACAACCTGGAAACTGCCATCTTTCATCGTCAGTTAATATTTTCCTCAAAAAATGCACCATGCCTTTAGCTTCCCTGCAAATACAGGTATTCCAGTCTTATAGTTTGGGAGCCATTTAATAGTTATAACATAACTTAACTGTGTTTATGAACTCTGCAACATTTTTGTTGTTCCTGTTCATGGGTCTTTGTATATCCTTTTGAATTTCTTACCTTCTATAAAAATTTTGTAATTCTCAAAAACTAATCTTATTGGCACTTAACTTCTTCACCCCTAATAAAATCTTTTCAAGTGACTAGCATCACCTCCCCAGACTTACAAAACTTCCTAAAAATATGATACTATCTCTTAGCACAAACTATTATCACTCACCTTTTATTAAGAGAGCTCAGTATGTAACTACATTTGCTAACACAAAATTGGCTGACTTTAAATGTACAACTTACACAGATGCTTAAAAACATAAGCCATAATCTTTCATGACAAGACTGGCCTGCATTGGCAACAGGATGTCAGGGAAAGAGCATCGACTTTGGATTCTGGGCAAGGCACAATAGGAGTCAACCAACACCCTTAATTCGCTATATGATGTTGGGCCTTCCTTGTTTTGCTCCTCTGAGACTCAGTCATCTCACTTGTAAGATGAGGCTAACAGTACCTTCTTCCCAAAGCTATGGTGACAAGTATGAAATTAAAATGCCTAGAACTGAGTCTGATAGAATAGCATACCTATTGGTTTCTTTCCCTTTCTCTTAGTTCCATCTCACACCAGAATACACTTAAACACTTTGGCTCCAGTTGGGACTAATCTCCTTATACATATTATCTTTCTCCCCTCTGAACCAATTTACAAACACATGTATTCGTTGGGTTCTAGTCTTGCCTCCTAGATGAATTTTACTGTTGGATCTTTTAGGCTTTATCTCTAGCAAGAAGTAGTGTCCCTAGCTGGTTCTCTACTGCTTCTAGGGGCCCTTGGCCACTTCACTCCTCAAAGGTCTCCTTTGACTCCGAAAGCACAGACAGCAAAAGCAAAATAGGCAAATGGAATTACATCGAAGTAAAAAGCTTCTGCATAGCCAAGGAAACAATTTACAGAAAGATGAGACGATCCATGAATTGGAAGAAAATATTATTTGCAAACCATATATTTGATAAGGGGCTAATGTCCAAAATACATAAGGAACCCAAACAAGTCAATAGCAAGAAAATAAGTAACCTGGTTTTAAAATAGGCAAAGAACCTGAGCAGACGTTTATCAAAAGGATAGATGTAAATGGAAGATATATCAAACAATGCTCAGTATCTCAGGGAAATGCAAATTAAAACCACAAAGAGGCTGGGCTGGGGTGGCTTTTGCTTGTAATCCCAGCTACTCTGGAAGCTGAGGCAGGAGAATCTCTTGATCCCTGAAGTTTGAGGCTGCAGTGAGCCATGATCGTCAAGGTACTCCAGCCTGGGTGACAGAGAACCTGTTGCTTAAAAAAAAAAGAAACAGCCAAAAAACCACAGTGTGATATCACCTCACACCTGTTTCAATGACGATCAAAAAGATGAATAATAACAAGTGTTGGTGAGAATGTAGAGAAAAGGAAATTCTTGTACATTGTTGGTAGGAACGTATATTAGCACGGCCATTTCAGAAAATACTATGGAGGTTCCTTCAAAACTAAAAATATAATTACTAGAAAATATGATCTACCAATCCCACTTCTTCATATTCAGTCATGTGTTGCTTAACAACAAGGATATGTTCTGAGAAATGAGTCATTAGGTGATTTTGTCATTGCTTGACCATCATAGACTGTACCTTAGACAAACGTAAATGGTATCACCTACTATACACCTAAGCTATATGGTATAGCCTATTGCTGCTAGATATGTTTAGATACATAAACATTTACAATTTAACATATAGAGCATGTTACTATAGTGATTACTGTAGACAATTGTAACACACTGGTAAAGGTTTGTGTTTCTAAACATATTCAAAGATAGAAAAGGTACAGTAAAAATACAGTATTATAATCTTTTGGGACCACCATCATGTATACAGACTGTCATATATGCAGTCCATCATCAACTGAAGTGTCATTACGCATCTCAGGGCTGCATATCCAAAGGAATTGAGACTGATATTTCAAAGAGATAGCTGCACTTCCATGTTTACTTCAGCAATATTCACAATAGCCAAGATATGAAAGCAACCTAAGTGTCTACCAGTGGATGAATGGATAAAAAAGTAGATGTACACACAATGGAACACTACACGGTCTTTAAAAAGAAAGGAATCTGTAATTGTGACAACACGGATGTAACTGAAGGACATTATGCTAAGTGAAATAAGTCAGGCACAGGAAGAAAAGTATTGTATGATCTCAATTATATGTGGAATCTAACAAAGTCAATCTCAGAGAAACAGATTTTAGAAAGGTGATTACCTGAGGCTAAGGGTTGGGGTAGAGAGTGAGGTGGGAAAAGGGAAGATGTTGATCAAAGGGTAAAAAGTTTGAGCTAGACTGGAGGAATAAATGTTAGTGATCTACTGCACGGTATGGTGACCACAGTCAATAATAACATTGTATATCTCAAAATTACTGAAAGAATAGATTTGTCATGTTCTCACTAAAAAAAAAATATGTAAGGTGATGGATATGTTAATTAGCTTCTTTGAATCTTTCTACAATGTATATGTAACTCAAAACATTACATTATACCGCATAAATATACACAATTGTTATTGTCGATTAAAAATGTTACTGTCAAATAAAAATGTCAATTAAAAAAACAAGAGAATCACTTTATAGATAATTCTAGTGTATTAGAAGCAAAAAATACTAGACAAAAGGTTATTGTTATGCACTGCATTTTTATGGAACATTTTGCAAATAAGTTGCCTTCTACTATTACCAGTATTGCTATGCTTGAAGGAAGATTTACCAAAAACAAACAAAAAAAAAGCCCCAAGTTGTCAGATAAAATGTGGAAGGATAGGAATTTATTTGTAGGCAAAATTATGCACTAAATGGTTTCTACAGGAAAATCCCCTAGGACTTTTGATACAGATGATTTCTAAAATTTTAAATTCATACATACCTTTTAAGGAATACATCTTTATTGCTCTATTTTCATATGTAGATATTACTAAAGCCTTTTCACAAAATGTAATAATCTACTTAACTCTGAAAGGTTGACAAAACATCTTTTGTTTTTAAGTTAAGAAAAATCGGCCGGGTGTGGTGGTTCACGCCTGTAATCCCAACACTTTGGGAGGCCAAGGCAGGCAGATCACGAGGTCAGGAGTTCGAGACCAGCCTGGATAATATGGTGAAACTCCATCTCTAATTAAAAAAAAAAAAAAAAAAAAAATTAGCTGGGCGTGGTGGTGCATGCCTGTAGTCTCAGCTACTCGGGAGGCTGAGGCAGGAGAATCGCTTGAACCCAGGAGGAGGAGGTTGCAGTGAGCTGAGATCGTGCCACTGCACTCCAGTCTGGGTGACAGAATGAGACTTCATCTCAAAAAAAAAAAAAAGAAAAAAAGAAAAAAATTATTAATATTTTTCCTTAGACTGATTTTATCTCTTTCAAGTTTAAAAAGGGGGAAATTAAGAACGCCGTGTGAGCAGGTATATTTGCTACATAGCTTTTAGTAGTGCTCTTCAAATGTGTTCTGATGATCACATCCCTCAGAACCGTCAAGGGAGCATCTGAATAGCCAGACTGCATCCTCCTGACCTGGACTGTCCACAGGTGAGCTTTTTTACTTTTCATTTTAGATTTTGTTTTATTATGTTTTTAATTGTGTGTGTGGTTGTTGCTGTTGTTTTATTAAAGGGCATATATTACATCAGTAACTCGTGTAATTTAAAGGCATATGCCTGGCCCCGTTGTAGGACCACCAAGTCACAATAATCTGTGAAAATATGCTAATAATTGGTCATTTTAAAATAACATCCCAGGAACAACTACTACAAAAGCTTTCCAGATGATTCTAACAACCAGCCAGATTAGGAACCACTAGTCTAACAAAGTATCTACCTTAGGAAATTTTAATACCTTCAGTTTTATATCCTTACTTGGAAGTCAACATATTCTGACAGTTTTATAACCATTCAGAAAACAGAATATATACATGATGTAAAAACTAGGAAGTATGCTAATTTCCGATATCACAGTCTCTTTCAGAACAAGATTTTTGGTCTTCTGCTAGGAAAACTATTAATACTTCAAACTGACGTCAGGTTCTGATTTCAGGTAAAGTGTATCAGACTGCAAATACAACATCCTTCAAGCAGCTGTTATAGTACAGTATTTATTGCACTCTACAAATCTTGATTTATAAAATGAACCAGGGATTTGAAGTAGAAACACTGAGAATGAACTATTTCACATCAAAACCTGAGAGTCCCAGAAACTTAGTGCCTTTCATATTCATACTGGTTTCTCGTGAATATCTCTGAGTTGAACTAAACCTAGTGGCTGACTCTGTTCTTCATCTCTTATCAGTTTTTCCAACTTAAAACTTGAATAAAAACAACCTTTGAAGTGAATAAGCATACTGCTGCTCTAAATAGCCAAAGTAACAATCCATGTAATTCTGGATCCACCACTTATTAGCTGAATGACATTAAGCTAGGTAAGTTTTCAGCATCTGCTTCCTCACCTGTAAAATGGGATAATAATAAAATAAAATTAATAGTGGTGTTATAAGAAGTAAAAGAATGAAAAACAGGTAAACAGCCTGGAAAGGGCCTAATATATAGTAATTCTGAGTAATAAGCTTTTATGTCTATTCTTCTGAGTTCTCAGGAGATAAAGTCATAGTCTTAGCGATTAAAAGCCACAGTTTGAATTTGGATTTGACTTTAAAGTTTGTGTTTTTTTATTTAGTATCCCACCTCTCTTGATTCAGGCATTTATCCAACACATATTAACTCAATGCCATATGGGTATAAAACACTGGTCTAGGCACAGTACAAGTTAAAGGATTAAAAAAAAAGACAACTTGCCTCTAGACTATTCTGGAATAGAAAATGAGAAATGCACATAAATATGAGAGTCAGTGTGATAAGAGGCAAGTACATGGGAATTTTGAGGAGACAATAAATAGTTAATTCCAGTTGATAGGTGGTACAAGGCTGAAGGTGGGGGATCAGAGAGTCACCATCATGGTGTAGGAATCAAGACAGCTGCACAAATGGTGCCAACTCAGCAGGGGCCAGCAACAATGGAAGAATTTGACTCATGGGGAAGCTTCTGGCTACACACACTCTAAGGTCTCTTCCTACTGGAATGCTGTTTAAGGTGGAAAGTTCTCTGAAACATTATCATCAAATATCCACATCTATAAACATTGGAGTTTTCTGGTCCTCTGGATCCTGAAGACAACAGTTGAAATAAATAATTCAAATGTGTGAGCTTATAATTCCATAAAGCTGTGTCAGAGAGACAGCATCCCACAGTTTGACAGCAAGAGCTCTGCACTCCAATCTGGCTAAGGTTACTTATGGAGAAAAGACAGCACTGCTACCTCGTGATAACTACGTAGCCATGGAGAGAAAAAATATGTTGGCATCTTCCCAAAGCCCAGTAAGCAGATGGCCATGGGAACAGAAACCATCATGACAATTGGCACCTCTTTGGGATGCTCTGAGCAGGAAAGGGGCCTGGAAAATGTCCTTCTTTGGCTGTCCTTCCTTCAGAGGCATATGGGTGGCACAGGATGGGGAAAACTGCCTGACTGCTGCCAAGGGGAGCAGAGATAGCCTTTAAAATCTAGGCTACCGCAGCTTCCTGGGTAGTCAATCTGGTACCTTTCAGCAACCAGAGACCATCTTAAAGATGTGTGTGCTGATTTCCTCTAGGACAGATGATATCCAACAGATTCCATTCAAAGTTGGCTCACAGGATAATAAGAAGCCAAGCTCCAAGAGGATGGAGGGGTCTGAGTCCTCTATAGCCAGGCCTCATATGCAGGTAAATGGCACAGGATTGTTTTATCCGTGGTTTTATTCTTAACCAGGTGGCTATAGATAACCAAGAGCATGTGTGTATTCCAAGGTTAAGTGCCACTCACTGGATGACTAAGTTTGTTAGCTGGCTGAAGGGTCACCATCAGTAACAATCTGCTTTGCAGAGGCTTGCTAATTTGGAATTTTTAGAAGTTGAAGAAGATCCATTTTTCTGAAATGTATCATCTTGTCCTATTTATGATATTGCCTAACATTTCAAGCAACTACATTAACCAACTGCCATTAAAACATTTCTCTATTATGTCACAACAGATATATACAAACCACACACACACACACACACACACACACACATGCTCATGCACTTCTTAGTCTTCATTTGCCTTTGAGTAAACTCTGAATCAACAGCAAATAAAATACATTGTCAAACTGCTGGCCTGTATCCCAAGAAATAGCAAATGAATTTCAGTAACAAGGATATCCGACTCTCAAAAATCACTCCAATATAAGATAGATATTATTACCATATGCATTACATTTGCATAACATTTGACTACTTTTCACTCTTAAATCAGTTTTAAATATAGTTGAGAACTACCCATCCCTGCAAAAAAAACAAAAACACAAAATGTTGCAACAGCCAGTGCATTCAAGATCCCTTTGACTTATATCATTCCTAAATAAATTACATAAACTGTGTTGTTTTATAAAGATAGATTTTTAGAGTGGCAAACCCTAGTTATTTCAGTTGTCTTAGAAATTCAAATAGTTTAGCAGTAAAGATTTCTGATTATTCAATAATCTACTCACATCAACCACAAAATGGCTCATTTAGGGGAGTTTGATCACAGCTTTGGTCAAGACAGAGAAGATATAACCAGCTACTGGCTGCAGATATTATTATGTTATTTGATAATAGCAAGTAACACTTGGTCATATACACCTTTATGAAGTATTATGTAGAGTAATAGCTTAATTAATGATGACAATCCCATGATCAGGGAACATAATAATAATATGCAATTCATTTAAATTTAGATAGTAACAGACTATTCCAAAAATGTAAGTAATTAGCATGCAACTAAAATAAATGGTAAGGGAGTGGAATAAGTGCGGAGGAAGTTGGGTTGAGAAATAGAAAGTAAACAAACTCTTACATTTACATATAACTATCACTTTCCAAAAGTATATAATCCAAAGTTGTTCCCACAAGAAAGCAATTAAAATAGTTAGTTAAGGTACTCTTCTCATTTCCATGGTGGAGAAGGGACTTTATTCTTAAGAAGGTAACCACTCAACTCTATCCCCTTACTGATCTCTTCTCAAAGAATAGCTTGTGACCACTCAGACATGACCTAGGGCCTTGGCTCTATTGCTCTCCCTGACTGTGCCAGTAGGTTGTAAGGGAGTCCATGGTCTTCCATGGGACTGTCCTGTGCACACACAACTTTTCCTATGGGCAACCCCTAAATTGTTGAATGGATAGGAAAATGAGTGGTTAAGTCTCAGAGTCCATCTTTTCACATTTTTTTTTAAGATTACACCTTTTTCTCCATCCCTGTAAACTTAATGGAACCAAGAAATAGATGCCAGGCTGTTGGCTTAACCTTTGGTTTCACTCAACTTTTGTTTGACAACTGATGCCACAAAGTTAGTTGATGTTAAATGGGGTTTGTGCCTAAATTTAGCAGAGAAATCTGATCCACAATGTGTTGGGTTAAGTTTGGGCTCATTCCAATATGACCCATTTAACATATTCTTTGATTTTAAATCATCAAGCCCAACTTCTTAGGAGAGCTGCCTGAGTAAAACAAAATGCTCCTCAGAGTAAAGCATGGAAAGTCATTGCAAGTAAACTCTTTCACCCAAGTAAACACAGAGCATGCTCTAAAGAAGTGCTACCCAATGTTAAAACACAATTAGCTCACAATGTAGCATTTAAACATGAATACCTCCAGCCAAGATCTTCTCTTCCAACTCTGCCATTTGCTTTTTATAGGCCCTTAAAGCTGCTTCTTTGAAAGAAGGACGAATTCTCTTTGGCTTTGTGATCTCCACTGGCTGTTCAGGAATGTTTTGGTTTTCATCTTCTCTTATTTCCATCTCAGCTGATGTTTCATTTAAGGGTTCTAACCCCTCTTCACTAACCATATCATCTGCTGGACCATCATAACCCTCATCTTGTGGGGTTTCATAAGGTGTTTCATATGAAAGGTGATCATATGCTTGCATTTGTTCATCTGTTTCAGTAATACTAGTCCTGTTTTCTAGTTTAGCAAGGACTTGTTCCATGACTTCAACATAATCTGTTTCATTGTCAGCCACTGGTTCAGTATAATCTTCCTCATCCTCTGCTTTATAGTAATAGGGCTCCGTGTAGACATCAGAGTCAAGTGTGGTACTTGACTCATTTGCAGTTGATTGAGATAATGTCCGAAATCTCCCCATTAATGAAGAGCCACTGTCCTCATACCCACTCAGACTCTGTGTGCTTTTGTTCCATACTACTTCCAAGGCTGATTTAGCCCTCTGCAGTGTAGATCCAAATTTTGGGAAGCTGAAAGTCTTATCAGAAAGGTCAATGCTTAATCGACTATGCCATGATTTGGGTGGGGCATCCTCTGAATCATCACTTTGCAATTCACTTTGACTTCGATACATCATGGACAACTGGTTTTGATTTTGGTATAGCTCATTAGAATTAGCTCCCTGATAAGAATCATATTGGCCAACCCACTGGCCTTGTGGTTCATTATCCAAGCCAGGGCATGGAGAAGAATTGTCATCTTGAGTTAAGTCGTAGCTCTCTGAGTCATCTTGAAGATCACTGTGGCACTTTCCCAAGTATTCTAGGTCTTTATTGTAAACATCAAGCTGTTGGTCAAAAAGACTGTTTGTTTCATAATCAAAACCTTCCTGGGTGGATGAATCCAAGCCTAAATCAGCTCCTTGATTCCATTCCTTCCATGGAGAAAGATCCTCATGTAAAGAGAGCTGAGAATCACTGTAATGACTCCGGTCTCCAGATGCACACACCATGCCATTACTCATTCCACTATCCACAGTTTCTGTGTTTTCAGTTTCAGTCTGCCCTTGGATACCCTGAACACCTCCATTCAAATGCTGGTCCTTGGGACTGTCATACAGGGTCGCTGTTCCTTCCTGTTTCCTCTGCCATAGCTCCCGGTCCGAAGATGACAGGAGAGAGCTTCCATTAGTTCTAGTGAAAAACTGATTTTCTGAAAAATCTTCTGAGTAAGACTGACACAATTTGGAAAAATCTGATTCAGAACGACTAAGTTTAGCAGTGAAAAAATCACTCTGTGAGTGCCAGAGAGGTGTTGCATCTGCATAATGGGTTGTGGTTTGCTTTTCCAAGATATCTGATTCTGGCAACTGTGAGGAGATTTTATCATAATCTGATTTATTTGAAATTCTGCTGCTATTAGCAGTTTTATTCTTGGATCTAGCACTGTGTGATTTTGAGCTTGGCTTGGAAGTACTTCCCTTTGTTAGAAGCTCTGACTTGGAAAGCACAGCGTAACTGTTTCTATTGAGGTCAGATTCAAGATCTTCATCACTGTCATCAGGTGACTGCCAATTGTTCTTCTTGATTTTTGGCTCTGGAGTAGACAACTTTATAGCCATGCTCTCATATGTCTGGGAGGATGGTATCCCTTTCTCTTTTCTTTCTCTGATGTCATGAGTTAGAATATCTGTTGAGATTCCAATGCCTGTTCCTTTGAGTTTATATGACTTTTTTAAGACAGAATCCCTTTGTTGAGGGGTTTCAAAGTACACAAGTATGGGTCGAGGCTTTGCATTTGGGCAGTCTCTCTGGTGTCCTATCCTCTGAGCAAATTCAATTTTAATAGCATTTGGTGCATCTGAAAAACCCATTTTATCTATTAGAATTTGGTACACCACGCTTTCAACATATTCAAATCTTTCTTCAGTCACATTTAAAAATCTCAGGCTTGCCTTGCTACCCATATGACCTAAGTGCTTAATATAATCATGGATGTCTCTAGTTTCCCTCCGAGACTGGACAAACCCTGTGCGCAACTGCTCAATTTCACTTTGTACAACCTCCACACTGCTGGAGATCTCATCGATGGAGTGCTTGAGAGCATTGACGTGCCCTCGTAGTTCAGAAAGTTCTGTTTCAATCTGACTTATTCCCTGAAGTTCCTTAAAGATCATTTCCATGACATCATGTGTTTGGCTAATGCAGCCAGAGGAACTGAACCCTGGCTCCAGGGCATTTGTCTTTGGGTTTCGGACAGTTCTGTCCAAAGACTTACTTCTTATTCCCCAGGATTTTTTCATGGTGCTTAACTCTGAGTCTGAGGAGACACATTCTTGACTCTTTTTCCATTTTCTCAGTTTTCGTAAAGCTCCCAGTTTTAAGCCATGTAGAGTACGCTCCCCGTCAGAGCTGCCCTCAGAGGGTGCAAGGCTGCTTGAACTCTTTCTGTTGCGTCTAACTGGCATTGTGTGTGTTGATTGTGCCTGGTTTTCTGTGCTACTCCTTAGTTCATTTAATGATTCTGAGTAGGAACTCTCGATTGAAGAGAGCTCTTGAAGCAGATCCTCATTATCACTGTTGGTTACTTTAGCATTCTTTTGTAGGCCATTGGCAATAGCTACTCGGTAACTGAATGTTGGTGAGAGGGAAAACTCTTTACTGGCCTCGTCTTCCTCAGTGGATAAGTTGTGAGTGGATGAACACTTTGCAATCTTCTTTACAGTGCTTTTAAAAGTGTAAGAAAATTTGGGGGATTTGGTCTGGCCAGCAGTGGGGAAGTCTTGATCCTTTTTCTGCTGACGATACTCTTTGTTTTTGTTTGTATTTCCCAATTTCTTTGTAAACATTCCTTTGCAAAGCTTATGAATGTAAGGTAAAATCAAGCTCTTGAAAAAATTAGCCACCATGGAGAGCAATTAGTGCAAGCTTTTCTGCCCCAGAAAAGTAAACAAGTATCAGGATGAAAACCTGAAAATCCAAGGCAAGCATCACTGTTCAGAAGTTCTGTGAATCACTGGAAAGAGCAGGAAGGGCAGGCATGGCTCTGCCACATTGTCGCTGTCCTGTGCAAACCAGAAGCAAAGCTCCATCTGTGAAAGACATTCTTTCCTGGAGGAGGGGTTTCATGAATCTCTCTCATTTCCACATAACTCCATGTAGTGTCTAAAAAGAAATGAATGTTAAAATAAATATCAGAATTCAATTCTAGATTTCTTCCATTTCCAACACGTTTCAAAAGTATTCATAATACACAATGTGTGAAAAATTGCAGAGGAAGTAGGAGAATATATGAATTTCAATGTAAATTTACTTTTAAAATAACTACTGAAAGCAAATCACTACCAATAACTATGTTTATAATGTTTTTTGATAAATCATTTATGGGTGGACACAACTGAAATAGTAATAAAAGGTAATTATGATTATTTAGAAAACATTGAGTAATACGACAGTCAATTTATACAGCCATATTGACTTCATAAAGTCATTTCTACTCTACTTTCTTTCCTAATATCATGTTTACTTACACAAATGTAAGGATTTAAATCTATGTATATTCCCCTCACATCCAAGATATTCAAAATTCACAAATTAATATTATCTATATATATATAACCTCTTTTGATTCATTCAAATAATCTTTTTCTGACCACATAAATAAATAATCTCTATGATGACTAGTTTCTTGAATTATGTGAAGAAAAAGAAAATAACGTTTACATTTAATTTTGCTGGTTTGCCAGCACAGGGCCTCATATTAGTAGGAACTCAAAGTTTTGTTGAATTGAACTTAATATTTTATCAGTGAAATGTAACCCAGAATAATAGTAACAGTCAAAAGGCTTTGTTGGTATTCCAGTATGTGTTTGGGAAGATAATCTACTTAATTCATTAAAGAACACATCATAAACTACAGATTGTCTCAGAAATCTGCTCTTTTATCAGCTCTCTCCACTTGGAAATCTGCCAGTTGCATTTCAATCAGGCTCTGCAGGGGATTTGGGGATACATGTTCTGGCCAGGAGCCAAGCTCCACAAGAGACAAGGGGAGCATAGAAGAGGAGGAGAAAAGATGGAGCGAAAGAGATGAACTCTAAAGAAGTCCAAGTCTTTCTGGGTTTCAAATACTATCAGGGTATAACTCTTCTGCTCTGAAACAATTTGGTATTCATTCACAAACACAAACCAGGACCTATTTTCTACTAATAAAAATGTCAAGAAATTTACTTTTGAGTTAATTTAAAAAGCATTTTTTATACTCCTATGTGACATCTCCCTGTGAAGAAAAGGCTTTGGAAAGTTAAGCTGCAATCAGGTAGATAAATTATTTTTAAACTAATTTTAGTCGAATAAAATTTTCTACCCATCACTCAATCCAAAATCTTTGGTCTTCCAAACTTAGAAACAGATGGTTCTTTTTGTTTAAATCAAAGTAGCAATTCTGTTAATGCCTCTGATGTTTTCAAATCTAAATTTCCTGACTGGCATTACTGGTTCAAAGCTACTGTTCTAGGCAACAATTGTTAGAAAAAGTTTGAGCGGGAAAGTTCAATGCGAAATGAAGCCCACCAAATGCAAACTCAGGAACAGGTGTCCACAGTTGCACACACGAACTCACTTGCTCGTATTCCAACCACAGAGAACAACCTGTTATTCACTAAGGGCTCCACACTCTTTCATGCCCCAGTAACTTTTATGTCCTCTCTAGCCAGAATATCATTCATTATCCAGCCCTCACTATCTGTAAAAATTATGTTTAAACTCCAAAACCATTTCAGCAACCACCCAAACTGAGCTCATCTCTCTCCTAGCCACTCTTTATCGAAGAATTGGCCACATTTCAGCCACTTAGTATCTCCACCTAGTTGCCCCAAATTAAACCCCATCCAGAACCTAGCAATTTTCCTGAATTACTAATCTCAATAATGTCATCATAATCATCCACTTGCCCACAGCATATACCCAGGAGTCATTCTAGATCATGTGTCATCCATCCCATGTTCATACCTGAGGTGACATAGTAATGCCTTAGTAAGGAACACTGTCATTTCTCATCTAGACTATGGCAATTGTATCCGACGTGGTCTTCCTAATGATAATTTGACTCTTTTTTCAAATCCTAAATTTCTAAAATTCATACAATTAAAAATATATGTCCTCCTTCTTGAAACGTTATTTTAGCAGCCTTATTTTCTGTCACTCCCATAAGCACATCTGCCTCAGCAATGGTGAAGTAGTAGCAGTTCCCTGATTACCATATTTTTACCTCACTAAAGGGCCTTTTTCCATGCTGTTCCTTCTTCCTCCGATTCCTTTCCCCTTCCCCTCTCTATTCACATGTCTCTTTCATAAATATCTATAGAATATCTATATATTTGAGACCCAGCCAAGGATCAACATCAGCTCATTTTACCTCCTCAGCATACAGCACTTCCTCCTCTGTGCTCCTGCATTGTACTCTCAAAATACCATAATTATTTACGTTAAATATTTTATCTGCATGTCTGCCTCTCCTATCTGACTATAAACTCTTGAAGAGCAGGAGCCATATTCTATTTAACTTTAAATTTTTATATTCCTTTATACATAATAGACTCATACTGTTTGTCAGATAGGTGATCATGTAAATGAATGAAAGTAATAAAACCATGAACTAAAACATAAACAATATAGGTTCCAGTAAGCCTAAACTGGCTGCACTGGGCCTTACACAATCCAGAGAAGGAGAAGCAGTGTGAGCAGAAGGGAAGCATCTGAGACATTCATGTCATGTGCAAAGGTGGAGAAGCATCCACTTTGTCCAGAGAGGGATGCCTCTGATGGGGAGCAGAGGATTGACAAAATACAATCAGAAGGTAGACAGTTTTGAAATTTAAGAAATCCCATTTGAGGAGTAGGCACTAATGGTTATTGGCTTTCAGCACAGTCCCTTGATCCAGATTACCTGCAATGGAATCCCAACTCTGTGATACACTAGCTGTGTGGTCATAAGAAAGTTACTTCCTTGGGAGGCCAAGGCAGCAGATCATGAGGTCAGGAATTCGAGATCATCCTGGCCAAGTTGGTGAAATCCTATCTGTACTAAAAATACAAAAATTAGCCAAGTGTGGTGGTACATGCCTGTAGTCCCAGCTACGCAGGAGGCTGAGGCAGGAGAATCACTTGAACCCGGGAGGCAGAGGTTGCAGTAAGCCGAGATCACGCCACTGCACTCCAGCCTGGTGACAAAGCGAGATTTCATCTCAACAAAAAAAAAAAAGAAGAAGAAGAAGAAGAAAATTACTTTCCTACTGCTTTATCTTGTACATTAATTATATTGGGACAGAAATAGCATTTCCTCATAGGATAGTTGTAAGGTTTAAATAAGTTAATACATGTAAATTTTTGGAGCAATGTCTAGAAGATAGCAAAGCCCAGTAAATATTAATTACTAGTGCTGAGAAGAGTAGTGAAAAAGTTCAAGAAGCAATTACAGAAGACTAATCAGGTGGTATCTGATGTGAAAATTATGATATAGTGGGGGGCAATCTAAGAATTCTGCTAGGTTGGAGAATGAAAGAGGAAGAACAAAAGCATTCTAAAGAAGCAGTCAGAAGTGAAAGGGAAGATACCTTTTATCTCTATGATCCAGCAACAATTTCCTAATATTGAAATCTCACCTTCCTAGTTACTGAGCTCCTACTGTATGTGTGTGTGATACAATCCCATCATAAAACCATAGATGCTTTAGGGAAAGAGTTGGTGAGTCCAAAATACCAGCTGTGGAACTTCCTTCAGACAAGTGACTGAGATAGGAAAGGAAGATGACATTTAATGATCACCTGTTATGTTTCAGAAACTTAAATTATCTCCGTAATCCTCCCAGAAACTCTTTAAAAAAGGCATTATTATGCCTATTATATGAGGAGATAAGAGATTCAAAGAGATAAAGAGATACAACCAAAAACTGCACAGCTAAACAAAGCAAAAAGGTAGTTTGGTCCTAGTCCTGGAGTCTATGAAACAATCATTTGTACGTAAAGTGAATGTTACCAGTGGTAACTGACACAAACCCTTACACCCAGCCCATACAAACCCACATACCTACTCCTCTCTCTGAAGTTCATTTTTTTAAAGTAAAATAGCTCAAATCAGGAAAAACTCAAGGTAGATGAGAGGTAGCTGGAGGGTGAACGCAAAGATAACATCATCTCAACTACTTGAATTCCAAAGCTCCAACTTACTCTCTAGATATTTTAACTTTAGTTAAATAACTACACATTGTCTTCATTAATGAACTTTAGGGATAAGATTTAAGACTTTGGAAAGAAAGTCTTTGAAAGAGATTAAAACAATAGACTATGCGGTTATAGGAAGCCTTAGTAATAACATTCAATTATTATTTACTATGTACCAAGCACTGTGTATGCAATTTTCTAAAGTTTATCTCATTTCATTCTCACAATAATTGTAAAAAATAAGTATTTTTAATTTCCAGATAAAGTGACTCAAGCTTTAGTTTCTGAAAACTTGCTTAAGGTCATGCGATTAACATGAAACACAGCCTTGACTCCGAACCCCAGATTTGAACAGAAAGTGTGTAAACTCGGAAACTAATATTAGTGTTTAATGGGAAATATGTTTTGCAGATATGTTAACATATTCATTTTTAAGAGAACTATTTAATACCCTAGTGAGCTAAAGGAGATAATGAACTTTTAAACAGTCAAAAATTTATTGCTAAATCATTACCAGAATTAAGTTAAAGCATTTTCAGATCAACAAACAATTTTATGTTCCTTACTAAATGCAGTAAAGTATTTTATGTTCCTTATTAAAGGCAGTAAAGTACTAAATACCCAGGTGAGCTGGATATTTAGAGGTTAACTTTCAAGACAGACAAAGAAGACAAAGGGACAGGACCTCTTATGGTACAGCCCAAGGAGTTCACCTCCCCAAGTCCTGGCCTCAGGACTCACGCTTGTCTCACTGGCCCTTATTCTGATCTGTATTCCTGTCTTTGGTATAGAAATATGCTTATTACCTGGCTTTTCTTGTTATTTTTGGTTCTGGGTTACATGGGCTGGATGTGCAGGTTTGTTACATAGATAAATGTGTGCCATGCTGGTTTGCTACACCTGTCAACCCATTACATAGGTATTAAGCCTAGCACACATTTCGCTACTTTTCCTAATGCTCTACCTCCCCACAACCCACCCTGCAACAGGTTCCAGTGTGTGCTGTTCCCCTCCCTGAGTCCACGTGTCCTCATTGTATAGCTCCCACTTATGAGTGAGAAGATGCAGTGTTTGGTTTTCTGTTCCTGCATCAGTTTGCTAAGGATAATGGCTTCCACCTTCATCCATGTCCCTGCAAAGAACATGACATCATTCCTTTTTATGGCTTCATAGTATTCCATAGTGTATATGTACCACATTTTCTTTATCCAATCTATTTTTGATGGGCATTTGGGTTGATTCCATGTCTTTGCTATTGAATCACTTGACTTTTTGACTTTCTCTTTACTGTTATTTGCTTAATCCTAGACTAATAGAATAACCTTAGTCTTAACTGCTCCTTCATTTGCATTAAGTTGTGTTACGTGTCCTGGACTGTGTTAGGATTAGAATTATTTTCCTACAAGAACATAGAAAGAAAGCCTCTGCTTTTCAATACAACAGCACCTCATCAGTAAATGCCCTATAATTGCTGATTTAAAAGAAATTCTTTCAAAATACATAAAAGGGTGATACATAAATATGGTTCACCACATATCTGTTCAACAGTAAATTCTTGGTGATTTGAAAAGTAGCTGACTCAAAGAAGCTTCCCATCAGGTAGGAGGGCAGAATCACTGCAACAGAGAAGGAAGCAACCCTCACAAAGTGCAGAAAAGGTGCAACTGAGCAAGAGGGCCCCTGTGCAAAACAGCATTGAGCAGCACACCGACCAAGTAACTTTATAAGCAGGCTCCTCCAAACACAGCAAAGAAGAAAACCAGAGTAGCTGGAGATGGAAGGGCAAGCCAGATACACCAATAGCGTGTGAGGAGCCACAAGGATTGATAAAGGGGAGCATGTCGAGGTGGAACAAGTTGGGACAAGGCAGATGATGAGCAAATAGGTTGATATTAAAGATTAAATTTTAAAAAGCATCCTCTAGAATGTCTTTATCAGGTCAATGAAGATTTATACCTGTTTTATATATCCTTTCCACATGAAGGAGTAAAAGGATGTGTATATAATGTGACTGATGATCACAGGGATGACTCTGACAGTGAGAATTGCTGGAACACAGTAACACATTAAATAATGTTTGGGGGAACTGTTAGTTTTTTGCCTTACTTTAAGGCAAAAGCAATAAACCAGTAAATATTAAAATATTTCAACAAAAATGATCAAATCAGAAAGTGATTAAAAGGTTTATCCTAAGCTAATATACTATTTTTTAAAAACAAACAGAAAGATCCCTTTCTCCCAAGAATGAAAGTCAAATGACTCAAGCATACTCTTTAATTCTAGCTAATCAGTTATTTTGTGAATTTCTTCACCCAACTACAACCCACATACATACTTTATTCATTCCCATTGCTGCTACTTTTGTTTAAGAGTAAACAATGGCACTGAGTACTAATATTTCCATAGCACTTAGGATCTACAAAGTCCTTTTGTGTGGTTTATCTCAAATAATCTTCATGGTAATCTTGTAAGGATAGTATCTCAGTTTATGATCAGGAATGCTGAATGTTGAGCCTCAGAGATGCTGAAGTAGTTGCCCAAATCGCCTAACTCTAAAATTATTTTACTATAATAATTTACATTCTCCTTATTTTAGACATAGAATACTACAGCAGTTTACCGGCCCCCTAAAGTAATATCCTCCACCATTTCAAACCTTCCCATTGATTTAATTTCCCTTAAATATCCCATCTAATTTCCCTTAAATATCATTTTCTTCTCCTCCTTCTCCCGATGAATGATTGTATACCCTCTGCTCTAGGTCACTTCATGGTACCGTGGATGCACACGTGTATTCTTCCATTGTTTTATTCTTGTTCTTCACTCTGTCTAGAATGTCCTCCACCTAATCTGTTCCAAATCATTCAAATGAGAAATCGAGACTCATGTTTTCCACAAAAGTTATTTAACTTGTCATCTTTTCTTTTCATTATAGTCCTTACAGTCTATATAGTCTGAACCATGATATTTAGTCCTTAATTATTCTTCTAAGCTGTTTACCAAACAGCTCTTACATATGTTTTTCCATTTTTAATGTCTATTATATGCCAGGCATTGTCTTGAGTGCTTTTTATAGATTACATTAATGTTTGATAGTAAACTTGTGGTAGATACTGTTATGAATTCCCATTTTACAAATGAAGAATACGAGAGCCTGAGTATCTAGTCCAAAGCCACATAGCTTGGAAGTGATGCAGCCAGCATTGCAACCAACGTGACCGGTTTTAGAGCCCTTTCTCATAAACACTATTCTATACTACTGTGCCCAGGAGGACCAATCTTAGGGAAATAGGTGGTGACCTATGTAGTATGTTTGAAGAACTCCCCTACTCAAGAATAATCTATACTAGTTTTTATTATTAGAGCTTTATTTCTTTTATTTAAAATTTTGGTCTTTGTTGAAATGCAAGTCTCACCACTGGGCCCCTAGGTTTTAAGGCTTATCAGGCACATTGTACTTTGGTATAAATGGTTTATCAGGATATCCCTCAGGACTTGGAGGGAGAGTAGAGAGAACATTAAGAAGCCTGAGTCACAGAAACACAGGTGACCAGAGCAAACATGGAGAAATGGAGTCACATCAAGTTAAAAAGCTTCTGCACAGCAAAGGAAACAATCAACAAAGTGAAGAGACAACCCAGAGAATGAGAGAAAATATTTGCAAACTACCCATCCGACAAGGGATTAATAACCGGAATATATAAGGAGCTCAAACAACTCTACAGGAAGAAAATCTAATAATCCAATTTAAAAATGGGCAAAACACTTGAATAGACATTTATCAAAAGAATATATACAAACGGAAAATGGGCATATGAAAAGGTGTTCAATATCATTGATCATTAGAGAGATGCAACTCAAAACTACAATGAGATACCTCGCTCCGGTTAAAATGGATTTATCTCAAAGACAGGCAATAACAAATGCTGGTGAGGATGTTGAGAAAAGGAAGCCCTTGTATACTATTGGTGGGAATGTAAATTACTACAACCACTATGGAGAACAGTTTGAAGGTTCCTCAAAAAACTAAAAATAGAGCTACCATATGATCCTGCAATCCTGCTGTTGGATATATACTCAAAAGAAAAGAAATCCTTATATCAAAGAGATATCTGCAATCCCATGCCTGTTGAAGTACTGTTCACAATAGACAAGATTTGGAAGCAACCTAAGTGTCCATCAACAGATTAATGGATAAATAAATGTGGTACATATACATAATAAAGTACTATTCAGCCGTAAAAAGAATAATGAGATCCTGTCATTTGCAACAATATAGATGCAACTGGAGTTATGTTAAGTGAAATAAGCCAGGCGCAGAAAGACAAACATTGCATATTCTCACTTATTTGTGGGATCTGGAAATCAAAGCAACTGAACTCATGGAGATAGAAAGTAGAAGGATGGTTACTGGAGGCTGGGAAGGGTAACGGGGAGGTAGAAGGAAGATGCAGATGGTTAATGGGTACAAAAAATAGAAATAATGAATACAATCTAATATTTGATAGCACACTACGGCGACTATAGTCTGTAAGAGTTTGGTTTTTTTGTTTGTTTGTTTGTTTTGTTTGTTTGTTTGTTTCAGATGGAGTCTCACTCTGTCGCCCAGGCTGGAGTGCTGTGGCAGGATCTCGGCTCACTGCAAGCTGCCCCTTCCAGGTTCACACCATTCTCCTGCCTCAGCCTCCCAAGTAGCTGGGACTACAGGTGCCTGCCACCATGCCAATGAATTTTTTGTATTTTTAGTAGAGACAGGGTTTCACCATGTTAGCCAGGATGGTCTCGATCTCCTGACCTCGTGATCCACCCTCCTCGGCCTCCCAAAGTGCTGGGATTACAGGCTTAAGCCACCGCGCCCGGCCTATAGTCAGCAAGAGTTTAATTGTACATTTTAAAATACTAAATGAGTATAACTGGATTGTTTGTAATACTAAGGATAAATACTTGAGGGGATGGACACCCTATTCACTGTGATTATTACACATTGCATGTCTGTATCAAAATATCTCAGGTACCCCATAAATATATACATCTACTATGCACTCACAACAATTTTTTAAAAATTAAAGTCTGAGAATGGGAACAGTCCACCTTCAAAGGGGACAGGTAAGAGGGTATTCCAGAAATGAGCTACTGAGGAACCTTGAATAAGCTTTGCCTGTTTACTATCTTGGCATGGCCCGACCCCATTCCCAGCTACATGATGATAAGCACTGTTGCTTTTTCAATCTTTGCAACATTTTCCTAATCACATGCACAGAGAGCAGAATACAGGTACCCTGGCTTACAGATAAGCAACTTAGAATTCTAACATTTCAAAGATGAGTTTTTTTGTTATAAGGTATTGTTTTGTTTTGATTTTTATCCTCAGAAACAAGCCCCCTCCCACTTTTTTTCCAACAAAATAAGATGTTGAAACTCAATATGATTGAAAAAGCAGAGCTCCTTTAGCTGAATTCAGGCAGCAGGGTTAGAGTCCCACTTCACTGCTTCCACAAAAATTGCGGCCTTCAGAAACCCTCTACAGAGTCGTTGAGGTTGGGGAGTGCAGTTTGAACAGCACTGATCCTCAAATTGTACACAGCATGAAAAGGAAAGCTGGGAAGGTCAAAACACTTGCCTTAGTTCATACAGCAGAGCTGGAACAAAAACGCAGGCCTCCTACCCCGACTTCACTATTCTTTCCTCTGTGCTGTGCTGCCTTTCCTCTATAGCAATCACATCCCAGGGTTTGGCACCTTCCCACTGTGCCCAACATTCTTTGATAGGGCAATCTAACTCTGTCCTTAAATAATTTGACTTTTACCTTGATTCTCTACACTCAATGTCTGTAATTTTCTGGAATTGGAAACTGTTTGAGATTAAAAGAGATTTCTGAAAGTAAATCCTGTGAGTAATTTTGACATTTGTTAGAATTATTGATGGAGAGTTAAGCTGTATAAAGGAAGGCCATTGAGGACCACTGCTATTCTAGAGCAAAAGCTTCCATTAGCTGAAATGTTTCTCACGTCTTCTGTCCCACCACGTTTGACACATTACCACCCGAGTGTCCTATACCAAGGCAAGGAGCCATATTCCTATTTGAACAAATTACCTGCTCCTCTGTGTCTCCTAAGGTCTACTCTGTCTCTTATTTGGATTAATCTGTATCTTGAAAACAACCCCGCAAGGTAAAATATTATTCTCATTTTAAAGACAGAAGAGAAAAAAAAAAGCTAGACTCAGAGCTTCTAAGCGACTTACTCGAGACTTACTCAAACATACAGTTAGGATTTGAATAATTTCTTTCTTTTCTTTCTTTTTTTTTGAGATGGATTCTCACTCTTTCACCCAGCCTGGAGTGCAGTGGTGCAATCTTGGCTCACTGCAAGCTCCGCCTCCCAGGTTCACACCATTCTCCTGCCTCAGCCTCCCGAGTAGCTGGGACTACAGGTGCCCGCCACCACGCCGGCTAATATTTTTGTAATTTTAGTAGAGGCGGTGTTTCACCGTGTTAGCCAGGATGGTCTCGATCTCCTGACTTCGTGATCCACCCGCCTCGGCCTCCCAAAGTGTTGGGATTACAGGCGTGAGCCACCACGCCTGGCTGATTTGAATAATTTCTGTATGGTTACCAAACCATACCGCATCATACTGTTCAAGTGGGATAACATCAGTTAAATCACGGAGCATTTGCATCCTTGATGGGACGGAGTCATGTGTGTCATTTGGTGCCCACCTGAGCTCTATCATCCCCTGTGGGTGGGGGAAGGTATAGAGGAAAGACTTAAGTCAGATTGGCTACTTTAGATCATGGCTGTGCCGTGTCCCCACGGAGCACTTTGAGCAAACTATTTAATCTCTCTGTTTCTCAGTTTCCTCATTTAACAAATAAGATAATGGTACCACCTTCCTCATATTGCTATAATGACTAAATAAGAAATAATTAGAGAAGTGCCCACAACATCAAAAGTACTAAAAATGTTAACATTATTATTAAATAATACGATTCCCATCTGAGCAGACCCTTCCTCTACCCCTACTCGTTTACTGACTGCAGGTCAGCCAAGAAATCACCACAGTGACACAGACGCTCTTTGGGGTTCATTTAGACTAATGCAAGCTGCTCAGTTGCATTAGTCTATTTTTTAAGGTATAGTAAATTTCACACTAATTTTGAAAGTTCGTGAGGACGATAAAAATCTATAGTGTTACATGCAGTTAAAAGTGTTTTAAATTCCCAGACAGGAGCTAATGCACTCCTCCATCTGTGTCACAGGCTCATTTGATCATCACAGATACCTTCTCCAATGCATACAAACACCCTTACTATACTGTATGACATGTATTATAGGATCTAACATGAGGCAATATAATCCCTCATTTTTGCCTCAATTTTCCCAAAGCAATGTACCAGGGTGTCTGATAGTTAATAGCTCTTTAATGACTTTTCATTGGAAAAAAGTAATAAATTTATCAAAACCTGTCATGAACTATCACCAACCTGCTCAGCTACAAACAGAACTTGACCTAAATGTTAGTAGGGTGGAAGAGGAAAAGGGTTATCTTGTCCTTAATACAAATCTATTACCCTCCTAAGATGTAAAAATTATCACACATTACGAAAGAGTAAGGTTCAAACTAAAAAAATTTTTTTGTATTTCTCTAAGTGTTGCCTACAAAATGAAGTATTTTGGCCAAAAATATGTCCTTTGCTAAAATTACATTAAATATACGTATAACAAGAAACTAGGAATATTGCTGGGAAGTTGGTACATTGATTAGATGTCCACAAGTCTAATTTATGAAGTCTAAAGAGTGCCGCACCTCGAGTGTCTAAACAAAAATCTGTTCACAAAGTATTCTTTATATATGATTAGGTGTTGCTAACTCATTTTGCTTAGTTTTATTACATTCTATCTGTCCATAAATTCACTCTAATGCCAAAAGAACATCCTTAAAAGCAACACACTGGGTTTAGTAATTAGTGGCAATTTCAGACTGATTTCTAATGTGATTTTCTAAGACCTCTGTGAAGAACAAGAGGCTGACTTATGAATTTTAGCAATGTTAAAACCACTTGATAGATCATCTAAAATTGGTTTTACTCTTAGATTTTACTAAAATTAACTATAGATTTATGCTATGTAATGGTATAATAATATCACCACCTGCATTTTCATTTGACTTAGTTTTCAAAACATGTTCATATATATTCTGTGGCTTGATTCCAAGAATAGTTACAATGCTTAGCCATGGAGGGAGGTGTCATTATCTTCAGTAGATCAAAGTTTGGAGAGGTTACTTGACTTGCTTAAGGGCACAAAACTAAAATCCAGTAGTTTTAGTTTGGCTTGTGGAAATTGACTCTTTTTATTATAACCCGATGCTGTTCTTGACTCTGATATCTTTATGACATTTCTTGAAGTCTTTGAATCATTCTTTAAGACTCTATTTTAGGAGGCATACTCCATTCTAACTTAAAACTTCTCCCTCAGAATTGCTTGTCTCAAGCAATTTAGCTGTCTTTGAAGTAAGGAAAATATGGAAGTCATCTAATTTTTCTGTCAAAATATCACATACTCATTACATACAAAAACTGTAGAAGAGATATGCTTTATTCATATGCACAGAGCTCACTAACCAAGACACATACTGGTCCTTGAAATAAGCCTCAAATATTTCAAAAGACTAACATCTTACAGAGCATATATCGTGACCATAATAAAAGACATTTAAAAAACAATAAGAATGAAATATCTATAAACACTCCATCTCCACAGCTATCTTTTAAAGTTAAACAACATTCTTCTAAATAATCCATGGGTCAAAACCCCCCAAAACTGAAATATTTTGAAATGAATAATTTAAAAAAACAACATACCAAAATGTATGGGACACAGCTAAAGGCAGTGCTTAAACATGAATTTATAGGTTTAAATAATCTAAGAATCTATCATCTAAATTTCACCTTTAGAAGCTGTCAAAAAAAGAGCAAATTAAATACATAGCAAGTGGAATGAAGAAAATAACAAAAATAAGAGAAGAAGTCAATGACAAAAACCCAGAAGTTAACAAATAGGTAATAAAAATTGATGAAGAAAATAAGAAATACAAATTACCAATATCAGAACTGAAAGACAGAATATAAGTACAAATCATACAGATATTAAACCGACAATGAGAATATTGTACAAACTTTATGTCAATAAATTCAGTAATGGATAAAATATATCAATTCCTTCAAAACCACATATTATAAAAACTAAGGAAGAATTTTTCTCTATGTATATATATCTTATGTATATTTTATATGTATGAGAGAATAGATTTATATATATAGATATCTTACATATACATATGTAATCAAATATCTTCCATAAAGAAAGCTCCAGGCGGAATTTTTAAACTAGAGGATTCTAGAAACCTTTAAGGAAAAATGTGTTAATTTGAAACAAACTCTTTCAGAAAAGAGGAAAGAACACTGTCCAATTGCTTTATTTGGCCACAAAACCATGATTTCAAAATTTGACAAAAATGTTACAAGAGAAGAAAAAATTCAGATTAGTATCCCTCATGAACGTAGATGAAAAATGTTTAACAAAACATTAGCAAATAAAATATAGAAATGTGTAAAAAGATTAATAGATCACGATCAAGCATAATTATTCCAGGAATGTAAGGCTGATTTAATTTTTGAAAATCAGTCATGCAATTGAACACATTAAAAAAGGGAGAAAAATAGCATATAATCACTTATGTACATGTAAAGAAAAAAAAGGCACTTAACAAAATTCAACACCCATTTATGCCATAAAACATTTCTTAGCAAAATAGAAGAAAACATCATCAATCTAATAAAATCAAAATCTACATATGAGCTTATAATTGAAGGCAAAATATTTAATGCTTTCTCTTAGATAGGGATTAAGCTTGGTATATCCACTCTCACCACCTGTATTTAACATTGAATTGGAGGATTTAGATAGGTCAATAAGGCAAAACAATGAAATCAAAAGTATTAGAAAGGAAAAAAATTAAATTGCATTTTTCCACAGTTGACATGAGTATTTATGTGAAAATCTTAAGGAATCTTCAAAATAAGTATAAAAGCTGAAAACTAAATTTGGCAAGCTCACAGAACATAAGCTCAGTATAGATAAATTATGTTTCTCACTACTAGCAGTAAAAAATTGAAAAATAAGATAAAAAATCAATTATAACATCAAAATCATAAAATTTTTAGAAAAAATTTACTGACATATTTTCCTGAATACTACAAATATTGCTGAAAGAAATTAAGGCATAACTAAAGAGATAATATATGATCATAAGTTGAAAAATTCAACGTTAATATATCAGTTCTCCCCAAAGTGATCTATAGATTTAATAGACCACAACAAAATCCCAGTATATTTGGTTTTGAGAATTTGGAAATAAAATGCTAAAATGTATATGGAAATGGAAAGATTCTAGAATACTTAAAACACTCTATAAAAAGAACAAGATTGGGCCAGGAGTGGTGGCTCATACCTGTAATCCTAGCACTTTGGGAGGCCAAAGTAGGAAGATCACTTAAGCCCAGGAATTCTAGACCAGCCTGGGCAACATGACGAAACCTTGTCTCTACAAAGAATACAAAAATTAGCTGGTCATGGTGGCGCACACCTGTAGTCCCATCTACTAGGGAGGCTGAGGTGGGAGGATAGCTTGGGCCTGGCTGGTGGAGGTTGCAGTGAGCCAAGATTGTGCCACTTCACTGCAGCCTGGGCAACAGAGTGAGATGGTCTCAAAAAGAAAATAATAATAATAAAATAAAATAAAACAATATTGGAGGATTAACACTACCTAATTTCAAAATTTACTAACAGCTGCAGTAGTAGTGATACTGATATAACTAGAGAAAAGAAATAATTGGAATAGAAGAAAGTCCAGAAATAGACACATGTGTATAGATAACTTTAATTTTTACAAAGGTACAAAAAATTCAATTAGGATATTTTCAATAAATGATCCTGGAACAATTTTATAAACACAAGAAAAGTAGATAATTCTGCATACAGAATTAATTTCAGCTGAACTAAAATTGTAATGCTGTGAGTATAACATATAAAAGAATGTTAACGCAAACTAAAGGTATAGAAAAATTTCTTAGAAGTATAAATAAGCACTAAATATAAAACAGAAATTTGATAACTTGGAATTCATCAAAATTAAAAACTTGTCTTCTTTGAAAACCATTAACAAAATAAGAAGGCAAGTCACAGATTGACTTTGCAATGCACACATCTGATTTGTATCACACTCACATGCATGCACACACACCAACCCAAAAAATTAACAATAAAAATACAATATAAACAAAAAAGGTCAAAAGACTTGAATAAACACTTCACCAAGGAAGGTGTTCAAATGACGAATAAGCACATAAAACTGTACTCTACAGCATTAATTATAAAGAAAATACAAATAAAAACATCAAAATGAGATATCATTTCATACAGATGAAAATGGCTAAAATTTCTAAAGACTGGTTACACCAAATGATGGAAGGGATATGGAGCAACTGAAACTTTTATACATTGCAGAGGACAATGTAAAATAAAATCACCTTAGGAATGGCTAATTTCTTACAAAGTTAAGCCTACATGCACCCTATGATTCAGTAACTTTATTCTTAAGTACTCACCCATGAGAAATAAACATATTTTCACAAACAAATGTGTATAAGATTTTTTCTGATAGCTTTTTTCATAATAGCCAAAAAATGAAAAAAAAAAACCCATCAGGAGAATGAATATACAAATTATGGTATATTTGAATAATGAACCACTACTGCATGTGACATTCATAAACATTATGCTGAGCAAAATAAACCAGGCACAAAAGAATACATACTCTATGATTTTATGTATATTAAGTTCAAAGCAAGAATAATTTATGATAATCAAAATCTGAAACACGGTTGGCTATGAAGAGTGGAGATTGACTTGAAGGGGATATGAGAAAGCTTTCTAGGGTGATAGAAATGCTCTATATCTTAGAGTGGTTAAGTGTTTTCATTTTTAAAAATTCTTTTAATTGTAAGCTTAAAATATATGCACTTCACTGTAAATTGTACTCCAATAAAAATATCTAAATAATAAAATACGAATATATACAGAAAAAGTGGTTCAACCCTGCAATCAAAGACATAAGGGCCTAAGCAGTGTGTTAAAGAAATAAAAGGTTCTTCTGACATTAATCTTTACCGCAAAGACCAGGCCTCACCTCTTAAACCTGCTTGGAAATCCTCTACCTGATACAGAAACGTCTTCTTGATTAAAGACGAACTGAAGTTGTCCAAAGCTTCACTGTCACACAATTGGAACAAAATTACAATAAGTATTCAAAAAGATACGTGTTTCAGTACTGTATGTTTGCTGTACATCTCTAATATGCAAGAATTCTTCCTTTCCAAGGATCACATCTCTTCCTGTTCTCTTAATGGAATCACTTCTCACCACCTCTAGGAATGTTATCTCTCCTTTTGCTCACATCTTCAGTCTCTTTTCCCTACTGGTCCACCCAGCCTAAGCAATAAGCATATTTATATCTTCCATGTTGTAAACAAAAAACAAACAAATGAACAAGAGCCTTCGGCCGTCCTTCCATAGCATTACCTCCTCCAGCTACTGCACCTCCCACCTAACTCTTGAAAAGCATCATGGAAACCTCTCTCTCTCTACTTCTCCACGAGTCCTTTCATCTCCAACCTCTCACCATCCAGTTCCAGCCTCAGTACTCTACTGAAATTTCTCTTTTATTGGGCATAAAAAGTATTTGTATAAAATCTTAATCTTCTCCAACCTATCACTGCATCTGAAACCATTAACTACTTGGCATTCTTTAAATCAGTCTATTTACTTCCACGACAATGGGACCTGCTGGAGCCTCTCTCTGACCACAGCTACTTCTATCTGGGTGGTCACATGATTAAGACTCGTCCAGAAAGTTTCTCTCTTGGGAACTTGAGAGAGAACATGAAGTCTTTCATCAGGCCTTTGTAGGCATTTCAACAAGAAAGTGACAAAGTTTTTACTTAAGCAGTCAAGTATAAACCTTGTAAAAGTTGAACATTGAAAAAACTTTCAGGGGGGTGGGGTGGGCGGGCAAAGAATGTAGACAAGAGGAACAAGAGGGGAAATAAGAGACCAGATGGCCCCAGAGGGAGGGGCTGCCTTTTTTTCTGATTGATTTCTAGGTTGAAGACTGGGGCTAATGAGAGTTTTATCTGAAGGGTAGTAAGATACCAATTTAAGTAGGTTTCCTTCTTTACAAAGAAGCCCTAACAAAGTCCTTTACTGGCCCCTCTGCTCTTTTCAGACTTTTTTTCCCCTTTCTTCTAACTACCAAATCAATATGTCTGCATCTATCTTCTATTCTTTGCATTAATTCCTATTTGTTTGTTGACCAGTTGGGTCTATATAACCATTAACATCTCAAATTTAATATTTTCAAATTTATCTTCATGCATGAACTATAATGTCACCTCAGTTTCTCATAGAATATTTATATACAAAAGCAATATTATCCTAATTATACACACTGGACATCCAGGTTCACCCTTCATTCCTCCATCTTTTTGTCACACATCTCTAACCAGTTTCTAAATCTTATGAACCTTAACTTCACAATTTCTCTCATTCCCATACCTCCTACCTCTTTTCCATTCCCAGAGCTACCACCTTAGTTCAGGCCCTCATCAGTGTTCCCTTGAGGTCATTATCTTGTTTTTTTATTTTAAAAATACTAAAAATATTAAACATTTTTATATAAGTTCTGCAATATTTCAGACACTATACTATACACATTAAAAAACACATTCAATTAATCCTCACCACACAGATTTACACTTGACTATTGACATGGCTTCCAAGCTGTTCTCCCTTCATTAATTGTGCAAAACTCTAAATTCATCCTTCTTTTGTAGTAAAAGTAAGAATTTTAAGTTTTAATGAATGTTGCACTGGGAGAAAACAGACTAGAACATAGATGCTTACAGAATTAGAATCCTCCCCTCTTTTCCTCTTTAGAGTATTTGATCTAGTGTGATTCTCTTCACACAATGGAACTTCATTTGATTCTAATTCTTGGATAAAAGCCCATTACTTATGCTTCAAGGCACTCAAGTGAAATGGGTGTGGCATTTATAATTAAAATTTAAATTAGCATCACACTAAAGAGAGCTGCAATTTCATTTTCCTGTATCTTAAGGTGCTCTTTAAGTAAATCCATAAATAAATTATTTCAAAATACCTGATAGCAAGACATCTTTTAAAGTTTTCTGCAAAGATAGAGTACGTTCCATATAAGTATAGGTAATACATGCTGCCAGTAAGGAATTTAAATATCAAGTCCAGTTCTTTAAAAATTTGATATTCTTATTGTGGGATACCAAATTATACGTGTAACGTCTCTTCTGTTTAAAACTAAAACATGCTTAGTATCAGCAAGCTCTGAGAATAAATAATCACAAAAGATACAGCTAATAACTTGATCTATAGCAAGTCCAAGTATTGGTGTAATTGAAATAATAGGAAGAAATTAAGAAGGTAATATGAAATTTTTTATACCTATAATAAGCACAGGGGTAAAAATATACAATGTCTATCCATCAAAAGCTCCTTCTCACAAAGGAAGGTAAAATCTCTCTCTTCAATAAAACTACATTAAGAATAGGGCCCCAATTATACCTGTGTTTGTCCATTCCCCTTACATAGCCTAGACCATTATTGAGGCCTTGACTACAGCTATAAAGCAAAGACCCAGAAGAATGTTGTAGGAAATTAGAGAGACTATCTTTGACACCACAGATCGTGGGACCACAATCTGCTATTTTCTAAAACGTTGCAGATTAAAAAAACACAACAACAATAACAATTAGAATATCCTCTGAGTAAACTTTTGTGTCTTTGGAGGAAGAAGGACATGGAAGAGGTACCCCACAGTGCATACACTTTCTGAATATCCCTGATACTCAAGTCAATGTAATGCCAACCATAATCTTTGCATTCCAGCCTCCCATCCTCACCTTCTCTCAGAATGAATGGAAAGACATGATGTGGCACAGCCATAACGTGCCACACAGATACCCCCTTCAGGACTAAGTCACTCATCCCTTCAACTTTCAAAAATGTTATGTTGGCTGCCAAGAGTTCATAGTTGACTCACTCCCTGAGAGAGGTTCACGGTCAAGTGCTCATTCTCTCTCTTCTGCTGCTTTATACATCCAATGACTAATGGATGTGGGAGTTCAATTGCTTGAACCCCTTGCTTTAATACAGGGACCATATTGGCATCAGAGTTTCCTGTGAGATTGGTCAAAGACTCTATTGCAAATGCATTGCAGCTCAGCTTTTCCCTCTACCTAATCCAAAAGAAGTTCAGCGTATATTTCTCTGTCTCATAGCCTACTTCCCTGGGAATCTGACCTAAGAAAATTGATAGCAAGGAAGCACTGAGGAAGTGACTCCAGATAAGATATTTTATCTATGTCCTCAGTTAGACTAGAAATGAGGACTTAATCACTGATGCTATGTAGAAAATGGATAGTCCGTGGTGTATTATAGCAGTGTGATTGTTAACGTTTTCACTGGCAGTAGACTGGGATGGGATATCAGTAGAAGGGAATGAATTAGTGCATACATACTCTATCTCAGGTATTTGAGAGGTTCAGGGGAAGAAGTGATTCATACTCTGGAATACAGTAACTGTTGCTAGGGCCTCTTGATGCAGTACAGAAAGACAACAAAAGTGAAGAGTGATTAATTACTAATGTAAAGCTGACTTGAAAGACAACAGACCTCCAATGTCACCATATAGATTCTTCCCTCTTGCCACAGATTCAGAAAAAGCTGAGCACCAGGTCCAGGAATTAATCATAAGAGTTATAAATCTCTAGAGAAGGTTGAATTCTCAGCTTGGGCAGGTTGGATTTGCCAAGGCCAAGGCCTTAGGAAAAACAGGACTGTGAGTCACGGGATAGGACATCTGGGTTAATTCATCTGAAACTCTTGGATCCCTAGATTCTCCTGAATCCTCTAAGATTGCAAAAGTCACCCTCTCCTTCTTGTTGGGGCTAGCACTTCATCCTTGCTTGAAGACAATATGGAGGCTTCTTACTTGTAGGAAAATCTTTGCATCCACCATGAAGATCTACCACAAACAACCTCCTGGACCTCCAGACCAACAACTAGAGTAAAGTCATAGCATTCTCCAGCTGAGAAATGGCAGGGTCTGTTAAGAGAGGAGAAAGGCTATATATTGAAGAAGCTGTAAGACCTCACCAATAGGTATGCACAAGTAGGAATTGGGAAAGCACATATGGACTGGATTCAGTCAGTGCTACATCAATGGAGAGGTATACGAGGTTAAACAGAGGAGAATGTATCATTATGGGATACATTCCTTCTCCAGTGATATTAAATTTAACACCTGGCAAGGACCCATAGGAGGCATGTTAACACAAAACGAGAGTAATTCTTAAAAGGTTGAAAATTCATGGTCTGCACTAAGAAATAGTATGGAAAACGGTAGAGAAAGGGATAATAAGTCTCAGAGAAGTAGATGTACTAGAGTGAATATACTATATAATGCCAGAAAACCTATCAGCCAAGAATATTCCATGGGAGTACACACCATTCACCAGTGAGATAAGTAAGGTCATTGTGAGATTCTGAACAACATTGTTGAGTATCTCAGTGATACCTATCATCTATATATCAGGTACGTTACAGGACTAGGCTCTGATAACAAGGGCAATAATAGGATACCAAAAACAATTGAGGTTAGGTAGTAGTGTTTAACTATCAGAAACAATGTGGATGCAATTACCATAATAAGTTGCAACATTGGAGTGGCAGCCATGGAGGCCTAACTTAGAGCTATGGAGATGGCTAATAGAATGCAGTTCCTAGAGGCAAGAAGATGCACACTGCTCCACAGAGATTGTTTAATTTATACAAGCAAAAGAAATAATGGATGATTAGAAGGTTGAGGACAGCCTTCCCAGTAAGATTCACCAAGTCTGATCTAGGTGCTGCTGCTGCCAAATACCCAATCTGCCAGCAGCTGAGACAAAGGTTGAGCACCTGATACAACAGCTTTCAAGAAGATGGACCAGCCACTTGGTAAAGATTGATCACATTGGACTTTTTCTGCTCTAGAAAGAACAATGTTTTATTTTAATTAGAATCGACATGATTTTTGATATGTTTACCTTTCCCACCCACATAATTTTAGACCAAGCGGTCTACTTCATCTTAGTGGAGATGCAGCATTGGACTCATGGAAGTACACACCATTTACAATTTAACCTTATAGACTCCTCTACTATTCCTATCACAACAAAGCCCAGAGAATTCCAATCTGCATATACATATATATACCCTTCTAAGGCATATTTCAAGTACCAGGTTATAAATGATACCCTAATAGAAAGAAGTCTCATAATTCAGAAAGAAGTATATACCCTAAATTCATGACTATCCCATGGTACTGTGCCCCCAGTAGATAAAATACATGAGTCTGGGAACCAAGGAATGGAAGTAGGTGTGGCCCTACTTATTACCACTCTCAGTGTTCCACTGGAGTATTTGTACTCCCCATCCCTACAACTTCGTTCTCTGTCATTATATAGGACCTAGTTACCAGAGGGGGTCTCCTTCTATCAGGAGACAAGGTGGATAAATCATATGGTTTTTAACATATGGTTGCCACCTGGCCACTTTAGACTTGGCAGGAGGAATTGACTCTGGCCCTTAAGAGAATGTAGGGCTGAAATTACATGATAGGGACAAGGAGAAATACATCGTCACCCAGTTAAGCCACTGAGGAAATGCTTCATAACCCTGGTCCAATTTGATTGTAAATGAACAAAGTGGCAAGATGGCTCTAGAGGTTCAAGCTTTACTAGCAGGGAAACTTGAATCCACTTAAACTATAAAAGCGAAAGTATAAAGAAATTTTTTAGGTTTTGGAAGGGGGTTTGAGATAGGAAAGATCTGTGCATCTATCACTACCGAAAAATAAAAGTAAAAACAAAAGATTTTAAAATTTTATTATACAGCACTTCAGTGTAACTCCAATATGTCCTTCATATACAGATACAAATAGGTCAATTGAAGCTAGAGGTGCATCACCAATTTCTTGGCTAGCAGAGGGCAAGACAGAAGAGCCCCTTCATTCTCACTTTGCATTTAATCTTCCTAAACTTTGCTGGGTTTTTTGAAAGTTTTATAATTCTGTATTCATTTTTCACTCATAATCTCTTCTTCATCGATGATCCCATTGATACATGGAATAATTATCTGCATGTTTGGGATAATTCAAAGAGTCCTGAATAAGAGAATGGGACAAAAACAGGTATATATTTTTTAAAGTCCTTTAAGAGAGTCTTTAAGAGAGTATGTTTTAATAGGGTAAACATATCTATCTCTCTTTCAGTGAGAAGGCAAGCCTATCCAAGATTCAGCAGAGAAACTCCTGGTTATCATGGCCCGTTTAGCTTTTGGACAAGCTGACCTTTTCTCCCTTTATGAATTTTGCCTCAAGTAAGTAAGCCTTGTCCTTTAACCTGCTTAGGAATAATGGACAGGGTCACAGGAAGAAACATAAATATGGAATCATGTCAGACTCTTCACCCATTTTTTCCTCTGGTTTCCTTATCATGACAGTGTCAGAGATCTCCAAACTCTGAGATGCCGAACTATTGCAGTGCTACCTGTCAGCACTTAGGATTAGCCCCCTTTTAAAGCAGCTGTCAGAGTAGCCATGCTGGCTGCTGTCTCCAAGAAAAGTGCAATTATACATTAGTATAAATAAGTTCATACTTTCAAAAACAGGTAAATCAAGATGAGTACTGCTTTACAAAGGCATTTAGCACAATTTTCCTGAAAACAAAAAGCTCGTTCCCTGGAGAATTTAAAATTACGGTTAACTTGCAGATATTATTCTATTTGGCTATTTGTATATCTGAGAATAAAAAAAGAAAACATGTTTTACGTGGCATAATAAACAAAACAGAAATATCCTACATTTGCCAAAGAAGAAATAGATTTAATGGCAAAATAGGTAAAACAAGAGGAGTTATAGTTTTAATTAAGGCCACTGCCCTGCTGTGGTGTCTTCAGGAACTGTTTGGATTAATATTTTTTCTTTTTTTTTTTAAATCCACGAATTTCCTACCAGGCTATGATTTCAGGCAGAAGCCAAGAAACATTGCCTACATTTTTTTTTTTTAACAATTAAGCAGTGCTTGTTAATCAGATTTTGTTGACAGCTTTCCAGGACTGTAATTGAGGTTGCATAACCTTGCCTTCATCGATAAATGCAATTGAGATACAGTGTCTAGATGAGAAATATTTGATCACAATTTGGAAGGGAGGTATCTATTTAACAAATTCAAAAATATTGACCCGTATGCTGACATTAGAGAGACAGCTCAATTTCCTCTGTACTGTTTTACTCACACCAAGCATGGCATCTATTTAAAAGAATCTTTTATGAGCCCACTACCTGCATGTTAGTCAACACAGAGTAGATTACTGATGACGATGAAGAAGTGAAAGATATATTCAAGGGGAATCTAGCTAGCTAGAAACCTGGATTTGAATTCAAAAGCTTTAAAAATACTGACAATATGGAGATACCGACACTTTATTCATTCACACAATAAATATTTACTGGGCACCAGCTTCATATTGTGAGCTATACTAGGTTTGAGAAACACAATGGTGAGCCAAACAGCAACAGACCCTGCCCTCTAAGAATGGAATGAACAGAGTGTTTGGAAAGTGAGCAATTTCAACAAACAGTAGATTTTCCCTGCAGCAAGAAGTGACTCTTTGATGTCCACTTCATGAAATTCAGACCCAACAATAGCCCTGCCCCTTACTATACTTTTCTCTGTTCTAACCCAAGATATCTCTTTACCTCTTTGCTTGGAAAGAATGTACTTCCAAATCCTCCCTAGCAGACCATTCCTGTTGCAATACTAAATCTTATAATTCTGTATTCATATTTCCTTCCCCCAAAAGATGCAAGAGCTTGTGATGGTAGATCCTTTTTGATTCATCTTCACATTTCTTCTGTGCAACCTAGCAAAGTACCCAAAGGCTTCTTAAATAACAAAAACAGCCTCCTGCTCTCTACTCACAACAATTTTGTTATTTTTTTATGTCCCATAAGCATTTTGTCTGGAATATTCTCCCTGACCAATAATAATACATATCATCCCCTCTTCTTTCAAATATCAAGAAAATTATGTAAGAACTATTTTTTGTATTAATAATGTCAAACATAGGAAACTGCTGTATTGTATCTCATCAGAACCATTTTAATTCACCAGGGTTTCTTCCTTCCCTCCTCCTCCCATACCTAAAATATGTAAGCATTCTAGTAGTTTTGCAGTGAAGAGAACAATAGCATAAGACTTGCCCTCAAGGAACTCACAGGCTAGTGAAAATAGAAGAGAAGCCAGATACAGGCACTAGAAATTCAGACCAGCCTGGATGGTGAGGGAGAGAAGTATTGGGAAAGTCAAACCTTTAGGCCTCTGCACAGGTAACCACACATTAAACTCACACAAACCCATCTCGTCTGAAACTGAACTTCATTTCTCCTGCAAAAGCTGCTCACAGTTCTGTAATTAACCCAGAAGAAACTCCCTAGATGCCAAATGTTTTATAGATAGTTTAATTAGGGCAAAAGCAGCAACTTGAGACAGGAAATATATCTCTCAATCAGGAAAGAACAGAGACATCCTTCAGATAGCCTAAGGCACACAGCAAGAACAGAAAATGTAAACGCAGTCACATCAGTGCACTGGGATTGCTACACTGAATTTTGTGTGCATGTTTCAAACCCAAGCTTGGCTATCTGCTGTTGTCCATGACAGTCCCGCCCCATCTTCTTTCAGAGCCAATTGCTGAGTCCTCAGGACATTTTTGCAAATGAATTGCAGAAGTACTGTAAGCAAAAGGTAACTAAGATAAGCCTGCTAGTGCTGCAGCATATTAAACAACAACAACAACAACAACAAAAAGCCTGTCTTTCATGTTTAGAACTGATGTTCTACTTTCCTTTCTGTAGGATGATGGCTTTGAATTGCTATTCTGGAGGAAGTGATGGATTTTGTGTCACTGCAATCTCTTTTCTGTTCCTCTTTAAAACCAATTGTTTTCCTCTGGCAAGATTATGTGTTAGGATCCAGGCCTATTTCTCCCAAGGCAAATAATCCATATAGGAGGTTAACTTACTTTCCCAATAATTTCTACTACCTCCCAAGCTAAATAAAATAAAATTTGAATTACCCAGACAGCCATTCCTCATCACTAACAATGTGTTATTTAACCAACCAAGAAATGCCTATTTATCTAAAATATCTGTTTATCAATTTCAAATAATTAGGAAGTGAAATGAAGACAAATTATGCTAAACATAGTTTAATATTTTATACTGTAGAAAACACTAAAGAGAAATCTTAAGAATCTCTCATGACATTATAATGTGTATCTTATCATGCAATATTGCAGACAAAGGTAAGCCAATCTATAAGTAGTATCCTCACCTGTAAATATCTATTATATTTATCCTTATTCTAAAGCTACTATGATAAATTAGTTAATTGTTCATTAATGTTTGAATTCCTGATAAATAGGATCTCAGAGTGTCTTTCCATTTCAGATTGGTTGGTTTTATCACTCACTTTCACAGACATATAGTAACAAATTTATTTGCATTAACATATAACAGGCTTTGCTTTTTGGTCCAGTTTCATCTGATGTTAAGTAGTACAGTAAATTATCTGTCCTCTAAGAGTTTTACATAACTGAACTAAGAGATTAAGTTCACAATGAAAAGTGAGGCAATATGTGACTGAACTGAGAAGCAATTGAAAAACAGACATCCAGAAAGTGTAACTACTTTAATAAGTACTTTCTTGGTACTGTATAATTTTTAAAAACCATATCTAGTGTTTTATAATCTTAATTAAATTTGGAATTTTTTCATATCTTCTGTACTTATCAAATTTTCAGAATTCTAAGAAATGTCTTATTCATTCTTATAGAAGGATTCTGTATATTTCTAAAACAACAATCAACAAATAATATCTTGCCAGTAGGGCCTGAGTTACAGAGAAGTGGAATCAACTATAAGAGAAATTCATCCAGGCTTATAGTGTCAAGTATCTTAAGAGAAATGTAATACAAAATCGAGAAACAAAAGGAAAACTTACAAAGCTAGGCTCAAATTTTATCTCAATAGATTCTAGAGTTGACCCCACACTTTGTCTCTCCTAATTGGCATTCCCTCCCCATTTCAAGTTCAAACAAGGACTTCAAGACATATTTTGCTCAGACCTTTTGTTCACTCTTTGAGAAATTTTCTTCCAACATAAAATATCACAGGTGAGTGTACTTGTCTATAATGAGGCACACTGCCTCCTGTCTTGAAGTAGATAGATGCTCTAAGAATTTCCCCAAGAAAACTTAAAAAAAGACCATTGGGGATTCCTCCCTGGATTTCTTTCCATAATTGTGGCTATTGAAAAATCCACTGGGAGCTAGATGCCATCAAGCAGGACCCACAGTAGTAGAAACAACAACATAAACACATTCGATGTGCTCAGGAGGGAGGTAAATGAAAGTTGAGATTATCAGCTGGAGTCAAAATGGGAAGATTTAGACCAAAGGAAGAGAGGAAGGATAAGGGATACACACCCAATGAGGAAAATATTGTTACTACAAAAACCAGACGAAAGTAGTAGTCTCAGAACCCCCTGATCAACAAGAGGAAGACAAACGCCACAGTGAGTTGACATTGACCTATAATGTGACATGGTTATGACATCAGGTAGGCAGCTCCCCTACTAATAAAAATCCGTCTTCCACCACTCTCATAGCTATACATCTTCTGCCTTTCAGTGGTTGTGTTCATGAGCTACATGTACACTAGATCCTGACATTCATGTTCACCACAGTTACTGAAATCAGGAGCCTGAAGAGTAAGAATAAATCAGGGTTGCTGGTCAGACTCTAATCTCTCTTCTTGTTCCCAGGAGCAGGTGGTAGACAGTTCATGTATACATATGTAACACATGTATACTTAACACATGTATACATGTATACATAGTAGCACATGTATACATATGTAACAAACCTGCACACTGTGCACATGTGCCCTAAAACTTAAAGTATAATAATAATAAAATTTAAAAAAAAGAACCAAGAAAAAAAAAAAGAAAATGTGGCACATATACACCATGGAATACTATGCAGCCATAAAAAAGTATGAGTTCATGTACTTTGCAGGGACATGGATGAAGCTGGAAACCATCATTCTCAGCAAAATAACACAGGAACAGAAAACCAAACACCACATGCTCTCACTCATAAGTGGGAGCTGAACATTGAGAACACATGGACACAGAGAGGGGAACAACACACACCAGGGCCTGTTGGAGGGTGGGGATTGAGGGGAGGGAACTTAGAGGATGGGTCAATAGGTGCAGCAAACCACCATGAACACGTATACCTATGTAACAAACCTGCACGTTCTGCACATGTATTCCCGTGTTTTCTTTAGAAGAAATAAAGAGTAAAAAAAAAGAAAGTCGCTAAGATTTGCTGCCATAACACTATGGAAAATACATATAAGCTTATATTAGAATCTTGGGGCAATTGATTTAATCAGAAATAGGCTGTCCAAAACAATCCCAATTTGCCATAAATGTGCTGATACAGTCATTCCCATTTTAGGACACAGCAGAGGTTTCAGTTTGCTTCTGACTTGAATTATTTTTCTTGTTATTTCCAACTTTGCATATCATACTCTTCTTCCCTTACCAGTCTTTTTGTCTAATAACATGTACATTTCAAATATAAAAGCAAATATTTACTGAGCATTTATCTTCAATACACAGATAATGACAAATTTACAGCCAGTGCTCACTGAGAACTTCCTTTATATTATTTAACTTAATCCTCCCGTAAACTCTGTGAAGCAATGGTCTTTATAGTGTCATTATTTTCTAGTTGAGAATTCAGATGCAGAAATTTTAAGTAACTTGCCAAAGTTTGCACAAACACTGTACTTAAGGGATTTATTCTCTAGCTAAGGCTTTTAAAAAGTAACATGCAAAAATATAGGTTTTAACTGTAATCCAAGACCAAAGAAGAAATCTCATAAGACAGTGTATGATGCATTAGTAAATCAACCAGACAAATCATTTACTACTGTGGAATTGTATAAAATGTCAGTATCTGGAAACTGTGCATAATCTGTCTAATTGGGGCAGAGATTGGATAAGGAAATAGAAAAAGAGATAAAGCTGGGAAGGCAGTCAGATCTGGTTGTAAAAAAAAATATTTTGCCATACTAAGTATTTAAGGCTTTAGTTTATAAGCAATATAGTGTCCTTGAAAATTTTTGATCAGGGAGTGACATATGTCATGTTCAAAGCATTTTTTAGGACAATGAATTTGGCAGTAGTATGCAGAACAGATGCTCAGAGAAAAGAATCATACAGATAAAACAATTGGAAGATTCAAGCAGTATTCCAGGCGTAAAGTTATAAGAACTTGAACTAGGGTAGTGTTAATAGGAAGATAACAGAAGACATGGCTGGAGACCAAGTGTTAAAGAGAAAACAAGAGTAACTGAATATGAACCATGAGAAAGGATAAGGCAGTGAGGATGATTTGAGATTTGGGTCTGAGAAGCTGAAGCAATTAGGAAGAGGAGCTGCTTGAGAGACCCAGAGCTGAATTTCTTGACTTTTGAGACATGTTAGTGGAAATCCTGTCAAAGAGGTAACAGAGGCTACTGAAGAAATTCAGGTCACCGAGACAAAAAGTAGAAAGAGAGTATCAGGAATGTTCCCACTCAAGGCCAAATGGAGAATGAAAGCAATTACGGTAGGCAATTTTTTTAATTTGCTGTATTTGTTTATCAAGCATTATATTTATTATTTAAAAAAATATGCTCTTCAACCACTCTCCAGTAATACTGTGGCAAGTTTTTGTGTAATTAAGCAAAATCTTCTAATTTTAGGGATTATTTTCTAAAAAGAATCAAGTATTAATTTTTACATATATGAAGTTATCCATATATTTTGCCTCCTACCAATCAACCTTCTTTGAAAGTGACAAGGAAATATAAATTTTCCTTAGGTCTGAGAAGCTTCATAGTTAAATTTCCCCTTCAGCCACGAGAGCTCCCTGCAGCCCTCTTTTGTCTAACATATTCTCATTGAGTGTGCCAATCCAGAGAGGAAGGCACTGGAGAGAGTCAATCTATTCCAGTAACTAAGTACAGTAGGTACATATTCTTTACTTTTAAAAGCATTGTTCCACAAATGACTCTTAAAAAGTTAGCAGCTAAGTATCCTAATGCTATTTGTTTCTTGTTAACGAAGTAGCAGTACTTCAACATCTATCACAGCTACAGCAAATATTTAATGAGTCACAGTAAAGAGCCTTATACAAAATGTGCAGTTCCATGGATTATAATTAAGCCAATACTTCTGCCTTGTTGTCTGAAGGAAAACAAGTTGACAAATTTCTTACTCAATTCTAAAACCATGAACACTGTTTCTTCAGTTTATCAGGTAGACAAATGCTATTCACCAAGCCTCTGGCCTCTCAGGAGAAGCAAGTCAGAGTCAAGTAATTCTGTAGCTACATTTGAAATGGAGTCAAGCCTACAGAGTCTGCACAGTGCAGTTTTTATAGAATCTCTGAGTTGAGGAACTAGAAGCGATCTTCATGAACATCTAACCAGTCCAACAGACAACCAAGGCTTACAAAGAAAATGATGGCCAAAGTTCACCCAGACAATTGGTGACTGAGCTAGGATTTGATTAATTACAGTATTTTCTATGAGACAGGAAAAAGCACTGGACTCTTGTTGGAATGTGTCATTAATTCTCTAGCTTTATCTCACTGGTAATTTTTACTTAAGATTTCTCATTAATAAAGCAACTATTTAGACTTTTTCAGTTGTGTGCCACTTAACAATGACATGATTCAAAATACAACCCTTCTTCCTCCAGTTATTCTGAGACCATATCATCAGTGCCCCCTTTCAGAAACGTGCTTCAGGGAATGTGCCTAAGCCATTAGTTCTTCCCACCTATAAAGGAAATAGCCACCCACTCTGTCCAATCACTGCTCTTTTTCTTTTATATTTTACATGCTTCGAGAAGCTACTTCTAGAGTAAATAATTTCAACTTATAAAACACATGAAGCAAAATATTTTCATGCAAAACACTTTTTCCCCATCAAAAAGACATATTGCACCCAGATTCTCAAGAACCAGAAGGCTCAGAAACAAAGTATGTTTTATCCTGAACGCAGGATTTGGGCCAACAAAAATTGGCTGTTGGGAGCAAAAGACAGGCTGAAGATGGGATTGTGAAAATGTAGGGAGACAAGAAAATATTTGAAAGGGAAGCCCATCTTTTATGATTACTTTTTAAAAATACTTCGAAATCTCTGAGTACAATTTATAATGTTGAGTTCCTATCTTTCTATCTAGCATTTATTTCTACAAAATATTTTCTTAACTGTTTACATAGGAAGAATAATATAAAACTCTCTTCCATATCAAGATTATAATTAATTTCTGTATGCTGAGACTAAAATATACAATATGACTAGGATATAAAAGAGATGGGAAACATTTATGCCTACTGCATCACAACCATTTTGACAAGAGATGGAGAAACGATTCAGTGTGTCTTATTGTCTACTTCTCCTCTGGGGGACTTTTGACCTAGAGGTTAGAATATTTATTCCTGTCTCCCTTCCTATGCCTTAAAAGACTACAAGTGAAACAAATACTGCTGTGGCATCCATTTTCTCTGTAGAGATTATAGAACCGGTGATCAGTCTTTTGCATTCTCAAAAGCTACAGATTGAGAGGGCTATTAATAAATCCTTTTTTTTAAGCTAGAAGAAAGTTGGAGCCTAGTGATCCAACCACAGACAACTTAAGATCCAGAAAGGATTTGTAATAACAACAGAAATACAAATTTGATACTTTGAATTTGCAATTTTTTGCTACAGTTATTCTAAATGCATATTACCAAATGAATTGATATTAGGTACAAACTATGACCTATTTAGAAAGTGGCTTTCTAGCTATAAAAGTGTATTTCAGAAACAAACTTGGCATGTATTTAAAACTCTTAAAATTTCTAGATGCAAAGCAGGATTGTTTTTCTTGGGTGACAAAATGATTCTAATGTCTTCAAAAATTCTAGAGAATGCCTTTCCGTAGTAAAGACTATGGGATGGAAAGAATGAATAACAGAAACATATATGTTGAAACTGGAAGACAACGTACAGGTGGCATAATACTTCAGAGAAGTTATGGCAGGGTTTATGCATTGCATTAGCTGAAAAGGTTAACAGAAATGAAAGTGCCTGGAGAATCGGGGAAAAGATATTATCATACCAAAAGTGTCTGATATTACAAAAAACAGAGGTTTGCCCTAAATCAGCAGACAACGAAGTACGTTCTCTTCTGCACTGACCTTCCTCCCAACCCCACCTAAGCCCCAACATACATTTGGTGTGTTTTGTCTTTAAAAGGGGAATCACTGCAATTATCCTGTGTTTCCAATGACCCATGGGCTCTTAAGCAACTAGTTCTGTGCACCACAAACTATATTGCTTCACATTTAAAGATTAGCAACCATAGCAAGTTATTATATGGCCTGGAAAGGAAAACAGTTTACTTTATTAACAATAAGCCCATGAAAAGTGATTTCTCTAGGCTTTGCTAACACTTTACCTCGTATTTCACCTGGGCATGAATTTACCTAGCACATAGTGATGATGATCTCTGGAAGGAGTTTCCAGATTTCTTTAATGGAGGTCTAACAACAAATTATTGAATGCTAGGAAATAAACCCTTACCTACTATCCACCTTCAAATTTTACTGAAAAAACATTGGCAATTCTACTGAAATTACTTTCTCAACAAAATTCCATTATAGTTTGAAAATACAATTTTGTAAATTAGAGTTTCAAATATTCTTTTAGATGATCCTTGATCAGTTTATTAGTTTAAAAAATTACTTAATGGATTCAGTAAAATTACTGCTATAGTGTTTCACCTACAGACATCATAAGCTTCTTTATACAAGATGTCAACATAGAAGAAACACACAATGTTTTTCACTCCCTACTAACAAACATAAACTTAATACTTTGCTCATTTTCTAAATCACTCCTCTGGTATCAAGAATTGCCTATACTTACCATATTTTGACATTGTTGTTGTTATAGTCATGCGTGGAATTTTAAAACAAATGATTTCCTCATTTTGTTTACGGCCTAAGTGCTCCAGATAGCTACCATTTGGCAAAAATGAGGTTTATAGTTTTCAAAGAGCAGGGTGGTGATTTACTTTACAGTATGCATAAATGACAATTTAAAGCCCACTTACCTCTATTGCATTTGAACTTTTTAATCATAAGAAAGTGGGAACAACAATAATTAAAAGCCAGGGTCCTAGAGCTTTGGCATTAACTCTGTGTTAACACTAAAAATCTATTAAATATTTTATATATACAAAAATGTAGTACTTTCTCATTCTCGTTTCTCCCCTCCAGAAAATCTCATTTAATATAGACATATGCACATTTAATTTATTGACAATTTAACCCACTTTTATGAAAAGTATTGATGAGCAAAAGGTGGTAAGATGATTTTCTAAAAATCATTAAGTTTTTTATTAATTTCAAAATTATATAAACTTACAATTTTAGCTTCTTAAAGAAATGCAGAGTATTTTAAAACTAATCTTTATAAGCATTACCCACCCTCAAACCTCTTTCCTGTTTTTCCTTAAAAGCCTAACGAGGAAAATTGATTTTTAAGTGTTGTCATCTCCGTCTAGGTACTAAAGACAGCCAACATTACTATTGTTGTATATCTGTCTTACTCTTGATGATACAAGTATATTGATGATGTAATTGCAGAAGTTAGGGTTTACTCATGCTGTTGGACCAAAGGGATTTTTTTAGACTGCCTCCTTGAGCACCACAGAACAGTTGTAAAACAGAACCAAGCACACAATTTAAGCAATTCATCTCTTGAAAGTAAATCTGCAGGATCTTCTTCTTGAAGAACTGATGAAGAGCTAGAAATAAAAAAATCATTGGTAAAGCTTCTTTTGCTTCAGACTGGATGCTGAGCTGGAAAAACACTTGGGTGACACACTAGTGTATGACATCTTGGCTTTTAACCCTTTCCTAGAAGCCCTCAACTTTTGTTCTCTGTTGAGCTCTATTTTTTTCTTCCAAAATTCCGAGGGGTTATGGAATATCCCAGCCTTTCATCTCAACCCTATTTGTCCCTATGTAGATATTCTCCTGAAAGTTGACTGGAAACTAAGCAGTCATTTATCATTCTGAATTCTTTTTTTAAAAGCAATGACTGAGAAGTCATGATGCTCCATAGAATCATGTACATTATAAAAACAGGAGAGCCGAGATTTTACAAATATATCTGCTACGCTAAGAGAACCCCATGGTTGTGATTTCCAAGTGCAAACAAAAAGAAGGGACAGGAAAATACAGACAGAAAATCGCATGCAGATGAAGCAGTGCGTGCAACGGAGGAAAGAACATACCTGAGGAATTCTCCTTTAAAAAAAAATGTGCACGCCAACTGGGTTGTTCTTCCCCTCCTTTTGGAGTGTATGTGTTTTCCTTTTAGGAACACCACTTGCAATTGTGTTTCTAGTCTCGTTTCCTTTTTTCAATCACAAATAGTTAGAACAGGAGTGGAAGCTGCGTCCCAGGGATCCGACTCGTGCAATCAGGCATGCCTTGGTCTGCAACGGTGTCTGTTCTTTTCTTGTCAATTCTATCGCACTCCCGGGTAGCCTCCGAAGCAATTCTACAACTTAGCTGCTGGCAAGAAACTGCCTTTCACTCTTCTCATTGCCAAATACCTTCCGCGGCTCATTTCTCATCTCTTTCTCCCAGAAAGCAAAATGGGATCTCTCCCGTGTGTTGAGGAGCGCCCAGGCTCATCAACATTTGAGGGTGAGGAGCAGCCGGGCTGAGTGCGTGCTGGGAACTTCACACATCGCCGGCTGCGGCTGAGTCTTTTCTGAATGCAGCACCGGCACTGCGATCCCCAGCCTCCTCCACCGAGAGCGCCCGGGCTCCCTCTCCTGCCGCCGTAGCACGGCGTAGCTCCGAGAGGGTGAGCTACAGCCCCTGCTCACAGGAGACGCACTGTAGCCACTGCCAGGTGTGGCCTTCACCACCGCACTGACAACTAACTGTGTGGGACACAGCTTCATCGCTGGGAGACGCCTGAATGCCAGAGCTTCCTCAGCCTATCTTCCCTTTATCGCTGGATGATGACCTAGGAGACAGTCATGGCCAATTCTGCCAGTGGAATAGCGTGGATAATACTAAATTACCCATGTTATTCAACAATGACTGTTTTAGATGTACTTGACTGTACTTGGAATTATGAAAGTATACCGCACACAGTATCATTCCCTATTAGCCACCAAATGCAGCTAACAGGACCCTGTATTTAAATAGAGGAGATACTGATATCCCATCCCAGTTGGTTTTTCCTCTTATTTTTGTGGAAAACCATTTGAAGGTGATTCCTGAACAATTTCAATTAATGACACATGCATAAATCAAAGTGGGAAATGATGGGTAACTTACAGTGATGCAAAGGTTTTTCTTCTCACTTAGGAATAATGTCTTTTCATTTGATGTTAACATTTTAAAGATCTGGCTGGGAATTGAATGGACTTGCTTTCTCTTTTAGTTTTGCTGAGTAGAGGAGGTGGGGGGAGTAACAGTTCCCACTTTCCATCAATAAAGCATTTTCAATCCTCTAATCCTCCTGTTGAAACAAATAAAAAAGTACTGAATCTTAAAATACAGCCTTAAAGCAGCTTGAGGCCTGAAATAATTTGGAGGTTTTAAGCTACATCTGCTCTACTGCTTACTTAAAATTTTACTTTTCTTTGCTTTTTAGAAAATGGAAGGATATTTCCAGGACTGAAGAACGTCAACTAGCAGCTGTGGTTAAACAGTATAGGAAGCATATATACAGATTTGTATGGCATTTTTCAGTACATGGAGGGATGAATATGTCTTGACTGACATTAGAATTGACTCCACCTAAATATTCAATAATAATAGTTGCCATCAAAATAAACAGTTAAACCGGATATAGCATTTTGTGGCAAAACTTGTGGCAAAACATTTCACCTACCGTATGTGACAACCAATAAATAACCTCTCCATGATGTTTAAAAAAGTGTCCCCAAATGTGACACAATATATATGTTGGGTACTAGCAGCTGAGCCCTCCCCATTCCCAGCTATCAGCCCCACCTTTAATTCAGAGCAGCACAGCTTCCCTTACCCGCTGCTTAAGTGACTGTTAATGGACCTGAGCAGCTGCTCAAGGTCTAATGATCTGCATCAGGGGCAAGTACCAGGGCAGTCTTATTCCTGCCTTCACTCATCACGGGAGTGGCAGGCAGGACAAAGCTCTGCTGCCCCCGGCTGTAACACTGGAGAGTAGCACAGGAAAACCGGTTAGACCTAGAAGCACCTGATAGGGCGAAACTTGACTTTTTTATACAGAAAAACTCATGCTAGCCAATACACTATTTTGAAGAACGTGTTTTAATACATAGAGAAAAGAACACCTATTCACTGAATCTGTTTTCACTTTTTGGTGTGAAATAACCACTGCAAAGTACAGAAGCTGTGGTCAGCTGAGAGACCCTAGCACCCAGAATAAGGTAAATGTGCATACGTCTTCAGTAAATTTGGATTTAATGTCAGTGATGTAAATGTTTAAACCTACAGAAGGAAATAAATGAAAGATGATTCTAACCATGAGCGGTCTATAAAACATGTATGTAGGAAAATTAGCCAGACTTGGTGGCGGGTGCCTGTAATCCCAGCTACTCAGGAGGCTGAGGCAGTAGAATCACTTGAACCTGGAAGGCGGAGGTTGTAGTGAGCCAAGATCGCGCCATTGCACTCCAGCCTGGGCGACAGAGCAAGACTGAAAAAAAAAAAAAAAAAAGAGAGAGAGAGAGAGAGAGAAAGAAGAAAAAAAAACACCATGTATGTAGTGCCATGAAAAGTTTGAAAATATTGCTCTAATTCAAATATTCTCGTAGAGGAAATGAATCACACCAGGGGTGGTAATCATTAGTTTTTATTGGAAAGAAGAAATAATGTTTCATGAATGCTTCGATGCCAGCATGTGTGTTTTAATGAATGCAGTGCTAAGCTCTAATAATCAGGATTCTGGTCATATATTTCAAAATGGAAATTGTTTACATCTCTGAAAGTGGCAGGAAACATGTATGTGAGGGACTCTGGCTGCTAATAAAATATGTTGCCGTTAGAGTGACAGAGCTTTATGACTTTATTGACCTGCAGGGACATCAAAATCCCTAGTAGAAATGTTTTGGCTTTTGACGAGTAGTTTTCACTACTGAGTACCTGATTTGAATAATGTGTAATTACAACGATGAGATTTCAACAGTAAGAGCCACATTCTTATCAGTAAGATGCATTCTGTTTCTACGGAGCTTTTCAAAGTCTTGAATTAATAACATTAAACAACACAGGATAAGAAGTAATTTCTATTTATACACTCACCCCATCCATAGGTACATGCCTCAAAACTTATAGATGGTTGGATTAAATAATAAGATCATTTCTCCTCCAAATGCTTCAGCAGTCATTTCAGAAAGAATAAAACCTCTAGGGTACCATTCACCTCTCATACCCCAAGACATAAGCTGAGCCAGATCATTTGTCTCATTTATGGTTCAGGTGGAAGAAAAGCAAGGAACCTGGGTCACTGCTTATTTTTTAGTACAGTAGTAGTGAAGCTTGACTAAACCAAAAGAATCAAGTAAAGGGGTCATTCTTGTAGAATTGTGTCATGGCCTGTATATCTGGCTTTAAGCAATAGAGGAATCCTTGAAAAAGCATAAACCAATCCTGTGTGCATGGAATTGTGTTTTCAGTGTTTTAGAAAACCTCGATCTTTATTTTAGGGAATTGGTAACCAACCATTGAACCTCACTATTATATTTTTTAAAAAACAATACTCTGACCAATCATTGGCTCTCTGTTTCCATGCAAATGGATTGGCAAAATGGATTAGTTGTCCAGATAATTACGGAGAAAAATATGATTATGTTTAAAACAGCAAGTTGGCATTTCTAGCTCTATATAAGTAAATAATGTATAGGAGAACGACTATTTGGAAATAAACCATCTTATGCAATTTGGAAAGATGTGCCTAGCATAGATTACATGGTAGTAAAACACACGTTAAGTTCTGTTCTTAAATTAAAGCTTTCCATTAAAGTATGGGTCACTTTAAAATGGCACTTTTGAGTAGAATTGACAGTATGTAACTTTAGAGACTAGGCCACATAAGGTACTGCCACTTCCTGTTTGCCCACTCTGGTTTGCTCACTCTGGAGGAAGTTAGTTGCCATGTCATGAGGATACTCAAGCAGCCTAGGGGGAAGTCCACGTGGCAAGGAACTAAGGACTCCTGCCAACAGCCAGACACAAACTGTGACCTCCTGCCAACAGGCATGCGAATGAGCCATTTTAGAAGCTGACCCTCTAACCATGTTCAAGCTTTCAAATGACTGCAACCACTGCTGACATGCTAAATGCAACCACATGAGAAACCCTGAGGCAGAAAAACCCAGGTAAGCTATTCTCGAATTTCTGGCCCACAGGAACTGTGAGATAATAAATGTTCATTGTTTAAATGAAAAAAAAAAAAAAGTGCTTTTGACTTTTCCAACTGAGGAATGAGATTATTTTTCAACTGTGGGATTTAAATGCATCTAAGTGATTTAAGAAGTAAAATTTTAGGCTCAACAAATTCTGTCACAAGATATGGATGCTGTACTTCTCCAGTCAGTATTGGCAGTGCCTTCTAAGCGCTTTCATAAATCTCTGTTGTGGCACTGATTTATTATACAGTATGCTAACTACTATTTTACTCATCTGCCTGATTTTCCTTGCTGGACTGCGAGCTCCTTGAGGGCAGAGACCATGGTTCATTCATTTTTATATCACCAATGCCCAGCTGAAGGCTAGACTCATAAAAGGTAGGTTGATGAGTGAGTGAATAATAGTGTGCTTGCTTAGTAAAGCACAGAGTTAATGAGGCTAAGGACACGGGTTGAGTCCCTGTGTAGCCAATTAGCTTTGTTCTATTTCTTGGTCCAAATGGTGCCCTTAGTTCTCACCAGCTGTCTCACAAATTTGTGCCAGAACAAACCTTCTAACTATATATTCCAACAATAGTGAGTCAGTAACACAATAATAGTGTCTAAAACTTAACACCCTTAAAAGTGTTATTACATACATTTTCTTATTTGATACTTATCTTTAAAAACTTGCAAAACATTATAGTAGTATTATATGGTTCCCATATTGTAATGATGAAACAGGCTCAAAGTCTTGCAAGACTTATCTGGTTGTACAGAACTAGTAAGTGGTTAAGACTGGATTAAAAATCAGGCCTTGAACGTCTACTTCAAAACTGGTTCCCCTGTAAAGCAGACAAGTATTTACTTATACAAGCATAATAAATGGCACAATCTGTAATTTTTTGAAAAAAATTAATAATTAAATGGAGTAAATTATTCAAGCAGACACTTTTTTAGAATATTTCTGCTTGGGTAATGATTGTTAGACTTTGGATAGATATCATTTGATGTTGAATGCTGTTTGGTGGGACGGCATCTATACTTTCATTCTGTTGTTCATTTTTTATTTCCTTCAGTAAAATTAAAAATGTGTCAGCACTGTATTCCAGCAAATCATCAGATGAAGGGACTTTTAAAGAGGTTCTAAATTTTTTAAAAGACACAGCATTTGGATGACCTCAAGTAAAAATTTTTTTTCCACTTTTTGGATTTTTTTTTTTAATTTTGTTGATTCAGGAAACTGATTTAGTGATATGGCACAGCATTGAAGAGCTCAGACTCTGAAATCAGGGTGCCTGGTTTCCAATTTGGGCTTTAGCAAGTACTATTTTTCTGACTTTAGTAAAGTTTCTTAACATTTCTAAGCTTGCTTTATCTGCAAAATAGGTATAAATGTAATTTCTATTTATACTCTTGCTGATGAATCAAATGAGATAATCCATGTAAAGCAACTTAGATAGTATATACTTATTATGTAGTAGGTACTCAATAAATATTAGCTAGCAATAATCAATATATTAAACTTCTTACCAAATATTGTCATTTTCTACTATAATCTGCCCTCCATTCATAATGGCGACGTTTCCAGAGGAGTAAATGTTTTAAAATTCTTAATAAGTTTTAGAATACCAAAGAGCCATTCTTTGATTCAGAGTTCCACTACTTTCCACCTGTATGGCCATATGCTATTTATGTAATCTCCCTGAGCCTCAGTTTTCTGTATGTGTTCAATATGTCTATTTCTTTTTTCCTTTTCTATTCTTTACAGATTTCCAAATGCAAATTTCAATTTGGCTTGACAAAAATGAAAACTATAATCTTAATAATTCATATTCTCACTAAATGTCTTATGTACATTAGACATTTTTCCATGCTTGACAATAAAGTTGATGTATATATTGAGCAATCTTGTTCAATATTGGAAAGGATGAATGTCTTAAATACGTATGTACACAGTGATAAATGATCATTGGGTTTTTCTTCCAAGAAAACAACAATGACTTCCTTTCCTTTTTTTGAAGGCTAGAGTACAAATGTGAATAACATCACATGCCAATCATTCAGGAGTTATTCAATATGCACTGATGACCCCAAGAGCAGTGAAAATAACCGTGACAGAAGCTTCCTGATGACTGGGTGAGAATTATTATTGACCACAAACTGCATGGATTCAAAATTTTGTGGCGATGTCCTTTGTCTAACAGGTTTTTAGAAACTATATTTGGTACTAGAGATATTTTAATTACCCAATTTCTTGTTATAACCAAGAATCATACTGAAAGACCTTTCCACCTAACTGCCTACTATGTGTATAAAATGTGAAGCAAGTCAAGAACATATTTCTTTGAAATGGTCTAAAATATTTGTATCAAAATAGATCCACATAGAGCACTTTATTTAATATGATTGGACATAGCATCCTTTCTTTTTACAGGGTTTCAGATTCTCCCGTTTCCTAGTTGTTATCTCCAAAGAGCACGTCCACATGTTCTGTAGAGCCCAGAAGGGCAAAAGCTAAAACAAAACCCTAATTTCTGGTTTAGGGCCAGGGAAAAAGAAGCTCTTATAAGCATCGGAAGGGTTGACTCTAGGTCAGCTGTGAGCTAAGTAATGTTTTCTTCAGAACCCTTCACTGTCCAGGTCTTTGCCGTTTTTTCTCTCTCCTTCAGCAAACTCTTTGGTTACTTTGTCAATCTCTATTGAGAGAAAGCTCTATAAAGTACCAAAAGCTAAATCACAAATTAATAAAATATATCACATGGGAGGAAAAGGAAGTCAAGACAATGAACCCATAGTCATTTAAAAATAATTCTAACTGGTATTTTTGCAGTTGGTAATTTTGATTTATGAGTCATCTATAAAATGAAGGAAAATAAAGAGTGTTACCTATTCATGTTTTTGTTGTAAAAACCAAATGACTTAAAAATTTAAAGTACTTGACAGTATCAGCTGTTCCTTTTATCAACACCATCATTGTCATTTTATAAATAGGTGCTAGAGGAAGAGATACTTACCTCTGGAAATGCTAGAAGGGAACAGTATCTGATAGGATCATAGTAAGAATTAAAAGGGAGATAATAAAATCTTTCTCATATAGATGAATTTTCCAGTTTCCAGATATATTTCTTAAAAGAAAGTATACTTTTTAAAACTCCAGAAAGATCTTCTACTCTAAAATATTGCCCTCTTATAACACTGAAATTCCAACAGCTAGTAGAGACTTTAATGAATCATCCTATACTAAAAAATAAAAATACTTCCATTTTTATTTTCTTCCTGCAAATATTTTCTCCCATTCTGTTAGTTACCTATTCATTTTGCTGTTTCCTTCATCATACTGAAGTTTCTAAGTTTGATGTCTAATTGGTCTACTTTTGCTTTTGTTGCCTGTGCTTCTACTGTCATATTTAACAAATCACTGAGAAAGTCTTGAAGCTCTTCCCTGATGTTTTCTTCTAGGGGTTTTATAGTTTTATATTTTACATTGTAAACTATAATCCATTTTTTAGTTAATTTTTGTACATGGTGTAACGTAAGCATCCAATGTCACTCATTTGCAGGAGCATATCCAGTTTTCTCAACATTATTTGTTGAAGAGGCTGTCATTTATCCATTGTGTGGTTTGCCAACTTGAATAGACATTTCTCAAAAGAAGATATACAAATGCCCAATGAGAATATGAAATTATGCTCAACATCACTAATCATTAGAGAAATGCGTATCAAAACCACGATATTACTTCACACCCATTAGAGTAGCCATTATAAAACACACACAAAGAGAAAATAAGTATTGGCAAGATGTGGAGAAATTGAAGCCTGTGTTCACTGTTGGTGGAAATGAAAAATGGTGTAGCTACTATGCAAAACAGTAGAAAAGTTCCTCAAAAATTCAAAAATAGAATAAACATACGATCCAGCAATTTCATTTCTGGGTATATATCCAAAAGAATTATTATTTTTTAATCAACTTTTAAGTTCCAGCATCCATGTGTGGGGTATGCAGGTTTATTATATAGGTCAACATGTGCCATGGTGGTTGCTGCACAGATCAACGCAACACGTAAGTATTAAGCCCAGTATCCCTCAGCTTTTCTTCCTGATGCTCTCCCTCCCTCTGCATCCCCCAAACAGGACCCAGTGTGTGTTGTTTCCCCCCATGTGTCCATCTGTTCTCATCGTTCAGCTCCCACTTATAAGTAAGAACATGTGGTATTTGGTTTTCTGTTTCTGCATTAGTTTGTGGAGGATAATGGCTTCCAGCTCCATCCAAAGTAGGATCTCAAAGATGTATTTGCATAACTGTACTCAATGCCATATTATTCACAATAGCCAAGAGGTAGAAGGACTCAAATGCCCATCAATGGATGAGTGGGTAAAGAAAATACAGTATTTATATACAACGGAATATTTTTCAGCCTTAAAAAGGAAAGAAAATGGCAGAGTTCAGTGGCTCATGCCTGTAATCCCAGCACTTTGGGAAGCTGAGGCGGGTGGATCACCTGAGATAAGGAGTTTGAGACCAGCCTAACCAACATGGTAAAACCCTGTCTCTACTAAATACAAAAAATTAGCCAGGAGTGGCGGTGCATGCCTTTAATCCCAGCTCCTTGGGAGGCTGAGGCAGGAGAATTGCTTGAACCGGGGAGGCAAAGGTTGGAGCAAAGGTTGGAGTGAGGAGTGAGCCAAGATCACACCACTGAACTCCAGTCTGGGCAACAAGAGTGAAACTCTGTCTCACAAAAAAAAAAAAAGGAAAACTTGTCACAAGCTATAGTATGAATGAACTGTGAGCACATTATGCTAAGTGAGATATGCCAGTCATAAAACAAACAAACAAAAACATACTATATGATTCTAGTTATTTTAGATATCTAAAGTAGTAAACTCAGAAACAGAAGGCAGAAGAGTGGTTGTCAGGAGCAAGGGGAGGGGGAAAACAGAAAGTCAGGTAATGGGTATAGAATTTCAGTTTTAAAAAATGAAAAAGTTCTAGAGATCTGTCCCACAACAATGTCAATATACTTAACACTGTGCACTTAAAAATGTTTAAGATGGTAAATTTTATGTTAAGTGTATGGGATTTTGTTTGTTCGTTCGATTTTTTTTTTTTTTTTTTTTTGAGACAGCACCTTACCTGATGCCCAGGCTGGAGTGCAATAGCACAATCATGGCCCACTGCAGCCTCTAACTCTTATGCTCAAGCAACCCTCCTGCCTCAGCATCCTGAATAGCTGGGACTACAGGTGTGTGCCACCATGCCTGGCTATTTTTTTAAAAATTTTTTATAGAGACAGGGTCTCACTATATTGACCAGGCTGGCCTCAAACCCCTGCCCTTAAGAAATCCTCCTGCCTCAGCCTCCCAAAATGTATTATGTGTGTTTACAACAATTTTTAAATTGCTATCTGAAGGAGGCATCAGGCTATGTATTAACATTCAAAAATAATTTATCAAATTCCTGCTTGAGTTAGAGGATAGAATGCTGCAACTCTCTCCACCCTGAGCATCTTAGAGCATGACCAGGGCTGCCCTGTGGTGTTTCATCTTTCTCAAATACTCTCCCTCCCTACTCTTGTCTCTTTTAGACATATTTTCAATAGTCAGTTATCTTGCCCTGATTCTCTTCTTTATCAATGTGCAATCACTTTCCCCTGCTGTGCCTTCTACTATCTGTGGATAGATCTCTGAACTCCAGAGATTCTGGAATGAAAACTCAACCCAGGCATTTGGAATGTAATTATTCTCTTTATCCTATAAAACAGAGGTGCAAACACAAATACTTTAATAGTAAGGAAGGTTATGTCACTGGATTAAGTCAGTCGAGCGTGATAAAATTCAAAAAGATAGGGATTGTGGGGATTGTAGGAAACTGCAGAGTACCTGCCCTCTCTAGAACAACAGTTGCCTAATGAGAGGAGCACAAGACAATTAAATCTGCTGGTTTTCAAAATAGAGCAGAAATACAGAATGTTGTGTAAATCTTTGCAATGTTTAAAACAATCTGAATGAAAACAAAAACTGGACTCTTTCCAGTTTGCTGGCCATCAGCTTTTGATTCTTGCTATAAAGCTCAAAGAGATAAGAAATTTAGATCCTTTCTCAAACTCAAATTACAAACAAAAGGAAGGCTGACTCCTATTTTTTCATGGAGAGATCCAAACGCAGGACCTTGTGAGACCCTGGGATTTAGGATCTTTCCTCAGCTTCCTGGCTGAGGAAATACCAGAATACCTTTTCTGGGGCTTCTCTTTCTAAGCTCCTTCTATGGAATTTCAGTGAATATACTAAGAACCCCCTTTCCTTTGTCACCCAATATACTGGGTATATCTGCTTAACTCCACCATCTTCTCTGGGTTCTTCCTCATTGTAAGTGTTTGATACATTCTATATTTCTGTGGTTCTTAATAGTATCTTACTCTTGGATTGATAGAAGCCTTCCAATAGCCAGGTCCCCTGCCTAATTCACTAAGAACAACTGTGAACTGCATTTTAAAATTCATTTAAGAACTAGTTCACACAGGAGCAATCTGAACCCACGGGGGTTGCCTAGGGAAATGAGCTTCAGTAATACTGCATAATGCAGTCTCTTATCTCCTGTCTAAATTATGCTTTTGATAATCATTGAGTTGGATCACCTTTCCCTTCATCCTCAGGTACAAGGACAATTTTTCTCTTAGTATCCAGACTCCAGTCCTCAAGTCTGCAAAACCATGAGAACAATAACACTTTACCATCAGAACAATAACACTTCTTTACCATCAGAGACATTCTCCATTGTACACAGAGTACAGATCAATTCCAGGTATGTAATTGGTACTGAGTAGTTTCTACAAGCTAAAGATACAAAATATTTTGAGATCTACAGATAACTGAAAAAAAAATGAAGCCACCTATTTGAGAACAAAGACTACAGAATCTACAGATACATTTTTTAAAAACAAAGCATCACAGTTGGCACTGTTTCATATTTTACTATCTATATGAAACCACCAAACGAATTTCAACAAATTGGCTTGTGCCAACTCTAGTTATTTATCTCCATTTGGCAAATACTTCACTAAAGCAAAAGAGCTCAATGTAACTTACACTTCCCCTTCCCTTCTGCCACCACCTTAATCACATGGTGAGCTGTTCTTTAAGAATAGTTCAAGGAAACATCTCTTGAAACTAGAGAGAGTAACTAGGATAGCAAAGCAAAAATCCAGATAACAAATAAAAGTCCTTGAGAGGATATTCTTATGAACACAAAATATAAGCAAGTGGGGACAAACAAAGATATAAAATCCTTCTGGTGTCTGCTTTTGTATGAGAGGAAATAGAAGAAAGCAATAAGGAATGTAAAGGACTTGAGAACAGGTAAAGCCCCAAATAAACAAAGGTACTCACTTGAAAGCACAGTGGGTCACTTGAGAACAGCAGGTACATACTTCAACTCATGACGATTCGAAAAAAAACAAAACAAAACAAAACAACAAAAAAAAAATTGTGCTCTTAAAAACTCATTTTATAAAAAAGTAAGTAGCAAAAACACATTCAAAATCCATACAAAGTTGCTACAGGAAAAAAAATGAGTATATGAAGCATAATGATATCCCCTCAGAAAATGAAAACATGACATAAAGACAGGCTCACAAAACATAAACCGTAACCTAATAGTTCATAGTTCATATAAGTTCAAAATGTTTATTAAAATGATACAAGATAGGAAAAGGTAACAAATTCGTATTGGAAAAACTAGAGGTGAGGGTACACAGATCAGGAAAGAATTAGAAATAGAAGCAATATTATTTTAGAAGTGAAAGAATGCAGAGGATATAAACACAACTGGTATTACTACCTTGGGAAAATAAGTAAAATGAATTATGCTTTAAATAAAGGTATGTAAAAAGAATTCAAGATAAAATGACAACTATAGAAGCTAAGAAAAGAAAATCTAACATAGATATAATATGAACCCATGAACCCCTTCCCCAAAGAAGAAAATAAGATAGTAAAAACTTAAATTCAAAGGAAGCTTACTAAAATGTAAAACAAAAAAATTGAGATATGTTGTTTTGAGAGGGCATACCGCATGCCTGAGAAAAATCAATCTATAAAGAGCAATGCCAGGATATACTCTAGTAAATTATTTGGATATCCAGACAAAAAAAAAGATTAAGTCATTCATAAGGAAAAAATAAACTGTCTTCAGAATTTTGGCAAATTTTATGCCAACAGGCAATGAAGTTAAAAAAAATAAAGTAAGTAAAGAAAATATGAACCATAAATGTGATATTCAACACATTCATCCAACACAAACAAACTCACCTTCAAGGATAAAGAGTATAATCTGCTATAAACATTTAAAAACTCAAGGAATATTATTCTTGTGATATCTCCTTGAGGAATAGACTATAAAAAGGGCTTCAGGTAATCAAAACAAATGGAAAAATGTTGGCATAAAATAGTGCTAACACTCAGCATTGATAGTTGTTTACATCACAAAAAGAGAGACAGCTGGATATCAGGTGCCTTGTTATAGAAAAAGATACAACCATCAATAAAACAGTCTTGCCCAAGAAAACTGAACCTGAATTTAATCAAGCCAGTAGGTTCAACTACTGACTTATAGAAAATATAAATAGAAGAATATGTCAACTATGCCACATGAATATGATCAGCAAAATCTAGAATATGAGACTTTTATGAATGACCCACTTAATTTCTTTAACAAATACATTTCAGAAGAATAAAAAAAGGAGAATGAGAGACACGGGGAAACCTATAGATAAAAGTGCACTGAATCTGTGGCATTATTCACAATAGCAAAGACTTGGAACCAACCCAAATGTCCAACAATGATAGACTGGATTAAGAAAATGTGGCACATATACACCATGGAATACTATGCAGCCATAAAAAGTGATGAGTTCATGTCCTTTGTAGGGACATGGATGAAATTGGAAATCATCATTCTCAGTAAACTATCACAAGAACAGAAAACCAAACACCGCATATTCTCACTCATAGGTGGGAATTGAACAATGAGAACACATGGACACAGGAAGGAGAACATCACACTCTGGGGACTGTTGTGGGGTAGGGGGAGTGGGGAGGGATAGCATTGGGAGATATACCTAATGCTAGATGACGAGTTAGTGGGTGCAGCACACCAACATGGCACATGTATACATATGTAACTAACATGCACATTGTGCACATGTACCCTAAAACTTAAAGTATAATAATAATAATAAATAAATAAATAAATAAATAAATAAATAAGGGAAAAAAAAGAAAGTGCACTGAAAGGACATAAATAAATTCAACATTTAAATATTATTTGGATTCTGATTAAAAGGAGAGAGCTCTTTGTGAGATAATTGTAAATTTAAACATCCAAATTGATATTCAGTATTAGAGAATCATTGTGAATATATGAAGTAATTGTACTGAAGGCTGTGTTTAAAAAGAGTTCAAATGTTTAAGGGTAAAATGATATGATGTATGAGATTTGAAATTAATACGAGCTGAGGAGGGGAAGAGAGGGTTATAAATGATTGAAGGGTCATGGGTTGATAATCACTGAAACCAGTTGATAGGCACGTAAGTGTTCATTATAATAATTTGCCTACTTTTTACATTAAAAATTTTACATAATAAAACATAGTTCACATCGTCTTATGCCTAATACATTGTGAAGGAACCAGTTATTTTGTGCTGTGTTGCCTGTGTGAGTGTAATGCACCAAATGTTTCTAAACTATTATAAATAAAAACTTGTTTTGGACTTATTAGTATAATCAGAGAAGAAAACTTATAGAATCATTAACATTGTTTTTCTGAACAATTGTATTTTCTTACCTAAAAGATGTGTATCTTGGGGCAGGCTATGTCTTGTTAGTATACATGTAATGTACATGTATGACTGTGGCTAACGTGGCTTCGAGATGTGCTACCTCTTCCCTCCAGCGACACTAGCTGCTGTCAGATCCTCCAAAGTGCCAAAAGATTCTAAATTGTCTTGTGTGTTTTCAAATCTTCATCTGGCTTTAGATGACATGCTATTTTTAAAACATTACTTGGAGTGTTTTTTAAATGTGGCATTTCATATATCATCTTTAATAGTCTTTGTTTCATGGATAGATTTCTGGCTCGGGTAGGTACTAAGGCCTGTTTTATTTAGATGTGTATTTAAATACCACAGAAGAATACCTGAACATCTCTTTAGAATTTATTAGGTTGGTGCAAAAGTAATTGCAGTTTTTGCCATTACAACCTAATATTTCACCTTATAGAGGTATATTACATGTCCTTAGAGTATAGAAAAATATTGGCTACCCAGTAATTATTTGAAGAAAGACCATTTTATCTACTTTTGGTTGACACCCATAGGGATAGCTCTGTGCAAGTAGCTGTAAAAATATAGTGTTTGTACTAAGTGTAATTCTTAGATTTAAGAGCCTACTTCCATACAGTATTCAGGATTTAGGGAGACAGATCAATCATACCAACTCTTTTCAGCAAGTAGATGAACATCTCTGCAAAATTGTTAATTCTCTTTCAAACCCACTTAGTCAAGCTGTTTGATTTAGTAGCCCCTGCATACACCATTTAGAATGAAAAGGTAGATATAGTTCTTCCCATGAGATTTGTCAGTACTCCTACTCTGTAAAGATGTTGGTCCTTACTGATTTTATTTCCTAAAATTGTAACCCATTTTTGCTTCTAGAATCACATCTTTCATGTTTCAAGCTGGAAAAAAAAAATGGGTAAAGACCATTTCTTTCCAGACAGATGGGCCTGTTTGTGATTTGCCAAATTCCAAAATATGTGTTCTTCCCCAAATCCTGCCAGAAAGAACTTGGGTGCTAAAATAGATGTAGAAAATCCCTCTATCCTGACACAATTGCTTGACTAAATTATGTTTCTGGATATAAAACCATCCAGCCTGTTTTATTTCCATTTCCATGTGCAGCACTCAATTCCCCTGATAATTTCTTAGTCATTTTAAGTTTGTGAACCATGAATGTCAGCCATTGGTTCCTCACTCTTGTAGGTTTCACCTCTTCTTAATGAAATATGCATGTCTTCCTTGAGCATCTCATCCTTCAGTTCTGCAGACTCATCTTTAACAAGCCTTCCCAAATCCACTCTTAGCAGGGCTCCTCTTATACACATTATTATTATTTTTCAGTGTCTACTGTTTCCCAGGATTTGTACTGAGAATTAACGATAGATAATACTTATCAGAATTTCACCCTGTGGCTGATACTGAGCTAAATCCTTTACACGTGTATTGTCCCATATGGGTATCTCAACAACACAATGAGGCAGGTACCCTTTTCATCTCTATTTTACTAATGAGGAAACTGAAGCTCAGAGAAGTCAAGAAATTTGCTTCAGGTCACACAACTTCCAAGGGTTCAAACCCAGGCAGGCTTGATTTATTTCAAAGCTTAATGAATTTCATTGTGACAGTCTGTCTTCCCTAAACCTGAAAATGTTTTTATAACAAAAGTCTCAGTATAAGTTTGGTAGGCTGTGAAGACAGAAGTTGAGGGTCTTCATGTAACAGAAACCTTTTAAAATAAGGCCCCCAAAATAATTGTGTGAGTGTAAGTGGGGGAGAGTTTGCCTCTATAAACCATAATGTAAACCTCAGCCTTTCTTATGGCTAATGCTCGCCCTCTGCTGGCGTGTCTAATTTGTGCCCAGCTGAAGGGTCATTAAAACATACCCTACCTTCTGTAGTTTAAATTTAGGACAGCAGAATCAGCTTCCTGACCTCTGTAAGGTAATGTGAAAAAATCATGCAGTCGAGAAAGCTACATAAATATTCTCTATTATGATTTCTTTGCAGGTGGGCATAACTTGGCACCTTTGATTTCTAAGCAGTCTGAATTTTATCATGTACAAAGGATGACAGATGAACTCTTATTAGTTATTCCCTTCAGGTGGTTCTGATGAGGGCAGTGAAGGGAAGGCTCACAGTGTAACCAAGGAGAGAATTAATTAGAGCAGAGGCTTACCTCTGTGATTCTATTTATGTCTGAAGAAAAAGAAAGTCACTAAAAACCATGGCATTTGCTCCAGTCTATTCCTCTCTTCTCTTTAATAATGCAGTATTCATTTTTGCAGCCAGTTATCTGATGAGCATGGCAATGCTTAAATGGAACAGTCAGCATCTTATAAGTTTGTCTCTTTCTTGAGACAGGTGGACTGTCACTGTTTGGTACAGCATCTATTAGGGCTAAGGGAATCATATTTTTTCTATTGATATGATTATGCAATCAGCCATGTGTGCTGCAAGAACAGGGGTGGAACTGGAATATAATAAGTACACACACATACTCACACATGAAAATAAAATAATTTCAAATAATATACTTGAAAGAAATCATAACCGTATAATGAGAGTGAATATCAAAATATTTACTCAAATATCACCAGTATTTGAAAATAATAATATCTAAACATGGTTAGCAAATTAGTGTATTTAAGTCTGTGCTGACTCTTCTATTTCACATATAATGATTTATATATTTGTCTGATATTTTCATTAAAGTTATTAGCATGAAAAATGATATTCTGTAAGCCAGCAAAATGCTTAGCAGTGTCAGATATTAAATAGGCAGTAGAGTTTAAACAAAATACAAGCAGGAATCAGGAATCTGAGATTATATTATAGCTATCATCAATGTCATGGATTAAAAATAATGCAAACAATTTGATAGTACACAAGCCTCAAATTTCATGCTATTTGATGGAGATAGAGAGGAGCTATCTCTTAAAGAAAACATAACGCATTAACTCAGTAACTCCTAAAATTTGATAATAAAATCAGAAGTGAAGAAATGAAGAAAGACATTAAAGATAAGAAAGAAGAATAAGTGAAGAGTAGAGAAGGAGTTTGTAATTTCTCTGCCTTCTTTTTCCCCCAAATTTTTGACACTAAGAAGTAGGTTTGTAGATTTCTCATGCTGATGTGCCATTTACAATGCAGGTTATTCTGCTACTGTACATATTTGTATTTGGTGAATTATCTCATATGTGTGTGGTAAATAGGAAACCAGTTACAAGGCTTTTCAGGAATGTCTGTGTTGTTACAGCAGTAATATTATTCAATGGCTAAAAACTACTTTTTTCCTGGCATGGACATATATTAACCAATTTAACATGCTCTCAGCAACCTCATTTTTTCTGTTTTACTGTTAGGGAGATGAAGGCTTAGAGAGGTCACACAGTAAGAAAATCAAGATTCAAACAGTTTCTAAACTGTTAACCACTCTATGCTGCCCTTGCTGATTCTAGCCCGCTCTTAACCACTGTGCACCATGCATCCAAGGCCCCACTGACAAAAGAATCATAATGACAGTGTGTACATTCATCCCTCCTCATGAAGACAAATTAAGGGCAGTGTCTTTCAGACAAAAGATCTAGAACACCAGCTTCTGTAGCCCTCTTTGCAAACAAAGTAACTTCCTGAGAGGTGAAGCAATTCAGAGAGGAGGGCTGCCCCAGCAGAGTCCCCCAGCAAAGGAATAAGAGCACCAAGGCTCAGGGGCTTCATGGTCCGGTGCTGTGCCAGTGGGCAAGCCTTGGGAGAAACAGATATCCCCCTGCTGGGCCATGCTGTATTGGCTGGAGTGCCCCCAGAGAGCTCCGGAAATTGTTCACTGACTACTGGCTGCAGCAAAACCTCAGGGATGAAGGAAAGCATAAGGATGGAAAACCTAGGAACCATCAAAAAATAGGCAGTTGCTCAAAAGTTGAATTTTGCCCCTCTATCCATTTTAGGTGCAGGAATACACACATACACACAAACATATACAAACACACATACACAGAGCAAACAATTTTGAGACTTTTTAAAAAGAAGTTTATAACTCATCCATTACCTAAGAATAATTTATAATACTTCATTATATTTTGTGTCTGTGATATATAAAATCAGGAAAGCTATGTGGTGGGGGACAGTAACTTAATATGTGCATAGTTGGGATGAGGGTAACAAGTTGGCTGCAGAGAAGATGGGAGTATCTATCACATGTAACTTGATTAGATGCTAGGATTTATTGACATGGATATGAAAGGACTGACTATAAAAACTGATAAAACTGACCAAATGATGCTCCACCCTCCAAAAGCACTCTACTTTGGGATCTAGGTTGTCAGAGTGGTTAGTTACTATTTAATGAGTCCTCTGGGTCATTTCCAGATCACATTCTTACTTTGTGTTGTGTGTTCATAGAAATTCCAAATAATAAGTTTTATTTTTGTCATAATTCATATGTACATTCCAGACTATAGTCCTTGAACTTATTTCAAAAGCTTTTCATTAAATGATACACTAGTGGTCTGAAAAGGGTAATAAAACTTTGAACAAGACAAAGAATACAAAAGAGTCTCTCAAAGCATAGGGACATTCTGGTTCCTTTCTTACGATCCTATAAAACCCAAGCTACCATTTAGGAAAAAAAAAAAAAACATGATATAGATTATATACATAAGTCTTCAGACTTGGTTAGTCTGCTCTAGGGTCATACTCAGTCTCACAACTCCCTATGGTAGGCATTACCTCAACACACAGGTAAAGAAACTAAGACTTAGGTTACATATTGCCTGTGGTGACAATAGCAGAATGGGGATCCAAACCCAGATCTCATTCCAGTCAGATTCAAAAAACCTTTGTAATTGCATGAAATGGAGGAAAATAGACAACTACTTGGAGGTAGCATATCTCCTTAGTGTCTCAGAGAGGGTAAGAGAGAGGGTGATCTCACTGTTATTTTTAACTGTAAACTGTAAAAACTTTTAATGGGAAAAGTAATGCTTATCCCAGGAGTTCTAAATGCTGCCTTCTACCTAGTTCACCCCATTTATTAAAATACCACAATAATTCTTTTTCTAAAATGCGATTTGTAAAAATCTGCTTCTTCAATTTATTGCAGTGATACCCAGCTCAGATACTGTAATGAAGTCCATGAAGAAATATAAATAGAAATCCACTTTATGAAGAACTTGGCTGTAAGATTTATTCTGATTAACATGGATCATCTATATTATATTGAGTTTCCCACTTTAATATTGTAGCTTGGATCTGTTTTCTGTTGTGAGACTTAATATACAAAACATAGCCATGAAATCTCTATCAAGTAGAAGTGCAAGCAATAAATTACCAAACTGAGTTAGAGGTCTTTGAGCCCTGAAAACCAAAGGACACCCTGAGTCTTAAAAGAGTGGGTAAGCTACTAGGTATGGGTGAAAAATCAACAGAGTTAAACTAAGATGACCACCAACACGAGCATGAACAAGGATAAGAAATAAGACAGGCTAGTTAGAATGGCTATTATCAAAAAGAAACCATAAGAAATGCTGGTGAGGATATGGAGAAAGGAGAAGTCTTATACACTGTTAATGGGAATGTAAAGTAGTACAGCCATTGTGGAAAACAGTATGGAGGTTCCTCAAAATCTATAAATACAAATACCATATGAACCAGGAATCCCACTGCTGAGAATATATACAAGAGAAAAAAAAAACAGTATATCTAAGAGATATCTACATTCCCATGTTTATTGCAGCACTATTTACAATAGCCAAAATATGGAATCAACCTAAGTGCCCATCAAAGGATGAACAGATAAAAACAATGTGATATATACACAGTAAATTATTCAGCCATAAAAAAGAATGAAATCCTGTCATTTACAGCAACGTGGATGGAACTGGAGGTGATTATGTTAGTGGCACAAGTGAGACACAGAAAGACAAATATTTCACATTCTCGCCTATATGTGGGAGCTAAAAATGTTGCTCTCATGGAGGTAGAAGGAAGAATGGTGGTTACCAAAGGCTGTGAGGGCAAGCAGGGTGGAAGTAGGAAGAGAGGTTGCTTAATGGATACATAAATGCAGTTACGTGGAAGGAATAAGTTCTAGTATTCGACAGTACAGTAATTATAGTTAATAATAATCGATTGTATATTTGAAAAGAGCTACAAGAACTGTAATGCTCCCAACACAAAGAAAAGATAAATGTTTGAGATAATGGATATCCCAATTACCCTGATTAGAGCATTATACATAGCATAAGGGTATCAAACTATCATGTGGATCCCCAAAATACGTACGACTACTATATACCAATATAAAATACTTTTAAAAAACAAATAAGACAGGAAGCAGAGGCTATTGGAGTAGCCTGTGATGGGGATCAGACAGCCTGAGCCTTATCATCATAATTCCACTATCAAAAGATGGGATAATTTGGGCAAGTCAAGTCCTCCGTTTCCTCCTCAATAAGCTGAAGCATCTGTATTCAGCCCTTTCTAGTTTCTCTTGGAGCACAGACTGTTTCACTGAAAGTAAGGCAGCACAAAGTCTTCAAGACCAGGTAAAAAGGCAAAACAACAATAAGCCCAGGTGTTCATTTCACTTTGATTGTGGTAGTGGAGAAAACAAAGAGATAAAGAATGATCTAAATTAGGCAGTCATATGAAACCCTGAGGCTGAGTCCATTTGAAATTTGAGAATGGTTTTCGGGAGAAGGGATGTTGCAATTTGTCTCTAGAGCTGTCCAAATTTCGGTTTGTTCTGATTTTAGAAATTTGCCCTCATTTCTTTGAACATTGGTATAGGTAGGGAGAAAAAAGGGGATTGGGTGACAAACTTCGTCTAAAATTATCTGCAGCTCTCTTTAAGTAGTGGCTGTAGTATTTCTCATGCTCCTATTAATTTAGATGTGAAACAAGTTACTGTTTGATTACCTCTTTTAAAGTCCTCTAGAAATAAAGAACAAAATTATCTCAATCTCCACCTTCTCCTCTGACCAAAAAAACACAAAAAAACAAAAAACAAACAAAAAAATCTGAGCCCATGTTGAAATCATTAAATATATCTTTTGCTTATAAAAGATGTTTGCTGATGCCTCTGTTAACCTCTAGACTATGAGCTCCTGGGGACAGGGACTATTTGGTGTTTGTTGCTGATGCCCATGCAAGGCTGAGCACTATTCCTAGCATCTACTGAAAGTTCAATAAATGTGTGCTGACTTAAACTACGTTTAAAATAAGGCCAAACTCCTCTCTTTCCCGTACTTATTTAATATGCTGTAATTGAATATTGAACAAAAACAACAGAAATTGGTACTTATATCAATCTCCTCAGAATTTCTGGGCTATAAAACAAAATGATTTGCTTAGGGTAGATAAGGGAGGATTTTTTACTGTACTACTATATATATAGTGTAAACTTTACCATTAGCAACATTTAGTACATTCACGATGTTGTGAGATTTTTTAAAAATTATATTGAAAGTCTATGAAAATATTTACCAAAAGAAATGGAACCACTGCCTTTAAAAACACTTTTGAGAATGTTCCCATTTTTGGTAGGGCATGGTGGCTCACGCCTATAATCCCAGCACTTTGGGAAGCCAAGGTGGGCAGATCACTTGAGGCCAGGAGTTCGAGACCAACCTGGTGAAACGCAATCTCTACTAAAAATACAAAAATTAGCCAGGCGTAGTGGTGCACACCTGTAATCCTAGCTACTCAAGAGGCTGAGGCACAAGAATCACTTGAACCCAGGAGGTGGAGGTTGCAGTGAGCTAACATTGTGGCACTGCACTCCAGCCTCAGTGACAGAGTGAGACTCTGTCTCAAAAAAAACAAACAAACAAACAAAAAAGAACATTCCCATTTCTGAAAATTCTCACTTTGCATGTTATAATATCACAATATTGTCATAATGAACACATATGTAGTAATGATTATATTTGTTGGCATTTGTTTTAGTGAAAAATATTTCTATGAAGATAATATCAGTGTTTTGAACTTTATGATACATGCAGCTCCTATTTTATAAGCTTGGACATGCAGAGCTGCCATGTTTTACACACATGGATGTGTGCATGCACACACACACACACACACACACACACACACTTGAGCTTAACTTTACCAGTCCCGTGGACAACCCAGCCAACAATGCTCCCTGTCAGTTCCATGACATCCTCAACTCTGATAATCCTTCTCTCCGTTCTATTTCCACCATCCATTCCTGGACCACATCATGACATTGGCATTACTCAGAATTCCTTCAACTACACAATCATTCCCTGCTTAGAGTTTCCTTTGGTTTTCCCTGTTCAATTTCTCTGTGTCATCCATCCCTTCAAGCTCCTGACTTTATTCCAATCATCAAGCTTCTCCCTTTTTCACTTGCTAACTTATGAAGCTTCTGTTCTAAGTAACACTCTTGCTATACCCTAAACCTCTTTACCTCTCTGTTTTGTTTTATAGACAAACCCCATCTAAGACCTGATTACATAAAAGTTAAGAACAAGAGTTTGGGGCAAAATGGTGTACATCTGTTTTTGATCTCTGAGCCTTCTGAGCAGCTGGCACCGGTGGAGGCATTATAGGCAGCAAATACATATTTGCTATGTGAATTTCCCACCCCTAAATATTCTTTTGTCTTAAATTTCAACTTTTATTTTAGATTCAGGTGGTACACGTGTAGCTTTGTTACCTGAGTACATTGCGTGATGCTGAGGTTTGGGATGCGATTGATTCTATCACCAAAGAACTGACCATAGTACCCAATAGTTAATTTTTCAACCCTTGCCCCTCTCCTCCTCCCTTTTGGAATCCCCAGTTCTACTGTTGTCAGCTTTTGTTTGTCCATGAGTACCCATTGTTTAACTCCCACCTATAAGTGAGAACATGTGGTGTTTGTTTTTCTGTTTCTATATTAATTCAGTTAGGATAATGGCTTCCAGCTACATCCATATTCTGCAAAGGACATGATTTCATTATTTTTATGACTGTATGGTATTCCATTGTGTATATATACCACATTTTCTTCATCCACTCCACTACTGATGGGAACCTAGGTTGATTCCATGTCTTTGCTATTGAGAATTGTGCTGTGGTGAACATAGGAGTGCATGTGTCTTTATGGTAGAACAATTTATTTTCTTTCCTCAGTATTCTTAAATGGGTGAAATCGGATTAAAATGGCCAGCATGAAGAGGCATCAGAATGGGGAAGGTAAGTGGCTGTGCTATCACTAGACCAGCTGATGGAGCATGTTTAAAGCCTCCAGATTTTTAAAACCAATCCTCTTTCTGTACACTCTATTTTCCATGTTTTCTTGAGCTGCTGCCACTTCCCATTTATATCCCTACACATTATCACTGCCTCAAATTTCTGTAGAAAATACTCAAACTGTATTTAAAGGCTTTAGAGATGGAATTTCAACAGCCCTGTCACTTTCATTGTGTTTCAGCCAAGGGTAGATTGCTCTAATTACCTACATCTTTTTGGCTGGAGCAGTTTCAACTTTTCTCAATTCCTACTTATATCTTTCTAATGAAATAACAAGAATACAGCAGCTGAAAAATCATGTCTTTTAATAACCCCATCTCATAATTTTTTATTTCTTAATTCAGTATGTTTGGTATCAAAAACTATTTCTAAGTTGTTCTTTTCCCATTGTGATTTCTCTCCTAGTTTTATGTGTGTGTGTGTGTGTGTGTGTGTGTGTGTGTGTAAGAAAAAGTCATAGCTTTGATATCATAGTACAAAAGGAAGTGGAAATCTTCACAAAGCAATTCAGCATCTGTGGCTATGCAGGGGAAATACTATAGATAATTGAAGATATTATCTAGATAGCTTGCAATCAAAATGTATGTTCACCTGAAATTGCTTTGCACTTAATGGCACTATTCTGGCACTTATGCTACTGAACATCTATGTTCCAGTTCTCTTCTTATAGTCATGAAAATGTTATAAGTAGAGCCACAAGTTGAATTTCATACGTCCTAGCCAGCTCATTTCTTAGCATTATAGCTGGACTGTGAAAATATGCTGGTGCCTTGGTCATTTTGACTTCGTTATGAAAGCCTAATGGTACAACCTAATAGTACACTGATACTCTGTGTAAGGCTAGAAGCATATAGTCTATTTACTGTATTTTTTGAAGCACAAACTTAACCGTAGCATTTTGTAATTCATATAAAGCTTCTCCTTTAAGTTTGAGAGAATGAGAATGCCCTCTCTCTTAAACATGAACCAAAATATTAAGGGAAATCACTATTTCTTTATAAGCTTGCCCTGAGAACCATCTAAATTCCTAACTCTGTAACAGGCCAATCTAACTCATACCCCATTTGAAGCCTATAATTAGACGGCAAAACCTGGGCAGCTCACTCAATAGCAAGTTGTGAAAACATACGGTGACATCTAATGTTGGATTTCATCTTCATCAAAGGAGACTGCATAATAGCAGGATGATAGCTTTGGGGTTAGAATCAATTTATAACTATGTGTAACTTTGTGTAAAACACTTTTCCACTTCTTGGACTTTAGTTTTCTTTCTTCACTCAATATTTACTTCCTTGGCAAATACCAGGTACTAAATTTTTAAATATATTTATAATTATGCCCAGCATCTATCATCATATGAAACTGCTGTGCTTAACAGTAACAGTTCAGAAAGAAACATTGTCTCTTCTCTCAGGAAGCACACACTCTAGTGGGACAAATAGAGAAAACATTGTGTCACTATAGATATGCACATGGAACATGATGTAAGAATGCAGCAGGAAAACAATAAGCTGATGATAACCATTTCCAACAGATTGTGTTAAATGAGATTCTGTATGTAAAATTGGGCACCTAGTAGTTTTTCCATTTACAATCCATGAATACAAGAAATTCAGGCTCTTTAAAGGATGGATAGGAAATGATGAATGAGAAAGAAAGGAGACAAAGATAAAGGAGGATATGAAAAGCTGTGCTGCCTTGCTGCTCCTTCACTATGAAGCTCGGAGCCCTGCACCCCCAACCTGGCTGTACTCTGTCCCTTACAGTCACCATGGAAGTCTTGATGCCAACTGCACGTAGCATCTATCCACCAATTAACAAGCAGGTCTGGACTGTGCTCTGACACTGCTTCCAGCAGATGGAAGAGCAAGGAGAGTTTTGTGATGTGGAAACTTATAAATCCTAAATGTTAAATAGCTTAGAGGCAATTTAACAGGGAATCAGAAAGCCCTGTGATCTCTTCATATCATCCCTTCTGATTCTATGACCTCACAGGTTAAATTAATATCTAATGTGCTGGCATATGTAATAACAAAGGCTGTTGGACATGCAGGTTATATCTGAATATTCATTCTGCCTCTGAGCCATTGCCTCCAGTCTCTGCCACAAAGCAACTGCCCCCAATTTGTAATGCATTCATGTTTACAGCAAACTGGTTCAAGCTTTATTCAAGTCTGCAAAGGAGAATCTCTATTTTGCTCCTCTTGTAATACTCTTGGGTGATGCCTTAATATTACTGTTCCAGAAACACCCCTGGATCTAGAGAGTCCTTAGGGTTGAATTGGACAGAAGTTGGAGACTCATTGCTAATGTGCCTTGACTTCTGGGGCCCTCCTGAGGAGAAACACCTGGAGCACCACGAGGCAGATGCCCATGGGCACAGCCTAGCTGCCTGCTTAGCTGGCAAGCTCTTAAAAGGAAAGCCACTTCTCATTTCCCTCAGGATTCAAGAGTGCCTACTTTGCATCAGATTAATGGAGGTTTTTCCACACAGAAATAAAATGTGATCTCTGATCATTTAACCATGTGACTCTGAGGAAAAGAAGAATTCTGAAAGTACATTCCGAAATCCTTTCATCACATCAAAGTCTGAAGCATGATATAAAAAGAAGCCTAAATTACCCCCTGAAAGCAGCTGTTGTGAGGTGCTAATTCAATTACAACTTATTCATATCTATTTCACTTCAGGTTTCGAACATAGAAGTGGCATATATTTCACTCTGTACACTTCACATAAGTACAAGACACTGAAGAAATCTTATTTTGCTGTGTTCATCCCCAAACCGCTCAGGGGAAAAAAAAATTAGACACTCTAAGAGACTGCAACATTTAGAAACTTTTATTACGTATGCCCTGAATATTATGAACACCATAGGCCCCTATGCTTAAATGTTTTCTCTGTATACTTTAAGTAAGAAGGATGGACTTTGAATCCCCTATTTCCTTACAATTTTTAAGAGCATCAGTTTGCCTGGGTCATCTTATGCCTAGCTTCAATCAAGTGCCAGCACAGCGGATTCCTAATTTGGTTATACATTAAAATCATCTGGCGAGTTTTTATTAAAACAATTCTGATGCCCAGATCACAGCCCACGCAATTAAATTACGAAGTCCATGTTGGCAGCCAGAAAGAAGTCAGTATTTTTTAAAGGTCCCAAGGTGTTTCAAATAACCATCAAAATTTGAGAACTATTTGGGTACAAAAGTTGGTACTCAAATGTTTGATAACTAGTAACATAAATTAATTGATAGGTTAGAAGGTGAGTTGATGGGGGAAGAGAGAATGAACGGGAGAATTATTTAGTTAGAAACCCTGAATTCAAGATCTGGCCTTTTTATTTGTGTGTAACCTTGAGCAAGCAAGTCAAAAGCTGAATGAATCTATTTCCTTTTCTGTCCAATAGAGATGATATTGTCCTGCCAGGTAACTTTATAATTTTAGCCACTATTGCCACATTTACTTCCTAACCACCCCACTTTTCTCCAGATCAGCACACCTTTAGGGCAATGTATTCAACATCTTCAGAATCCCTACTCTTTAGAAATACTGCCCTCTTTTCTTCTCAGGACAACCAAGGAATGGTTTACTGTGTCCTTGGCCTTAAGAATATCACCTCAGCTCATGACTACATGCCTCAGCATTGCCCAAACCCTCACATCATCCTATTGCTGATACATAAACCAACGCAGTATAGGATGCTATGCAAAGCACTGCTAGGCTTTGTTCCTTGCAGTCAACGTTTTCCATTTACAGAGGCTTGAGGGATAAATACACTTGAAAAAAGTTAAAATCCTCATGACCAGCTGGTCTCCAGATCCACTGGGACAGAGCCCAAAGAATCACTTGAATTTTCAATAAGATGAATTTAAGTTTAACATAAAGATAAATGTCCTAGGAGGAAAGGTTACTTGCACTTTAAAAACAAATAAAGGATGTGATACCCATTTCAGCGCTGTATTATAAGTAATTTTTTCCTAGCATATGGAAGAAAAAGGATCCTTGAAGGGTAGTGGTTAAAAACATGGATTTGCGGGCCAAACAGAACTGAGTTTTTATCTTGGCTCCACCACTAGCTAGATTAAGCAAGTTGCTTAGCCTCTCAAAGCCAACTACCATTTCCTTATCTGTGGGATTAGGAGACCAATACCTATGTCACAAAGGCTGTGAAGAATAGGGTGGCCATGTGATTTACCGTTTACACCAGGACACTTTTGAGAGTGAAAGGGGTCACCACAATAATTAATAGGTTTTAATTAATCTGTAATGGAGTTAAACCCAATCTGTCCCTGGCAAACCTGGGTCAGCCCACATAGTGGGCAGCCCAAAAAATGGCTTGATTATTCACATTACTGTGTTGAATACCATAGGAAGCCTTTATACATTAGATAGATGTGAAATCAGGGTAAAATGTTGAAATGAGTCAAGTTGGAATTCAATATACCCAATTCAGCTTGTATGCTGACTCCCTGTCAGGGCATTTCTGATGCCAAGTCACCCAGCCATGTAGGTTTATTGAGTTAAATCAGAATTAAGAGAAATGTTAGATATTTTCACACTTGTTGCAGACATATATAAATCATCATTTTTAAAAGTTTGGCAAAAGGACCTTAGAAATGAGGTCCTAAAAATATGAATTTACTGCTCATATTTTACAGTTTAAGAAATATCTTCAGAGAAAAGGCTTCATCTCCCCATATTCTTCTCACCGTGAGAATCACAGAGCAGAGTATAACTATAGGGCTGTTTTCACTAGATTGCTATATTACATTTCGCTTTGTAATATATAATAACTGTTGTTACAAAAAGACCTGAAACTTTTAGGATTACGTTGATGAAGACATGGACTTGTCTTAGTTGGCTTCCTGAAACCCTCTTTGAACACAGATGTGTCTTCTCTAAGCAATGCAAAATGTGGTAACCTAATGCCAACCCTGAGCTTGCTCTCTCAGCTGAGAAAAATGCATAACCCCTGGCTATTTCTGTGTCTTCAGCCCTGAATCCAGAATCAAATGTGATTTTCTCCAGTTGGTTTACTGTCTTACAGAAGCATTCCATGTCTTACAGTGTGGTTGGATGCTAGAGACCGATCTACTGCATGTAATCTAAAATTAAATATAAAACACTTGGAGTATCAGTTGACACCTTTGATTTCCCAGCTATTGTATTCTGTTGTTAGAGATGAGAAATTATTATAAAATTAGAGTACTGAAGAATTATACTGGAAAAAGCTACCATCACATTAGCTACTAAATATCCAATCCTACAGAGGCAAAAAAAAAAAAATCTTTATTTTAGTCTTTGCTGATACTTTTCTAAGCAAAGAGAAAAAGGAAAAGGGGAAAAAACTTATTTAAGAAAAAATAAAAATGAAGATCTTCTCTGGGCAAATTGCTTAGCCTCTTCAAGTTTCAATTTCCTGTCTATAAGATGGGACTATTATTGTCTACATCACATGGCTACTGTGAAAATTAAACAAATTAATATAAGGTTTGTTCCACGTGATGGGCTTTCAATACCTGATCATCTTTACCAAGCCCCCTCTTTGCATTTTAAGTTTTAGAAGTTGCAGTAGAGATGCCTCTTTCAGTTGCCTGCCTGACTGGGGTTAATGTGGATTTTTCCCCCAACATGTACTTTTATAAGGTACTGAGGTAAGAGTGTCACAGATGTTTGTCTAGATATATTTCTGTGTATTGACATTTTTATCTTCTTCCTGTGTTTCTGACATTGAGAATAGTGGTTCCAAAAATATGAAAAAACAAATAGCAGAGCTTAAGGTCAAATTTAATGTTAGTTAAACCTGAATTTATTATAAGACACCTTCTCTACTCAAAAAGAGTAAGTTCTTGAGTTTCAGTTCAACAGCAAACATTATATTCAGACTTTAGTATACATAAGAATCTTGAGGACTATAAAGTGCAAATTCCCAACCTTCCTAATAAAATCTGATTAATTCTGTCTGGAGCAGAGTTCCAGGAATCTGCATTTTTGCAAGCCCATCAGGTAGTCCTGGGATGATACTTTGAGAAAAATCTCTCTTTGATGTGCCAGGTCCTCTGTTTGGGATTCATCTCAGAGTCCTGGTGTGCTCATAGTTCTCCAAACCTGGGATATATAATCAGATGATTAACACACTGCAATTAACACTAATGGAGTTGTATACTGAGTGCTATAGAGAAATAGAAGCAAAAATGACTAAGTGCTCAAGATCATAGTCAAATCTTTGAGAAATTATTCTACAAAAATTATTTTAGATAACTTGTAGTTTTCTTATTTCTCTCTCAAAATAACAGACATCATAGAACCAAAATAAATGTCTATGGATTTCCTGGGTTATATCAATAAATCATTCCCAGCCAGGTGCTAAATTTTTTTAAACAGCTGCAAGTCTCCCACCCAACAAGTAGAAAGCAGTCCGGGATTTAGCACACTGGCTGAATATCTACTACGTAGCAGGCACTTTATCTAAATAAGGTCAGTGTCTCACATTCTGTCAACCTGTAGCCATACTCCAAACTGCACGAAGAGTGAACAACCTAAAATATTGGTAAGTTCTTAATAAGGTGCCAAGATTCTTCACTGCAAAGGTAAAGCATGTATTATATTATAATTGCTTATCTATTTTCTGTACTCCTCTGTAGATTATAAGTCCCTTGAGGGAAGACATTATGTCTTGCCCACTGCTGTATCTTCAATCCCTAGAACAGGGCCTAGCACAATAAATAGTTATAACAGATTAATGGAAAATACCTTTAATGGTTTATCCTGTGTAAAGAATAAATTCCAAGCTCTTTAAGTACAATAAATGCAAGGCTCTGGATTCCCCTCTCTAGCTTCATTTCTCATTCTTCTGCCTTTTGATTCAGTCTCAGGTCTCTCCATACTTCCTACTCTGTGTCAGCTGTGTGCCTTCACCGTCCCCTTTTCCTCTGCTTGAAAGGTCATTTCCTCACCTGGCTAATTCCTACACATCTTTCTCACATCATTTCTGCCCTCTCCAACCTTTTTGTAATTTAAGAGTTCAGAAAATAAAAGGCCCTAGCCCTATGTTGAAAGAGTATAATAAATTTCTGTTGATAACTCTTTTTTTTTTTTTTTTAAGATGCAGTCTTGCTGTCACCCAGGCTGGAGTGCAGCGGCACAATCTCCAGTCACTACAACTTCCGCCTCCCGGGTTCAAGCGATTCTCCTGCCTCAGCTTCCTGAATAGTTGGGATTACAGGTGCCTGTGACCACACCCAGCTAATTTTGTATTTTGAGTAGAGACGGGATTTCACCATGTTGGTCAAGCTGGTCTCAATCTCCTGGCCTCATGATCCGCCCCCCTCGGCCTACCAAAGTGCTGGGATTATAGGCATGAGCCTCTGCACCGGTAGCTCTTTCTTATGACAGAAGTTTCTCAACAGAGTACTTTCTTCTGAAAGCAGTATCATTTTTCCATATTTAATCTCCACAAGAACCACTTTCAAAAAATAACAGTAACCTGGCACTTTAAAGAACTAAAAATAAAAAGAGTAAACAAACAAGATTTATTATTTTAGAAAATCTAGCTAGTTCTTACATGAGTAGCTTTTGAGATGGAAAATACCTTTAAATCAAGATTTTGGTTTTGGCTTACACTCCCAGCCTACTCTTTTGGTTATTTTCAGTTCTTGTTCATTTACCTTAAGAATATGTTCACCTAATTGCGCTACTGAATCAGATAGCAAATCAATCCTTCTGATAAAGTTAAAACAATTAAATTTTAATTCAGAAGGTATTGGCTGCCAGTTTCAACAATGTGTATCATGATATGTTTCTGAAGACAAAGTCATTGTGATACCACATATAAGTTTTGATTCTAGATATTTTTCTGCCCATGTGTTCCTCTACAGTGAAGCCTAAAGAGTCATCCTCCAACCTTGACAACCCTTCACCATTATAATGGAACAAGTCCCAGATGAGAACAACAGCCATCTCAGGCAGTCACAACTTTCTGCAGTAGAAATTCAATGAGAGCCTCTGATGGATACAAAACACTGTGTTGGGAGCTGCGGTGACAAGATCGAACGGACACAGATGACCCTTTCAAAAAATAAAAAGAGCTCAAGAGTCATAACAAAAGATGTGAACAAACATCACCAATGAGAGGTACAAGGTGATCAGAGGCATGATGGTCTAAGTTTTCAGGAAAAGGAGCAGCTACTTCCAGTTGGTAGAGCATTAAGGAAATGCTGCAAAAGGAATTGAACTTCAAATTGTACCTTGGAGATGGGGATTGAGTATGGACAGAAGAAGATGAAATGAGGACTGTTGTTGAGCTGAGAGCTAATAAATCAGCTTTCTATTTCATTTGTTCATTCATCCATTTTACAAATATTAATCAAAATCTTCTATGTGCCACATTATACTATGCTCTAAATATGATGTTGTGAAAAAAAGACACAGCCTGTAACTTAATGGTGCTTAAAAGTCTAATATCATCTATCCACCTGCTTTTTCTTAGGCCTTATTGGAAAATTCAGGAAATATACAATTTTGGAACTCATCAGAACATAGACTGAATAGTCCAGGACAGACCATATGGCTTGCTAATTGGTTACATATAAGTCATCACCATAGGTTTGAGATCAAGTTTTATACTTATATTTGGAAATATTGGGAACAAAAGATAAAAAATTGAAAGTTTCATTTGTTTGCTTACATTCCAAGCATAACAAGCTATTAATAGAACTTTTATTAGAACCCGCTAGACTCTGTGTTAATGACTTTTTAAAAAGTGAGCCAACAATATCCTTGATGAACATTAATGCAAAAATCCTCAACAAAATACTTGCAAACCAAATCCAGCAGGATATCAAAAAGTGAATCCACCATGATCAAGTAGGCTTTATCCTTGGAATACAAGGTTGGTTCAACATCTGCAAATCAGTTAATATGATTCATTACATAAGCAGAACTAAAATGAAAACCACATGATTATCTCAATAGACACAGATAGACCTTTTGATAAAATTCAATAACCTGTCATGTTAAAAAAAAAAAAAAAAAAAAAAAACCTCAGCTCACTGCAACCTCCCCCTCCCAGGTTCAAGTGATTCTTCAGCCTCAGCCTCCTGAGTAGCTGGGACTACAGGCGTGTGCCACTGTGTCCAGCTAATTTTTGTATTTTTAGTAGAGACAGGGTTTCACCATATTGGCCAGGCTAGTCTTGAACTCCTGACCTCAGGTGATCCAGCATGGGTGACACAGCAAGACTCCGTTTAAAAAAAAAAAAAAACAAAAAAAAGAACACCTCAGTAAACTAGGTATTGGAGGAATATGCCTCAAAATCATAAGAGCCATCTAGGATGAACCCTCAGCCAACATCATACTGACATACAGAATAGGCAAAAGCTGGAAGCATTCCCCTTGAAAACCAGCACAAGACAAGGATGTCCTCACTCACCACTCCTATTCAACATTGTACTAGAAGTCCTGGCCAAAGCAATCAGTCAAGATAAAGAAATAAAGGGCATCCAAATATGAATATAGGAAGTCAAATGATCTGTGTTTGTAGACGTGATTCTATAACTAGAAAACCCCATAGCCTTGGCCCAAAAGCTCCCTCAGCAGATAAACAATGTTAGCAAAGTATCAGGATAAAAAAATCAATGGACAAAACTCACTAGCATTCCAATACACCACCAACAGCCAAATCAGAAAATCAATCCCATTCACAATTGCTACAAAAAGAATAAAAAACATAGGAACATAGCTAACCAGGGAGGTGAAAGATCTCTACAATGAGAGATACAAAACGCTGCTCAAATAAATCAGGGATGACACAAACAAATGGAAAAACATTCCATACTCATGGATAGGAAGAATCATTATCATTAAAATGACCATACTGCCCAAAGCAGTATTATAGATTCAATGCTATTCCTATTAAACTACCAATAATATTATTCACATAACTAGGAAAAAAGTATTTTAAAATTCATATGGAACCAAAAAAAAAGCTCAAATAACAAAGGCAATTCTAAGCAAAAAGACCAAAGCTGGTGGCATCACGCTACCTGACTTCAACCTATTCTACAGGGCTATGGTAACAAAAACAGCATGGTATTGGTACAAAAACAGACACAAAGACCAACTGAACAGAAGAGATAGTCCAGAAATAAGGCTGCACACCTACAACAATCTGATTTTTTACAAAGCTGACAAAAATGAGCAATGGGGAAAGGACCCCCCACTTAATAAATAGAGCTGAGATAACTGGCTAGCCATATGCAGAAGACTGAAACTGGACCCCCTTCTTTATATTATATATAAAAATCAACTCAAAATAAATTAAAGACTTAAATATAAAATCCAAACTATAAAAACTCTAGAAGATAACCTAGGCAATACCATTCTGAACATAGGAACTGGCAAAGATTCCATGATGAAGCTGCTAAATGCAATTGCAACAAAAGCAAAAGTTGACAAATGGGATCTAATTGAACTAAAGAGCTTCTGCATAGCAAAAGAAAATATCAACAGAGTAAACACAACCTACAGGAGAAAATATTTGCAAACTATGCATCTGACAAAGGACTAATATCCAGCATCTATAAATAAATGTACAAGAAAAATAATAACCCCATTAACACATGGGCAAAGGACATGAACAGGCACTTTTCAAAAGAAGACATACATGCAGCCAACAAGCATATAAAAAAATCCAATATCACCAATCATTACAGAAATGCAAATTAAAACCACAGTGAGGTACAACCTCTCACCAATCAGAATGGCTATTATTAAAAAGTAAAAAATAACAGATGCTGGTAAAGTTGCAGAGAAAGGAGATGCTTATACCCTGTTGGTGGGAGAGTAACTTAATTCAACCATCAAAAGCAGTGTAGCAATTCCTCAGAGAGCTATAAACAGAACTCTCATTTGACCCAGCCATCCTATTACTGGGTATATACCCAAAGAAATACAAATCATTCTACCATAAGGACACACGGATGCATAGATTCATTGCAGCACTATTCACGATAGCAAATACATGGAATAAACCAAAATGCCCATCAATGGCAGACTGGGTAAAGAAAATGTGGTACGTATATACCATGTGGTACATATATACTATACAGCAACAAAAAAGAATGATATCATGTCCTTTGCAAGAACATGGTTGCAGGTGGAGGCCATTATCCTTAGCAAATAAATGCAGACACAGAAAACCAAATGCCACATGTTCTCACTTGTAAGTGGGAGCTAAATGATGAGAACACAGGGACCCTGTGAGGGGAACAACAGAACGACAAGGGCCTCCTTGAGGATGGAAGGCAGGAGGAGGGAAAGGATCAGAAAAAATAACCATTGGGTACTAGGCCTAGTACCTGGGTGATAAAATAATCTGTACAACAAACTCCCGTGAAATGATTTTAATTATATAACAAAACTTGCACATGTACCCCTGAACCTAAAATAAAAGTTTAAAATAAAAAAAGAGCCAAATTAAATTATTAAAATAATAAAATAATTTCTTTTCTTTTTGAAGTTTTAAGACACATCAATTAGGAAGCCTGGAGGCATCTTAGATGGCAGACATAAGCCTTTTATGTTCAATGTAAATAATTATATTAAGTGTTAATTACCCAAATAAACTAACTAAAAGACAGATATTAACAGAGTAGATTTAAAAACATGACACAATTATATGCTGTCTACCAGAAACTTCAAATATAACAATATATGCACACTAAAAGTAAAAGGAGGGGAAGAGATATATCATGTAAACATTAATCAAAAGAAAGCAGGAGTGACTATGCTACTATCAGATAAAAACACAGACTTCAGAGAAAAAAAAATTACCAGATACTTAGACATTCCAGAGTCAAAATGTCATAAAAGGGCCAATTTACCAAGAAAATATAGCAATCCTACACGTACATGTACCAAATACAGATCCTCAAAATATGTCAGAGACTGATAGAACTGAAAGGAGAAATAGACAAATCATAAATCCATGCTTTATACAAAAATTTACTCAAACAGATCATGGACTTAAGTGTGAAGTACAATACTATAATTTTTTTAGGGAAAAAAACCCTGGAAGTTTAACTTTTAAATCATGCATAAGCCCTTTATGGATAAAATTATAAATATTTTAAAACAGTTAAAAATAGAGACATCTGCTTATCACAGACAACAAAATATCAGTTCTTCCAAAATTTCTATATGGCTTCAAATCAATCCCTCTCAAAATAAAAGAGAAATTATTATTTTTGTTCTTGTTTTTATTGTGTTGCTGTTTAGAAACTAGAGGAGATAATTCTTGTTATTTGAGAATTACAAAGAACCAAGAATAATGAAGATACTTAAAAGGAGAAAAAGTAAGTGGTCAATTTGTCCTATCAGATTGAAAAATGTATTATGTGATTGTGACAAGAGAATGTGATTTTGTCTTAAGTATGGATAAATTAGCAAATAAAATAGAATTGCATGTTCAGAAACAGAGCCACTTAAACTTGATACATGAAGAAGCAGCACTGCCAATCAGTGAGGAAAGGTAAAACAGTTCATTAAATTTTTTGACCATTGGCTATTAAAATGGAGGTTGGAATGGAGAATGGAGTTAGATCTCTAATATCTATATCAAATCAATTCCAGTGATTAAAGATTTGTCAATGACAAACTTTAAATTTTAGAATAAAATATAAACTAACATGTTTCTGTTCTTAGTGAAAAGAAAGATTTCATAAATAAGATATCAAGCAAAAACTACAGGATAGGCTGGGCACAATGGCTCACGCCTGCAATCCCAGCACTTTGGGAGACCAAGGCAGGTGGATCACTTGAGGCCAGGAGCTTGAGGCCAGCCTGGGCAACATGGCGAAACCCCGTGTCTACTAAAAATACAAAAATTAGCCAGGCATGGTGGCACATTCCTGTAATCTCAGCTATTTGGAAGACTGAGGCACGAGAGTTGCTTGAACCAGGAGTTGGAAGTTGCACTGAGCCAAGATCTCGCCACTGCACTCCAGCCTGGGTGACAGAGTGAGACTCTGTCTCAAAAACAGAAACAGAGAAAAATATTTCAGGAAAATCGTTACCTGGAAAACAGGCATAATAATGAGTCACACAGATTCAAATGCCTTGGTAATGAACTAATTCTTTTTTTTTTTTTCAATTTTTATTTGAAATTCCAGGGTACATGTATAGGATGTGCAGGTTTTTTACATAGGTAAACAAGTGCCATGGTGGTTTGCTGCAAAGATCATCCTATCACATAGGTATTAAGCCCAGCATCCATTAGCTGTTCTTCCTGATGCTCTCTCTCCCCTCATCCCCACCAACAGGCCCAGTGTATGTGGTTTCCCCACATGTGTCCATATGTTCTCATCATTTAACTCCTACTTATAAATGAGAACATGCGGTGTTTGGTTTTCTATTCCTGCATTAGCTTGCTGAGGATAACAGCTTCTAGCTCCTTCCATATCCCTGCAAAGGACATGATCTCACTCCTTTTTATGGGTGCATAGTATTCCATGTTATATGTACCACATTTTCTTTATTCAGTCTACCATTGAAGGGCATTTGGATTGATTCCATGTCTTTGCTATTGTGAATAGTGCTGTCATGAACATACATGTGCATGTATCTTTATAATAGAATAATTTATGTTCCTTTGGGTATATATCCAGTAACGGGATTGCTGGGTCAAGCAGCATTTCTTGTTCTAGGTCTTTAAGGTATTGCCACACTGTCTTCCACAATGTTGAACTAATTTACACTCCCACCAACAATGTAAAAGTGTCCTTTTTCTCGGCAACCTCATCAGCATCTGTTGTTTCTTGACTTTTTAATAACCACCATTCTGTATGGCATGAGATGGCATCTTATTTTGGTTTTGATTTGCATTTCTTTAATGATCAGAGATGTTGAGCTTTTTTTCATATATTTGGCCCCATGAATGTCCTCTTTTGGGAGATGTCTGTTCATATCCTTTGCCTACTTTTTAATGGGGTTGTTTTTTTCTTGTAATTTTGTGTAAGTTCCCTGTAGACCTTGGATATTAGACCTTTGTCAGATGGATAGATTACACAAATTTTCTTCCAAAAGTCTTTTGCCTACTTTTTAATGGGATTGTTTTTTTCTTGTAATTTTTTGTAAGTTCCTTGTAGACCTCGGATATTAGACCTTTGTCAGATGCATAGATTACACGAATTTTCTCCCATTATGTAGGTGGTCTGTTCACTCTGATGATAGTTTCTTTTGATTGCAGAAACTCTAGTTTAATTAGATCCCATTTGTCAATTTTTTCTTTGGTTGCAATTGCTTTTGTCATTTTTGTCATGAAATCTTTACCCATGCCTATGTCCAGAGTGGTATTACCTAGATTTTCTTCTATGGTTTTTATAGTTTTGGGTTCTATATTTAAGTCTTCAATCCATCTTCATTTTTGTATACTATGTAAGGAGGGAGTCCAGTTTCAATCTTCTGCATATGGCTAGCCAGTTCTCCCAGCACCATTTATTAAATAGGGGATCATTTTCTCATTGCTTTTGCCAGGTTTGTCAAAGATCAGATGGTTGTAGGAGTGTGGCCTTATTTCTGAGTTCTCCATTCAGTCCCATTGGTCTATGTGTCTGTTTTGTACCAGTACAATGGTGTCTTGGTTACTGTAGCCTTGTAGTATAGTTTGAAGCTGGGTAGCATGATGCTTCTAGCTTTGTTGTTTCTGTTTACGATTGTCTTGGCTATTTGGGCTCTTATTCCATATGAATTTTAAAATAGATTTTTTTTCTAATTTGTCAAAAATGGCACTGGTAGTTTAATAGGAATAGCATTGATAAATTACTTTGGCCAGTAAGGCCATTTTCATGACATTGATTATTTCTATACATGAGCATGGAATGTTTTTCCATTTCTTTGTGTCCTGATTTCCTTGAGCAGTGGTTTGTAGTTCTTCTTGAATAGGACCTTCACTTCCCTTGTTAACTGTATTCCAAGGCATTTTATCATCTTTGTGGCAATTGCGAATGGGAGTTCATTCATGATTTGGCTCTCTGCTTGTCTGTTGTTGGTGTATAGGAATGCTACTGATTTCTGCACATCGATTTCATATCCTGAAACTTTGCTGAAGTTGCCGATCAGCTTAAGAAGCTTTTAGGCTGAGACAGTAGAGTTTTCTAGATAGAGGATCATGTCACCTGCAAACAAAGATAATTTGACTTCCTCTGTTTTCATTTGATTACCCTTTCTTTCTTTCTCTTGCCTGATTACCCTAGCCAGAACATCCTATACTATGTTGTATAGGAATGGTGGGAGAGGGCATCCTTATCTTGTCCTGATTTTCAAGGGGAATGCTTCCAGCTTTTCCCTATTCAGTATAATATTGGCTGTGGGTTTGTCATACACAGCTCTTACTATTTTGAGGCATGGTCCTTTAATACCTAGTTCATTCAGGGTTTTTAACATAAAGGGACAACGGTTAGGGACAAACCACCCCAAAAACTTCTTGGTATTGCCAACACTCCCCGCAAACCTCTCCGTGCTGCCCACCCTTCCCCCAAACCTTTTTACATTTCTAAGCCCTTATCTAAGTGCCATGGTGAAGCCAACAGACTTTACCTATCAGGTCTTGCTACAATAAACAAACCCCAATTACAAACCATCCAGACCACACAGAGGGAGATGGTGGGAAGCATAAACAAACTTTACCTACTCCCTCCTCTAAGTTCCTTCATCTAGCTGCTACCATAAACATCACAAGATGACATATGGCAAAGTTAACCAACAAACGACCCCAGGATCTCTCTCCCCAATATAAACCCATCATCTTGTAAGCTCAAGGCTGTCTCCTCTGTCTGTAATGGAACAGCCAGCAGGTTAAATAAAGGCTTGCCTGAACTTGGGTCTCTCTCTCTCTCTCTCTCTCGTCCTTTCTCTTGGCTGACCTTACAATGACAAATTTTATTGAAGGCCTTTTCTGCATCTATTGAGCTAATTGTGTGGTTTTTGTTGTTAGTTCTGTTTATGTGATGAATTATCTATATTAATTTGCATATGTTGAACCAACCTTGCATCCCAGGGATGAAGCCAACTTGATTGTGGTGGATAAGCTTTTTGATGTGCTGCTGGATTCGGTTTGCTAGTATTTTATTGAGGATTTTTGCATCAATGTTTGTCAGGGATACTGGCCTGAAGTTTTCGTTTTCTGTTGTATCTCTGCCAGGTTTTGGTATCAGGATGATACTGGCCTCATAGAAAGAGTTAGGGAGGAGTGCCTTGTTTTCAAATTTTCGGAATAGTTTCAGTAGAAATGGTACTGGCTCTTCTTTGTACCTCTGGTAGAATTCAGCTGTAAATCCATCGGGTCCCGGGGTTTTTTGGTTGGTAGAGTATTTATTACTGCCTCAATTTCAGAACTCATTAGTGGTCTATTCAGGAATTCAATTTATTCTTGGTTCAGTCTTGAGACGGTGTACGTGTCCAGGAATTTATCCATTTATTCTAGATTTTCTAGTGTAGGTACATAGAGGTGTTTATAGTGTTCTCTGATGGTTGTGTGTATTTCTGTGGGGTCACTGGTGATATCCCCCTTGTATCTGATTGTATCTGTTTGATTCTTCTCTTTTTTCCTTATTAGTCTATCTAGTAGTCTATTTTCTCAATTTTTGCAAAAAACCAGCTCCTGGATTCACTGATTTTTTTAAGAGTTTTTCTTGGCTCTATCTCTTCCAGTTTCACTCTGATCCTGATTATTTCTTGTCTTCTGCTAGCTTTGAGGTTTGCTCTTGGTTCTCTGGTTCTTTTAGCTGAGATGTTAGGTTACTGATTTGAGGTCTTTCTAACTTTTTGATGTGGGCATTTAGTGCTATAAATTTCCCTCTTAACAGTGCTTTAGTTGTATACCAGAGATGCTGGTACATTCTTTGCTCTCATTAGTACAAACAAACTTCTTGATTTCTGCCTTAATTTCATTATTTTCCCAGGAGTCCTTCAGGAGCAGATTGCTCAATTTCCATGTAGTTTTGTGGTTTTCCGTGAATTTCTTAATCTGGAGTTCTATTTTGATTGTGCTGTGGTCTGAGGGATTGTTATGATTTCAGTTCTTTTGCATTTGCTGAGGAGTGTTTTACTTCTTATTATGTGACCAATTTTGGAGTAAGTATCATTTGGCCATGAGAAGAATGTGTATTTTGTTGTTTGGGGGTGGACAGCTCTGCAGATATTTATCAGGTCTCCTTGATCCAGAGCTCAGTTCAGGTCCTGATTATCTTCGTTAATTTTCTGTCTCAATGATCTGTCTAGTATTGTCAGTGAGGTGTTATTATGTGGGAGTCTAAGTCTCTTTGCAGGTCTCTAAGAACTTGCTTCATGAATCTGGGTGCTCCAGTATTGGGTGCATATATACTTAGGATAGTTAGCTCTTCTTGTTGAATTGAACCCTTTACCATTATGTAATGCCCTTCTTTGTCTTTTTTTATCTTTATTGGTTTAAAGTCTGTTTTGTCAGAAACTAGGAATGTGACTCTTTTTTTTTCTGCTTTCCATTTGCTGGGTAAATTTTCCTGCATCCCTTTATTATGTGTGTCTTTGCACATGAGATGGGTCTCTTGAAGACAGCATACCAATGGGTCTTGGCTCTTAATCCAGCTTGCCATTCTGTAATGTTTAATTGGGACAGTTAGTCCATTTACATTTAAGGTTAATATTGTTACATGTGAATTTGATCCTGTCATTATCATGCTAGCTGGTTATTTTGCAGACTTGTTTATGTGGTTGCTTCACAGTATCACTGGTCTGTGTACTTCATTGTGTTTTTGTAGTGGCTGGTAATGGTTTTTCCTTTTCATATTTAGTTCTTCCTTCGGGACCTCTCACAAGGCAGGCCCAGTGGTGACAAATTCCTTCAGCATTTGCTTATCTGAAAGGAACATTGTTCTCCGTCACTTATGAAGCTAACTTTGGCCAGATATAAAATTCTGGGTTAGAAATTCTCTTCCCTAAGAATGTTGAATATTGGCCCCCACTCTCTTCTGGCTTGTAGGGTTTCCACTGGGAGGTCCACTGTTAGTCTGATGGATTTCCCTTTGTAGGTGACCTGGCCTTTCTCTCTGGCTGCCTTTAACATTTTTTCTTTCATTTCAACCTTGGAGAACCTGATGATTATGTGTCTTGGGGTTGATCTTCTCATGGAGTATCTTACTGGGGTTCTCTGCATTTCCTGAATTTGAATGCTGGCCTGTCTTGCTAGGTTGGGAAGTTCTACTGTATGAAATCCTAAAGTATGATTTGTAACTTGGTTCTGTCCTCTCCATCTCTTTCATGTACCCCAATTAGTCATAGGTTCAGTCTTTTTACATAGTCCCATATTTCTTGGAGGTTTTGTTTGTTCCTTTTAATTCTTTTTTCTCTATTCTTGCCTGCCTGTCTTTTTTCAGAAAGATAGTCTTCAAGCTCTGATATTCTTTCCTCTGCATGGCCTATTCTGCTATTGATACTTGTGATTGCATTATGAAATTCTCATCTTGTGTTTTTCAGCTCCATCAGGTTAGTTATGATCCTCTCTAAACTGGCTATTCTAGTTATCAACATCGAAATTGTTTTATCATGATTTTTCGCTTCTTTGCATTGGGTTAGAACATGCTCCTTTAGCTCACTGAAGTTTGTTATTATCCACCTTCAGAAGCCTACTTCTGTCAATTCAGCCATCTCAGCCTCAGCCCAGTTCTGTGCCCTTGCTGGAGAGGTGTTGCAGTCATTTGGAGGAGAAGAGGCACTATGGCTTTTTGAGTTTTCAGCATTTTTGCATTGATTCTTTCTCATCTTTGTGGGCTTATCCACCTTTGGTCTTTGAGGTTGCTGACCACAGAATGGGTTTTTGGGGGGACTTTTTGTTGATGTTGTTGTTGATTTCCATTTGTTTTTCTTTAACAAACAGGCCACTGACTGTTAGCAACCATAGGGCTGCTGCAGTTTGCTGGGGGTCCACTCCAGACCCTAGTGACTTTGGTCCCTCCCACATCTGGAGCTATCACCAGTGAAGACTGTGAAACAGCAAAGGTGGCAGCCTGCTCCTTCCTCTGGGAGCTCTGTCCCAGAGGGGCACAGACCTGATGCCAGCCTGAATGCTCCTGTAGGTGTCTGGAGACCCCTGTTGGGAGGTTTCACCCAGTCAGGAGGAATGGGACCAGGGTCTCACTTAAAGAAGTAGTCTGGCTGCCCCTTGGCAGAGCAAGTGCACTGCACTGGGGGAAACACCCCTCATCCAAACTACCCAGACTCTCCAGAGCCAGCAGGCAGGAAAGGTAAGTCAGCTGAACTGCAGATACAGTGGCTGCCCCTCCTCCCAGGGGCTCCATCCTAGGGAGAGATCAGAGATCTGTTTGTATAACCCTGGCTGGTGTTGCTGAAATTCCCACAGGGAGCCCCTACCCAGTGATGAGGGATGGATCAGGGTCCCACTTAAAGGAGCAGTCTGGCCATGATCTGCTGCCTTGTGGAAGACTGCTGTTCTGGACTGCCCAGACTCCCCAGAGCCAGCAGGCTACAATGGCTGACTGGAACTGCAGAGATGGTGTCTGACTCTCCCCCAGGAACTTGGTCTGTCTCAGGCAGTCTCAGGCAGTCTTCAGCCTGCTGCTCCTAAACAGCTGGAATTCCAAGCAAATGAGTCTTAACTTGTGAGGTGCCACGGGAGTGGGGCCCACATAATGATGCCACTTATTCCCTGGATTCAGACCCCTTCCTAGGGGAATAAATGATCAGATCTCCTGCTTTGCCAGAATTCCCAGGGCTAGAATATGCGTAACAACTCCTAGGTTTCTGTGCGTGCTGGAGTGGCCACCCTGCACCCCACCAAGACTTTGCACATCTCTGTGCTTTGGACCCAAAACCCCGGTGGCATGGGCTCACAAGGGGGTCTCCTGTTCCATGGGTTTCAGAGATCCATGGGAAAAGTGTGGCTTCCTGGGCAGGGTCACATAACACTCACCACCTATCTTGGCTGAGGGTGGGGGCTCTTCTGGCTCCAAGCTGTTCTTAGGTGGGCCATCACCCCACCCTGCTTTTCCTCACCCTCTGTGGGTTGAGTCGCCCACCTAGTCAGTCCCAATGTGAGAACCTGGATACCTCAGTTGAAGATATGGAATTAACTCGCCATTTTCATTCTCCATGAGAACCATGGACTGTATCTGCTTCCAAATAGGCCATCTTGGCCAAAATGTACTAATTTTTAAATTGGGTAGGTGGATCATGAGAAGTCCTTATTTCTCTGCTTTTTACCTTATTTTTATTCTATACATTTCTTTGTGATTCAGTATTACAAAGTAGTTTTTCATGGATCTAGAACCAGATGCAGAAAAGTAAAACAAAACCCCATATCTCTGAAACCAAAGAAAAGTCATTTAAAATCTCCCAAATAAATGAACAGAGGGGAATAAAGCTAAGAACTGAGAAATGCCCTTCATACATTATGGTTTCTTACTGTGGGTGGGTGGGAAGGAGTGTTCTCAGTGGTAAGCAACACTCATAATGGGTGGCCCCTTCCTCCTCAAATCAGAAACCATTGAAAGAGGTTTTTTTTTTTAATCAGGAGGATAAAAGTAATTAAGAAAAAGAAGAAAAGTAGGAGATATTGTGACAATGGCCACCACCAGCAATATAATTAAACTTCCTGGTTGATGTGGAGAAAACTCTTCTCATCTCTGCATCCTGGCTCCTTCATATGTAAAATAGATATGAGAATATATACTGCTAGGGAATGAATCTTTATGTCCCCCTAACTTCATATGTTGAAACTCCACTCCCCAATGTAATGATATTAGGATGTGGGACCTTTGGAAGTTGACTGGATCGTAAGGGTGGAATCCTCATGAATGGGATTAGTAACCTATTAAAAGAGGCTCCCAGAGACCATCCTCACCTCCTCTACAATGAGCAGACACAGTGAGGAGACAGATCTCTGTGAATCAAGGAACAGAACCCTCATCAGACACTGACTGTGTCGGTGCCTTGCTCTGGGATTTCTCAGCCTTGAAAACTATGAGAAATGAGTATCTGTTACTCATAAGCACCTATTCTATGGTATTCTGATATAGCAGCATGAACAGAATAAGACATATACCTTCTACGACTATTTGAGGGATTGGAGATAATGTCAATTACAAACATATTACAGTTGTCTAGAAATAGCTGACTCTCTTTAATTGGTAGCTTTGCTTGTTATTCTAGGACTTGGCTTTACCTTCTGATTTTCAGATAAACATAGATTTATTCACGCACTCGGCAAACATGTAATCATACTATTTGCTTAAGTGTTAGAAATACAAAGTGAGAGAAAAAGGCGGGGGTTGGAAAGAACTCTACTACACCAGATTACAGAGTCTGGCATCAGTAGACAATTATAGGTACAAGGAAATGCAGTGAGGTGTGAGTGTTTGATATAGTTTGGATGTGTCCTCCCAATCTCATATTGAGAGTTAATATCCATTGTTGGAGTTGGGGTCTTGTGGGAAGTGACTGGATCATGGGGGCAGATTTCTCAACAATGGTTTAGCACCATCCACTTGGTGCTGTCCTTTCAATAGCAAGTGAGATCTTGTGAGATCTGGTTGTTGAAAAGTATGTGGCACCTCCCTCACTCTCTCTCTTGCTCTTGCAATGTAATATGCTGGCTCTCCTTTTGCCTTTGCCATGATTTTAAGCTTCCTGAGGCCTCACCAGAAGCCATGCAGTTGCCTGGCACCTTGCATCCCATGCAGCCTGCAGAACCATGCATCCCATGCAGCCTGCAGAACCATGAGCCAATTAAAACTCTTTCCTTTATAAAATACCCAGTCTCAGGTATTTTGTTATAGCAATGCAAGAATGGCCTAACACATCATTCTTGCAGAAGTTCTCTACAGAGCATTATTGAGTAAAATTGTAGGAAAAACTTCAGTAATGAGAAGGTTTATAAACGGAACCCTAAAAGTTCAATAAATGGTCACCAGATAGACAAGGCTGAAGATGGTGCTACGAGCTGAGAAAACAGAGGGAGCAAAGGCACAGACGTATTCAACAGCATAGTGCACTCAGGGAGCTACAGTGGTTCAGAATGACTAAATTACAGCATGCTAACTGTGCGTGTTAAGGTCTATGGCTAGAGAGGCAGAGAGAGACCAGACAGTGTAAACCATATTAAAACTTTGGAATGTATCCAGTCGTTCAGAGGCTTCCACAGTGGGGTGTATCCACCCCCAGTGCTGTGGAATACAGTGCTGAAATGTTGGAAGTAAATATTTAAATGTCTAACCACATTATAGTAATACCATCGTTTTGATTTGTGTGCATCTTATATTTGTGTGGTAATACATGTTGACAGTTTTTAAGATATATATATGTATATATATATGCATATGTTGATGTTTTTTCTTTATTGAAGAGGTACATTATATATCTATAAAATTTGAAGACAACTGCTAAATTATTAAGCAGGGCCACAAAGTAATAAGATTTTTGTATTAAAAAGTTTTCATGGTAGGGGGAAGTGGGCAGCATAGAGTGTAGGTTAGAGAAGGAAGAACAGGATGCTATCCTAATTGTCCAGGCTGAGATGATAAGGATCTGAACTATGGCAGTAGATTTAGAGTTGAAGAGAAAGGCAAGGCCTGTTATTGGAGGATCTTACACAAAAATAATCAACAGGATTTAGTCACTTATGAAATCAAAGTGAGAAGAGGGAGGCATCTTTAAATGAATCCTGTATTCCTGGGTTGATGACTGGATGACAGTGCCAACCAGAATGGCTGGAGCTTAGGAATGGAGGTTTGGTGACAAAGGTAATGAGCTCCTCTTTTGGCATGTTTAATTATAAAATTCTTTTGTGAAAATTAAATGGGGATGTTTAAGAGATAGTTGAGTATGTGGGTTTTAAAGTTCTGAAAAGAGATTTGACCTAGGCCTAAGTATGCATGGGACTTAAGGGCTTAGAATCAAAAGCTCATACAAATGAATACGAGTGGCCAGAGAGTGAAATGAATAAGAAAAGAGGTCAAAGCTAAGGAAACTGCAATATTTAAAGGAAAGGAATAGGAAGAAAAGGCAGAAAAAGAAACTCAGAAGAAAGGGTTAGAGTGGTAAGAAGAGTATGAACAGAGATAGGAGTCATGGAAGCCCAGGTAAGGGAGAGTTTCTTGAAGAAAATTAGTATGTCTAATTGCCTTGGGTAAAAAGCATTCCCTTGTTCATTTTCTTGTTAACACTTTCAGGTATTTACCGAGTACCTGCAGTTAGACAAATTGCATTAATTTTAACATCACAGGTTATGGAAATTCTATAATTTAGAATGGGGTACCTGTGAATATTATTCTGTACTTAAACATTTTGGTCTGTCACTTAAATACCTGAGGTCAGCACTGTTTGTTGTTGTTGTTGTTGTTGTTGTTGTTTTGATTTTTGAGATGGAGTCTCACTGTTGCCAGGCTGGAGTGCTGTGGTGAAATCTCGGCTCACTGCAACCTCTGCCTCCCGGGTTCAAGCGATTCTCCTGCCTCAGCCTCCTGAGTACCTGGGACTACAGGCACGTGCCACCACGCCCAGCTAATTTTTGTATTTTTAGTAGAGATGGGGTTTCACCATGTTGGCCAGGCTGGTCTCAATCTCTTGACTTTATGATCTGCCCACCTTGGCCTCCCAAAGTTCTGGGATTACAGGGGTGAGCCACTGTGCCCGGACTTAGGTCAGCACTGTTAAACCAGCACCTAGTATGTAACAAATTAAGAGTGACATGAGGGGTGTATTTTGGATGATTAAAAACACTAACACTGATGGTAGGCCAGATGTTAAACAATCAGCTTAATCATTTCCATTTTGGTAAATGATTTCATGCCTACGATATGAACCGTTGACAGCACTGTAACACCAAGGACTCACCCTGATTTGTAGCATATGTTCTATATGTGGCATTAGGCATACTTCCTGCTAGTGAAAGACGATTTTAACAAAAACACACCTCAATTGATTTCACCCCTTTTTAAGAGAAGAGTCGCAGAGTCTTTCAAAACTTACCCAAGTGTATACCTTGGTTTAGTTGTCTCAACCATGTATTTTAAAGCTTAGACTAGGCATATAAGCCAGAACGCAAGAGCCCTGTAAATCAGCCCTTACCCTGCATCACCCAGGAAAGTGGAAAGCATACAAGATTAGGAAGAAGGAAGCAAAGACAATTTGTACACACATATGCATACACCCCACCCACCTTGTAATGCAAGCATTATGATTAATAAGCCAAAAAAGGCCAAGCGCAATGGCTCACGGCTGTAATCCCAGCACTCTGGGAAGTCGAGAAGAGTGGATCACTTGAGGTCAGGAGTTTGAGATCAGCCTGGCCAACATGGTGAAACCCTGTCTCTACTAAAAATACAAAAATTAGCCAGGTGTGGTAGCACGCCCCTGTGATCCCAGCTACTCAGGAGGCTGAGGCAGGAGAATCACTTGAACCCGAGAGGCAGAGGTTGCAGTGAACCAAGATCGTGCCACTGCACTCCAGCCTGGGTGACAGAGCAAGACTCTGTCTCAAAAATAAATAAATACATAAATAAATAAAAATAAATAAATAAATCAATAAAATAAAACAACTTTCTGTCTGAGATGGTAAGCTCATCTCACTTAAGCAGAAGTCACTGTCATTGAATGGCATTCGACAGTTGTCAACTGCTGGTTCTTTCCCTGGCAAATCTCTTAAGTGTCCCTTTAAATTAAGAATATTTAATTTAGCAAAAGCTCATTTTGACTAGAGAGTATTTTTCATTTGACAAAACTAAGTGTTCTCTGCAGAGGTCGACAATAACTTCATTTGAGTGTAAATCTTACTTTTATTTCCATGCTCTAAAAATCTTTACACTGAAAAAGTACCTTAAGATCTCAGTACTAAAATGCATGAGGGAAGCAACTATGTCTGGCTGTTTATGGCTGTTTCCCCAGCATTTAACCTAACACTTAGTAGAAATGTAATCTTTAGTACAGTATAATCTTAAATTTTGTATATTATAATGATTCTGTCAAGTAATGAGTATAAAGTGTGAGTACAAAGGGGCAGATCTAATAAAATCCAGCAAAGGCTACTGAGGAACAATTTTTCCCAGCACAGACAGACCAATAGGGTGTTTTATAAGTACCAGTGTTTGTGTATTTAGTTTGTGTATTCAGATTTTTAATAAGTACCAGTGTTTGTGTATTTACCACTGCCCTAGAAAGAGCCAAAGCAGCCCTCTTCCCAGAAAATCTACTCTTAATGATATGGTTGATTATCTCCAAAGATGGTCACCAGCAATTCCACCAGTTCTTTTAGTTACAGGCCACTCCTTCCATCAAGAGGTAAAGATTATTTCCCCTCCTTTGAATCTGGCCTTGTGATTTGCTTTGACCAATAGAATGCAATGGTAGGGGCTTGTGTGAGTTCGAAGTCTAGACATTGAGAGGACTGGTAGTATCTACTCCTGCTCTCTGGGAGCTCAACTGTCGTGCTATGAGGAAGAGAGAGGCCATGAAGAAAGGGGCCATGTGAAGAAACTGTGGAGAGAGAGGACACATGAAACTCTGGAGGAGAAATCAATCAGCTTAGCTGACAGTCAGCTTCAAGGCCCCAGACATGTGAGAAAGGCCACCTTGCATGCTTCATTCCAGCCCAGTTACCAGGTCAAGGCGGCCAGCTGAGTGACCAGAGCAGAAGGACCACTCAGGCAATGCACAGAATGGTGACAGATAATAAACCATTGTCATTTTCAGCCTTTGTTATGAGTAGTTTGTTACACAGTAAGATATATCTAAAATAAATGACATCACAGTTCTCTCCTTCTGTATCACCGGTAGCATCTTATTTTTGTTCTTTTTGATATTATTCTCATAGGAATTCTAGCCTGTTGCTTTAGTTGTAGTGTTGAAACAAGTTTCAAGAATGAAGAGCTACATTTGAAAAATGCTGGTTTCTAAAACTTTCCAATGGGTGCAGTGCCAGATAACATGACTTTTATTATAATGGAAACAGTTTGTCTCTAAAGTGTTTATAATCAAATTCACTGTACTTGAAATATTCAAACATAGAAGTTTTCCTCTTAAAATTCTGCTGATAGTTAAGTAGTAAGTACAAGAGCAAGGCCCAAATTAAATGTAGTCTGCCCTACCACACGCACCTAAAAATATTGAGGTCTAAGCTGATCTATGTTAAACATTTCTAAATATTAATTTTTTTCTAATCAAAATGACTTCTTACTGTATCATTCTAAATTTTAGTAGTTGATGCTTTAACATTACTGAGGTAAATACACTCACCAAAAAAGTCTCTGGTGATATCATTTTTTCTTAGTGGCATTTCAAAATTACATGGTACAATGAGGTAAAAATGATATGGTTTGGCTGTGTCCCCACCCAAATCTCATCTGGAATTGTAGCTCCCATATTTCTCACATGTCATGGGAGTGACCTACTGGGAGGTAATTGAATCATGGGGGTGGGACTTTCCTATGCTGTTCTTTTGATAGTGAATAAGTCTCACAAGATCTGATGGTTTTATAAAGGGAGTTCCCCTACACAAGCTCTCTTGCCTGCCACCATGTAAGATGTGCCTTCGCTTTCCTTTGCCTTCTGCCAGGATTGTGAGGCCTCCCCAGCAGTGTGGAACCGTGAATCCATTAAACCTCTTTCCTTTATAAATTACCCAGTCTTAGGTATGTCTTTATTACCAGCATGAGAACAGACTAATACAATCCCTATAATATCACCCAGCAAACACTAAGTATGATCCTTTTCTTTCATGACTCTTGTCATGATGTAATCATCACCACTGTCTTCAAGGCTGAATTTCAACGTGAAGTCTTCCCAAAGAGAACATAAAGAACATGCTCTTCTCTTGAAATTGTTGGTTATTCCACTGACATAATCTTTTGTATGTTAAGATCACTTATACAGTGGGTGAAATGCTAAGTTAGAGCTCCCAGTACTCTGTGAAAGCAGCAGTACCTCCAGAAATGCACTTAGAAAGCTCATCCCTGTGAACCAAACTGTATGATTAATCCCAACTGCAAGAACTCACATTCACCTTGCTTGTAACAAAGCTCAAAGTAGACATATTCAAATGTCCTTCCAGGAGAGTCTAAATAGAACTTTTTTTTTTACATAGTTAGATATTCTATCTCTGTTGGGAGCAAGCCCCCAAAATCTGGCCATAAACTGGCCCCAAAACTGGCCATAAACAAAATCTCTGCAGTACTGTAACGTGTTCATAATGGCCCTAATGCCCAAGCTGGAAGGTTGTGGGTTTACAGGAATGAGGGCAAGGAACACCTGGCTCGCCCAGGGCAGAAAACCGCTTAAAGGCATTCTTAAGCCACAAACAATAACATGAGAGATCTGTATCTTAAGGGCCTGTTCCTGCTGCAGTTAACTAGCCCAACCTATTCCTTTAATTTGGCCCATCCCTTCATTTCCCATAAGGGATACTTTTAGTTAATTTAATATCTATAGAAACAATGCTAATGACTGGTTTGCTGTTAATAAATATGTGGGTATATCTCTGTTCGGGGCTCTCAGCTCTGAAGGCTGTGAGACCCCTGATTTCCCACTTCACACCTCTATATTTCTGTGTGTGTGTCTTTAATTCCTCTAGCGCCACTGGGTTAGGGTCTCCCCGACTGAGCTGGTCTCGGCAATCTCTGTGCTGAAATCCTCAACATGTAGACGTCCTTTATCCCTTCTTTAATAAACTATTATTTCTGAAGTTGTCAAACTTTGAGTACTTACATGTCTATTTCAACTAGTTGCTGGCAGAAGACAGTGATATAATTTTGCGCATTCTATCATTTACTTTGCTTCTTCTCATTCTTCTACTCTTAGAGACATGATGGTAGCTGGCTCTCCCTGGAATTCTCTTCCAAGCTCCCTGCTCTTCTCAGTTTATGCCAAAGGAAGCAAAACCATCTACTTACATCTGCAAGTCAGATCAAGCCAGTAGGGATCCATTTCTAAAACTTCCCTGGGCAATCACACACATACCCACAACTTCTACTGATGACTCCCAAATCTAAATTTCAGGCTCAGAACCCTCCTTTGAAATTCCAGCTTCAAATAACCACTTGTGTTCTGTACATGGCACCTTCATATTCCACAGCTGCTTTCAAGTCCACATGACATTTCTCCTCCCATTCTTACTCTAATAAGTGTCTTGTTAGTGGAATTATCACCCACCCTGACAACTGAGATGTTTAGCTCCTTCTCCCTTACACTCTACAGTCAGTCCATGCCAGTTGCTATCAATTCTATCTCCAAACATATCCTTTGAACCTGTTCAGTCCCTCTCTCTTACCTCACTGATGCATCATTTCTTATCTGGACTCTTACACCCACATCCCAACTGTTCTCCTTGCCTACAGCCTTTCCTCCTCTCCAGTCCATTCCCTGCATAGCAAACAAAGTGATCTCCATGGAACTAACCCTGAGTGGCAGCAGAGTGAAGTGGTTAAAAACGTGGACTCCAGAGCCTAGGTTAAATCCTGATTCCATCACTCACTAGTTTTGTCATCTTGGGAGTGTTACTTAACTTTTCTGTTTTGTATTCCTCAGAATTAAATTGGAATAAAAATAGTATCTACTTTGCCTGGTGGTTATGAGGATGAAATGAGTTAACATTTATAAAGCTCTTAGAACAGTGCCTGGAATATAGAAAGTACAATACTGTATAAGTGGGTGTTAAATAAATGGATGACAATCTATCTGCTTAAGACCTTTTTCTGGAGGAAAATGCTTACTCACGGAAAGTAACCCTCCGTAATCCAGCACCTGCTTACCTGTCCAGTCCAACTCAGTTTATCCCACATAAGGGCAGAGCTATAGGCACGGAAAACTATTGGCAGATCCCTGATCCTGTCCTGCCGTTCCATTCCCCCATGCCCTTCTCTCTGGAATGTCCTTCTCTCTGGAACATGAAGTGAACTCCCACCAATCATTCAGGCATTAAAGATTGGTATCTTCTTCCTTTTAAGCCAAGCCAAGTTACTCGCTTCCTTTGTGGTGCTGTCATAGAATCTGGCAGATATCTCTATTATTCCATTTACCACACTGCCTTGCAATATTTCTGACAAGCCTCCTTCCCCTATTAGGCATGCTTTTTGAGGCCAGTGACTGTGTCCTGTATCCTTATCTCTTTGATACATAGCATAATAACTAGCATGGAATATAGGATACAACAAATATTTCTGTTTCATTATCCTCTACGTGTTTTCCTTCCCCTCTCAATAGTATTAGCAGTGATATCATGATGCCTTAATATACATAGAACACTTTAAAACATATGATATCCCTTTTTTGATCCACAGAATAAAAGAAAAATAATTATTCTCACATGTGAGAGAACTGAGGTTTCAAAAATCAAGTGGTTTCCCTAGGATCATGCAGCCATTATTCAAATCCAGGGCTTGTAATTCCAAATCCTACAAATTATTTTTCCATTTCACAATTACCTACCCTCCCTTGAAGATGACTATTTTGTATTAAACTCTGGGAAAATAATGATTCTGCTCCCTACACCTTCTTCAGAAAGCACCTCTGCTTTAATGTCTATGAGTCATACTAACCCCATTGAAAAAAAAAACAAAAACTAAAAAACTAAATCATCTTGTTTTAATCAACAAGAATAGTATTGCTCCTGGCCAAATGCATTCATTACTTACAAATATGCTTTGTAAGCTCCCAGATAGGTGTCTTTTAAAAATATGTTGTGTTCCCACTGGGGTTTGATCAAAATCCGTGGTTGCTCTTCAAGGGAACAAAGTTCTTGGAGTCAGATAAGGAAGCCTTGTCTGCAAATTCATTTCATATTTTACAGGCCTAGCCAGGAATAGTCACAAAAGAGAAGCACCTGGTCAGGCATGGCGATCATTCACAAGATCCGAACAAGGAAGATCTTTCTTTAAAAATAGATTTCGGAGACACCTGAAGATTAGGCTGCGAGCTAGTGTCACTGGTAAATAATAGTCTGGTGTTTACATTTTCACCAGGGATTGTTTCTCCCGACACTACAGATTAAATGAGGCAGCTAGACTCTCGGAGCCTGTCATTTTACGGGGAGAGCTATGTCTTTAAAATGTAAACAAAAGAGATAGTCTGTCTTTCTAAGGAGTTTAAGAAAAGCCGGAATTTAACATGCAAACACACTTCTATCCTGCTTGACACTTCTATTCTGCAAGACAAGCTTTATACTAAAGCTCTAAAGTGAGTTTTTTCTCACCTCAGAAGTCCTTCCAAATCCAGGTGTGTGGCCAATGCTAACTGCTACAGAGAAAACAAGCCTCTGGCTCATGGGAAGGACAGGCTGTGTTGCCAAACACAGACCCTTTGGGGTTTGAAATCTTGACAGGTCCCAAACAAAGTGTCTTGTTGTGTTTCCTCTTTTATAGACTATAGCATTTAAATTTTATAACAAGAAAAGATGTATACTTTCTTTTACCTTTATTTTGGGAGGATATCTACCCTATGAGAGACTATCTGAAATAAGAATCTCATGTAATTACTGTAAAAATCCATGAACATCCCAGTCACATCAGCTGGTTACATTTATTCCCTCCATTAAAGACACAAAATAATGTAAACAGATTCCCCTTTTTCTGTGACATTCCCCATGAAACTAAGTGCTGTTTTCTCTTTATAAGAACCATTGACTGAAACAAACTTCTGATTCAATATCTGGCCCATAACAGCTGTGAAAGCACAATTTTCTATTGATAGCTTAAATCCCATCTCACCTTGAGAATCTTAGTTATAGGCAGGCTAGAAAACACGTATAACCATATAACCCTAAACACATAGTTTATAAACAACATTCCATCTTAAAGGGAAAACATTAATTTTTGGTATCAACAGAATTTATTTGTGCTTTAAAAAGTAAATTTTGATTGTGATAAGAATTGGTGTTTGAATTTTGTGTTCAAAATGATTCAGTGTTCAAAAGTCTTTGATTTTAGTCAAATGAAATATAGGCTTTCTTTGGGATTAGGAAAGGATACCTCTTGCTTTTAGCTTTTCTAACTAAAAGCCAGTTTGTATGGCATATCAAGTCACTGTAATTTTCTGAGTAAATTACATAATTATTTAGGTTAAACAAAGCACAAGATAATCAGCATTGTTGTTATTACACAAAACTAAAATTTATCCTTACTACAGGCTAAAAATACAGTGCACCCTCTCACTATTTCCTTAATTTGCTCTGTCATTATTTCCTTAATTCATAAAAATATAAATGGAAAAGGTTAATATTTTACACTTATAAACATTTAGCTATTTATTTCCTAAGTTGAGCTTCACAACAATTTCATGAAAGAAAAGGGAAAGCATCATTCCTCCCTTTTTACAAATGAAGAGCTGAATCTCAAAAAGATTACGAGGTTTCTGCAAGGTCACACAGCTGGTAAATGGCAACACCGGAAACAAATCTAGTCTATTAGCACTGAACTGTGCCGTGCTATCTCTTTTTTTGTTTTTGTTTTTTGTTTGTTTGTTTTGTTTTTTTGAGATAAAGTCTCACTCTGTTGCCCAGGTTGGAGTGCAATGGTGTGATCTCGGCTCACTGCAACCTCCGTCTCCTGGGTTCAAGCGATACTCCTGTGTCAGCCTCCCAAGTAGCTGGGATTACAGGCGCCCACCACTACACCCGGCTAATTTTTTTGTGTGTTTTTAGTAGAGATGGGGTTTCACCATGTTAGGCTGGTCCCGAACTCCCGACCTCAGGTGATCTGCCTTCCTCAGCCTCCCAAAGTGCTGGGATTACAGGCGCGAGCCACCGCGCCCAGCCCGTGCTGTCTCTCTTGAATAACCTTTGCCCTTACCTGGATTAATCAACTTAGAACCTAAATTGCTATTGGTTGCTCATCTGCGGTGAATTAACTCTAGCTCCATCTATCCAAATGTGCTAAGCGTGGGAGGAAAGTGCCTGAGAAGCAGCCTTGGAGCACTTACAAACAGAGATGATTCTTAAGGTGTTAGTTCCATTCCAAGGAAGAAGCACACTCTCTCCCAATATCCCATGCTCTCTGTGCACTCATCTCTTTCCAACTGAATCCTACTCTCTGCAGCTCTAAATAAATGATTTCCACCAGAAAACAATGTGAGCTCTGTAGAGACAGCTAATATTGAAGGAAGATGCAATGTATGGGTTGCAGGGCTGCTTTTAGAGGATGGCTCAAGGGTCATAGGGGAAGTATCCTTCAAGTTATCAAGGCTGTTGGTTAGTCAAGTTATCACAATCCTCTTCATTATTGTTTCTACCATAAATGTATCCTTCTATCATGGAAGAATCTGTAAATTGTTCTGTCTACTACATTCACTGACAGATACACAGAGACTTAATAAATTTTTCTAGAGTCTTTTTTCATCCAGTAAATAATTATTGGGCATCTATTATATGCCAGGCAGTAGTCTGGATTCTGAGGCTACGTCAGTCTTGTATACATCACAAAAATAATCACATTACCTTTTGGTGAGTGGTATAGCTAAGGGCTTTAGATGTGATTGTTTCCACCTGGGTGAATGGGACAGCTTTGCAGAAATTATGTCATTTGATCTGAATCTTACAGATTAAGCAGTAGTTCAGCAACAAGGAATGGAAAGGGTAGTATTTTATTCCTCTTGAAATTAACAAACATATAAATGCAAATGAATACATTAATTCCCATGGGAGGTCTCTACAAACCTGAGACTGAAATATTTTAATAGAAAGCCTCTAGAACAATGTATAGAGTGGCTTAGTAAACAAGAACTACTGATCACCTTATGCATTTCACCATTAATAATCGCTTCTGGTAAGTAATGAATACTTATATTCTCAAAATATTTTGAGCAAAAAAGTTCTCAGCTATAGCCTAGTTCAATCCAACTTTTCTGGTAAGACACAGAAAGATTAAATGTCTTATTTAAAAATCACAGTTAATCACTGAAATTAAAAATACTGCAAATAAAAGTTTCTGACATCCCATTGTTTCTTTCTTCAATATTGCATGCTCTGTTGATGTAAGTCAATAGTTTATGGTTAGCGACGTCCTCTGTAATACGTAAGCATGGTACTCTGAGGTCAGAGGTTTAGGTTAATAAAACACAAGAGGGTTGTTATTTATTTTCTGCTTAATATAAAAAGGAATAAAGAACCTGAGGCAGGAAAAGAAATTCCAAAGGTAAGGGACAAGAATGGAGGTAAGTACGAAAGACCAAGAGCCAGGAAAGCTGGATTTGATTGTGATTCATTCTTGTTAAGTGGTCTTGAATTAGCCATTTGCCCCCATTGGCTTCCGTTTCTTCATTTGTAAAATTAAGTCAATAATACCTGGCCATTCATTTGTAAGTCTCTCAGTTTATAAGTGAATATGTGTTGGATTTCAAAAACTATTAATATCGATTAAACATCTTCTGGGAACCTTTTTCATATATGCCCTCTGTTATAACTTGAGCCAGATTGACACAATTGGTATTAGAATGAGGAGACTGTGTTGCAGAGAATTTATTTGACTTTCCAACAGTCACTTAGCTAGTGGGTTACAAGGCTACAGTTTGAACACAGCTCGCAAACCCATTGCTTTTTAAAAACCAGTAATACCACTACTTATTCACTTTATCATGGTATTTAAATTTCAAGCATGACCAAATAAACACATGCTTATGCTTACAAACATAAATGCTACTGAAACAAAAGTTTCAGAAAACATTATTCATACTGCATTTCAATATATTATACTTTTGAAATCCTAGTCACAATCCCCTAAACTGATTTTGTAACCAACTAACTCACAAGTCGCAGTTAGAAAATAGTCTTAGATTACATGACACACATGCTTTTTTCATTAAAAACCCCATTTAAATGAAATGACCCTTAAAGTCCATTCCGGTTCTAAAACTGGACATTTAATACAGTAAGTAAACATGAAGATGCTTTAGAAAATTTAAAGTGCTATATAAATGTGAGGTGGCCGTAACACACCCATTTATCACATGTGAGCATCTATATGGACCCAAAGCACTGCAAACTCCACTCATCACTATCTCCATGCCAGAGGGTAAGGGCAGGCATTTTGAGTCTTTAACAGCTCAAGAAAGACTGTCATAAATAGCTGTAATTTGTCCTGACATTTAGAAAGTTGATATCCCAGTGAAGAAGTTATTAGATTGGAGAACTCTGAGAATAAGAGATGCTTACGCAATTTGACTTCCTTTCGTATGCAATATATAGTCTCCACAGAGAATTGGCCAACTTTAATGTCAACCAGAATGTTTATATTCACTCAGAGATCATCTTGACAATGAAATGTCTTTTACTGACATAAAGTTACAGATGTGAATTTCCTTTTAAAAAAGAGCTATATAATAATATGGCAGCTTTTTCTTATTATAAATGGAATATTCTAATAAGCATAAATAGCCCACAAAGCAACTTTGAAGGCCTTTTTATTAGAACCAGTTTTTATAGTAGCTGAGAAGTTCGCAGAGTAAAAACAATAAAGACATTGATTCAATTCTCCCATACACATTTAGAGTAAATATTCTAGAGCAATGTTCTTTCCTGTCATAGAAAAAAGATGCCTCAATGTCTGTGCCCCACCTACCATAGCATGGTTTTCTTGTCTGCAATGAGCCTTTCCCCTCCTACCACAGGGCTAGCTCAGATGCTCTCCCCACTGCCTAGAAAACACCTAGCACCCTACTTTAACTCCTGCTCATCCTTGAAAACTCATTTCAAATATTACTCCCTCTAGCCTCTTCCCTTGGTCACTCCCATAGTTAAACTTTCATGGCACATGCACCTCTTATTGTTGTGGCTATTAATAGAAGTGTGATTTATTATTTATTTGTCCAATTATTTGATTAAAATGACTCCCATACTAGATTCAAACTCTAAGAGGACAAGAACTGTGTCTTTTTGGTCACTGTTCTACCCTCAGGGCCTAATAGAGCACCTGTAACATGCAAAATACTAAGTTAATGTTTTTTGAGAAAATAAATGGTTCTCTTATGGAGAAGACTCCATCCACTCTCAGTTGCTATGCTTCGTAACCTCCTCCAAATGCTACATCTTTATTCTTTGAAGGCCTTCTACACCAAGGAGCTAATGTTTTATGAGAATAAAATAATCAAGTTAGCAATTATAAATATAATTTTGCTTTTTATTTATTATTATTTTTGAGACAGTTTCACTCTTGTCACCCAGGCTGGAGTGCAGTGTGGTAATCTCAGCTCACTGCAGTCTCTGCCTCCCGGTCCAAGCAGTTTTCCTGCCTCAGCCTGCCAAGTAGCTGAGATTACAGGCACACACCACCACACCCAGCTAATTTTTGTATTTTTAGTAGAGACAGGGTTTCATCATGTTGGTCAGGCTGGTCTTGAACTCCTGACCAGCCTCCCAAAGTGCTGAAATTACAGGTGTGAGCCACCCTGCCTGGCCTAATTCTGCTTTTTTAAGTTGATGACTAAAGAAAGAATCCAAGAGAAAGGGAAAGAGGTTTTGTGTGAAGTTATATGCTGTAGCGTTATCTTAACAATATTATAGAAACAACCTTAATATCCAACAAGAAGGAAGTGGTAAAACAAGGTACATCCATTCAATAGAGTGTTATCTATACATTGAAATGATTAATTATGAACATTATCTTTTAAAAAGAAAAATATTCATAGTAAATTAGGCTAACAAGGACAAAAGACCAAATTATATAGCTGTCTTCTAATATACAAAGCATACATTAATCTAAAAAGATGGATTGGAAAAAAAAAACATGGATAGGAAAAGCAACTTGATATGGGAGTGTGATAATTAATATTTTAATTTTATTTTTGTTGTGATATTACTTGTATCAAGAGAATCATTTAAAAATATACATAAATACTCAAGAGTCTGACTGTAAAATATTTTTAACCAAAACTTTAGATACCTACTTTGAGAATCCTATAGCATGTTATATGTTGTATATTTTCCAGTGTAAAGAACAATTGGGTCATGCCTTTGAATGAAGACTGTGAGTACCAACAGACTCTCAATCTCATTCTTGGTAACTCTATGATTTATGGCTATTGAATATACCTAAATACAATCCAAAATTAACATTGTTCCAAAAAAAAGATTGTGTCAGCTCCTTGGAATATTACAGCGTGCTTTCAGTCACATGGTGGTAATGGAGATGGACACGTGCTGGTGTGGAATATAGATGAACTTAGTTGCATTCTGTTTAGAAATCAACACCTGAGCAGCTCCAAGAATTTGTCCTCTGAGAATTCCTCCCTGATTCCAATTAGGAAGTTAATTCATTACTCAACCAGGTGAGCTCTACCCTAAGAGCGCTGATTCACTGAGGCACACATGGTCACCTAGGACAAGTAAGTTCTTCTGTTATTCATGCCAATAACTGATGTTCGTTTTTGATGTGCCAGACACATCACTGAGCATACCAATATTTCATCCTCACAACAACCCTACGGATTAGGCATTATGATTAACCCCCACTTTTTAATTAAAGTAGTTGAGACACCATAATTATTACGTAACCTGCCCAAGCTCACACAGCTAGTAGGTGTTCTAAGTCAGAAACTAGACCTAGAACCCACATATTTAAGCATTACTCTGCAGTACTATGAAAATGTGAGTCTGCAAAACTTAAGAAAAAAAATTGGCGAGTTAGGAAATAATTGGTTCAATCCTATATTGTTAAATTCACATTAAGTATAGAGCTTCCTATACTTCATATATCATCAGAAACAAACTAAAATAGGAGAAAGAAATCCCACATTCACTTCTGCCTGCTGCAGAGCCATGAAAGCATATATGCTGTGACTGTCGAAAAATTGCTCGTCTCATCATTTTCAAAAGTACTTTGAAGCTCTGTGCAATGGCCCAAACATATTCACAAGCCCATGACTTATAGTACCAGATAAATCCCATGGTGTGGGGGAGAGAGGCTCTCTGATGACAGGCACTTCCAGGAAGAAGCATCCGGCTTCAGAATCCTCACTTTACCACTTGTCTTTGCCTTGGAAAACAGCCCATTTCTGAGTCCCTGTGGGACCCAGCAGTCACCAGGCAATGGGAGTGCAGTCTCCACTATCCTTAGACAATGTGTAATATCAGCTACAAGAACGGGGACAGTCCCTGTGCTCAGCACTGCCTTGGCTGTCACAGCCAGGGACAGACTTTAAAATGACTCAATAGTGAGACATAAAAATATCAAGGTCATGGACTGATGCTGCGTCTGAGGGAGTGGGAGACTTTGTAAACTATGAAAGGTTGAAGGTTAAATTACTACTATTTTTCACCTTTGTCCCAACCAAAGAGACTGTTAACAAGCTGTTAGTAAGCATGACTTGTGATAAGAGAGTGAGAAAAAAAAAATCTGAGTAGGAAATAAACAATTTGTTGACAACAGGAAGAAAACTGGGCTCGAGGCCAAATACCTGCTCATCTCCCTGGAGCTGCAGCTTAGCCTGTGAGAGCAGCACACTCAGGGGCTGAAGACTCCACGGATTTGCGTCCCTGTTGCTTCTGCGATGGAGTGGCTTTCAAAAGCGAAAACAAAACGCAGGGGAAGAAAGGGTTGAAAGTGAACAGCCAATCATTCTCACGAAAACAAAATTTTAAAACAATCCACATTTTAAGCAAATAAAATTCTGGCAGGAGATTCTTGGGCAGAGAATTTATTATACAAGCATTCTCAATCAACTTCTTTTGTTCCAACTGCTACCCCCCGTGCCCGGCCCAAAGAATGTCTTACTTTCCTTAAAACATGCTAAACTCAACATTATTGAGCAGAAACCTTTTCAATCTTTATCTTAGCTAAGACAGGTGACTGTGCTTTAAGTTACTAAAAATTTAGGAAGGGCAAAAAAAGAAAATGACAATAAAATAAAAAGTGCCGTTTCTCAAAATCAATGAAAGTGACAAAGAATTTTACATAGTCTCAAATCCTGTTGTCCTAACCCTAAAATACTGGTTTTACTTTGAACATTCCTTGCCCATCCAGTTTGTTACTTTCTAGGGAAAGTATGACAGATAACTAAAATGTCTGCGTGTGGTGAGTGGAGTGGGGAAAGAGAGGAGGAGATAGAAAAGAGGCCCTTTGTGTCACATTTTTGTCCAAGGTCTGAATTACCACTGAGTTATGCTACTCTAAATCCAAAATTTTCACCAGGAGAGTTTTGAAGTGCTCATTTCCCTGGATCTCCACCAGTATCAAGCCTGTGTTCAGGCAAATGACAATCAACGATCACTTGTTACCTAAGAACTAGGTACTCACTTTTAGGAGTTCCTTCTGGAGCCAGTAAGAGAACTCAACTTTCTTTTTTCCTTTTCTTTTTTTCGGGAGCCTAGTTCTTTCTCACTTTGTTCAGGTTTCCAGTCTTAAAAGCTGTGTCAGCTAGAAAGAAGGTGTTTGATACTATGAGACTAGCTACTCCTGATGCAGGTTTCAGCTGCACCCAACTGTTAAAGAATGCTGGGAGGTTTATTCATCAGGTGAAATCACTTCTTCCATTCTGGAAGTGAGCTCACAAAAGTCACTCCCTGCTGTTATAACCCATAGTGATAGTGTGGGGAAGAACAAGATTATTTCACAAAATTCTCACATTATGTCTATTTAAATGTTAAACAAATTCACCAGGATTGGACTGTCATAAACATAAATAAATAAGCAAAGAAGAAATTAATGTGCCATTACTGATGCTGTGCTTAATTTCAAATCATAGTCTGGTCATCTGATTCTTTTATGCCAATATTTAACTATATTCAAAGAACCTGTAACATTGTTTCCCAGAGTATAATCTGTAAACGACCTGCCTCAAAAACCCAAGATGCTTGCTGAGAATATAGACTCTGACAGCATCCCAGCTTCAGTGCATCAGAAACTGTAGTGGTGGGATCCGATCCGGGAATACATAGTTTCTTTATAAGCTTCCTGATGTTTCTTAAGCATGCTGATGTGTGATTGTTCTCAAACCTTTCTAAAGTGCATGAGAATCACTTTGAAACATTTAAAATGCACATCCTCAGGGACTGGGATTCAGTATTTCTGAGTTAAGCCCAGCAATCCACATTTTTAGAAAGAACTCTGGTAGTTCTGAAATAGGAGCACACTTTTAGCCACACTGCATAGAGCTTCTAGGTGCTCGACGATGCAAGCAGCTCTACTTCCCAACTCTTCACTACTGCTATGTCTCAGTTTTCTTTCAACTTACAAGTCCTGGCCTTTCCCATTCTCTCTCTGGTTTGTTTCTCAGGGCTGCTTCCCCTCATCCTTTCCATTCCAGGTCAGCCTTCTCTATTGATTCAAATGCACAAGGAAGCTTCATTAAGAGTAAAGATATTTCAGTGAATATGCAGCTACAGTAGAGATAAATCACAAATAGAATTCTCATTGTTCAGGATGTCCTTCTCAAATGGATCATGTTGGACTACTTCCTATTGACCTGAAAATCTTGCCACTAGACCCTAAGACTTGGATTATAGTTACAGGGCTCAGTCCCCATAGTCTGCCTTTCAAGTTTAGGTATAGCTAATACGTTAATTTGTACTACAGGCAATTGTGGGATCCAAGCTCTTCTATTACCATTCTTCGAACTCTGTCTAGTCTCCCAGTCCACCACAGTAATTTATGTCCAATTTCCCATTTTTAAACAGTTTTAAACCCTTATTTTACAGTTTTATTTCAAAAATACAGGAAATTTAACACTATAACAGAAACTTGGGGGATAAAGAAAATTAGGGAAAAATTACAAAAGAACCCTAAGTAATGCATTTATTTTCATTTTACAGACAAGGAACCTAAAGAGCAATGAATATCATCCCACAAGTACTTTTCCATGCATCTATATGTACCTTAATTCATATGCATAGATTTCAACCATGGTTTTGTATGTGATGTTTTCCCTAATAGTCATCAATCCATCTCTCCACTTATTGAGTCATCTGACAAATATTTATTTTTGCACTACAATGCAACAACTTTGGTTTATAGACTTTTAAAATGTTTGCTGATATGCTAAGCAAAATATGATACAACATTGTTTAATTCATTTTTTCTTTCTAGTAAAGCTGAACTTGTTTTAAAAATATTTACTAATCATATTCTATCACTTTTGAGGTATCCCTTAAATATTTTGCCTATTTGCCATTTGTGTTTTGAGTCCTTTGTGACTTTTTATTTATATGAAAACATTACGTATTACAAACATCTATCCTTCATTGGTCATAAGTGCTGTAATACTAATTAATTAACTAAGCTACTACAATTTGAGGTAAGGTTCATAATTGTCTTCCTCACAGGTTCTCTTTAGGCCTCTGTAATACCTGAGACACTGTCTTCTCTACAGCCCGGTTGTTATATTGCCCTTTTATTTGTTATTTTTTAAGTTTTCATTTAAAAGATTCTCTTTTTAATCTATTCCAAAGTGTTGGAAGCTGACCTATACAAGTTCCTTCCACCCACTCTTCCAGTACAGTTTTCTGAGGACACATAGGACATATTTTTTTAAACAGAAAAACAAAAAGTGGACCTTCTACTGAAACCAGGTAGGACCAGAGTCAGCTCCACAGGCCCCTGTGGCAGTTTTGCCAAAGCAGGCCTTATGGAGTGAGTGTGTGAAGTCAGGGGAATTGAACCCTCCCTCCTGTGAGGAAAGGGCTGAGTCAACTCATGTTCTCTTTAGTGAAATAATTCAAATTCAGTTGGGAAAGCCTCCATTATGACATTCCCCGGCACCCTTCTTATACTTTAGGTATTGAAGGCAGCTCCCTCCTTTATGGTTGGTTTTAGTAGACAAAGAAACAAAGGAATACAGTATATACATAATATATATGTATACATACACACACATATTTAGGGGGAGGGAAAGGAGAGGAGGGTCATATAAACCTAAAACAGTTATCACATATCTCATTACCGCCAAATGAGCCTGTATCAGGTTCACGACTATGCCAAAGGTCATGATGAGGTCTGGAGGGAGTGGGTGGGCAAGCAGAAAGAACACTCGGGGGGCCGTAGGCAGGTGAAAGATGATTTTATTCAGCAGCACTTCTCATCAACAGCTTTCTCACGCTAGCTCTCTACACTGTTCGCCTGTGTCTCGGCTGTCTGCTCCCGCTCTGTGGCCCCTGCTGCCCCGACACCTGCAGCTGTATGGCCTGCTCTCCCTTGGCCTCAGGGTCAACAGCTTAACTCTTTCTCTGGGCACAAGCAATCCAAGCTGTATCCTGGCTCCCCAGGGAGCATCTGCAAATATGGACAGCCCTGACTCTCTCTTTCTGTGGACGCCAGCACGCCCGCCATGTCAAGCCATGTTGAGCTGAGCCGAGCCCCAAGAGCCATGTCTCTTGTGCACAGTGTCGACAGGGCAGTTCTACCTTTTACAGCAATAGTGGCTCAGAGCCAAGTATGAACTTACACAAACAAGTTATATAACAAGTGGAGGTGCACACTCACGCACCAAACTCGCTTGGATATCCACCTTGGCCTATTCCTTGACCAAAGCACATCCATGTACCTTACACTCCACCCCCTAGGCTGAGGGAAACATAGGCCCTGGACACACAGGTTTTATACACAGGTTTGGCACACAGGCCTGGCATATAAGCTTTGGGCACACAGGCCTGATACATACACATAGGCTTCTGGGCACATAGGCCTGACACATAAGCCTTATACATAGGCTCTGGGCACACAAGCCCATCACATACATAAGCTTCAATAAACTGCTCGGCTGTTGGCACAGATTACCATAGGTGTTGCAACATTGGTGATTACTGTTCACATTGCCCTGAGTGCAGCTCATTAGCTACTTTGCCTACACCTGGTTTTAACCCATATGGTGTTAGTACTAGGCTGGACTGTGGCAGCAATCCAGGCAGCAGTAGCTCCCTGCCTACACATATCTGTGTACCAAGCCCTATTAGGAATGGGAGAATGCCCTTCCTAATGATGAAGGCTTAGGGTTTAGGGGTGCCTCAGGCCCCATGGCCTTACTTGGCATTAGGACTACAGGTCCCAAGACTTCCTGTAACTCTACTGCTAAGGGACTTGTAATCAGTGTACTTTACTGCTGTAAGTAGGCTCCCCACTTTGCTAAAGTGGATGTCTGTGCTGTCCCAGTCGATGGGGTCATTACCCACGAGTGTACCCACCCCACTGTTGGGAAAGTTGTCTGCCTGATGATTGTAGCCATTCCTGCCATGCTCTTATGAGCCTGAAGGGCAGTATATACAGTTACTAACTGCTTTCCCTGTCCAGGGGGTGGTTATCCATGAACACACCCATCCTATTATTACTAACTGCTTCTGTATCAAGGAATACTGGAGCTCAGCTCCCTTGCATAATTGGGACCAAAAGCCTACTGGCATACTCAGGCACTCATGCACTGCCATAGGCCCTAACTGAAACTATCTGTGGTCACATGCACATCTAGCTTAAATGGGCACCTCTGGTCAACTACCCATAGGGCTTGTGCTTGCTGAATAGCCTACTTGGCTACCAGGAAGGCTGTCTCAGCTGCATCATCCCAATCCCAGGCAAGAAGGGCATTGCTGCTTCTAAACCTGCAAGAGAATCAGAAGTGAATATAACATTATTAACAAGACCATGACATATGGTGGGGCTATGCATATAAGCCCTGAAGCAACACTGTGAAAGTCCGTCGTCACCCTCCCATGAAGGCAAACTGTTCCTGGCTCTCTGGAGCAATGTCAATGGAGAAGAATGCATTAGCCAAGTCCCATCACAAAGTGGTACTGTCCCAGTTCCATTGTCAAACAGCCATCAAGTCTATGATGGAAGGTCCAGCTGCATGCAGAGGGGATGTTGCTTTATTCAGTTCCTGATAATCCACTGTCATCTGCCAAGTTCCATCAGGCTTTTTGACTGGTTATACTAGAGAATCATAGGGGTTATGGGTGCACCTCCTCTAACTTCTTATTAGTCTCAGTTATCTCTGTGTGCTCCCCCGCCGCCCCCCAGTAAACGGTATTGATGAGTGGAAGTAAGTTGTTGGGGTTGTGGCAGAACTTGGGGCTGGTGATGTGTATGGAGTACTGGCTTTACTACACGAACCAGGATTCCAAATTCTCTGGCTGTGGTGTGTAAGTCCAGATCATGCAAAATGTCCACCCCCAGAATATATTCATGTATAGGAGAAACATACAGAGTGTACAGGTGGATAGCAGAGTAGCCAATGCCAATATAGATTCACCATCACAGATTGGCCCCCATAACTGTCAATGAATGCAGCTTTTCCCAGAAACTTATCCAGGTTCCCATAAACTAGACTGCAGTCTGCACCAGTGTCTACCAGTGCTAGGGCCCGCTGTACATTAGTAGGGGACCAGAGGATTGCCAGCTCCTCATATAGCCTCCAGTTGTCCAGTTCCCCTGAGTTGGGCAACTCAGCCAGTTCCCTAATCAAACAGGAAAGGCCTAATGTCTTCTCCCATCTGCAAATAGTCCTTGAGCTGAAAAGTTTCCAGGTGGGGCTGGGTTGAACAACATTGTCTTGCCCCTCCTTGGGCATTCTTCAGAATTGCAGCTCTGGGGACGATTGCCTCCACAGAGCCAACAGCATTCCATTGGGTTGCCTGTCAATTTTCTCTCTAGTAACCCCAGCTGCAAGTAAATCAATCCACATCCGCATGTGGGTCACCCGCCTGGGCCCCTTTTAATCTCGTGGATGGTTACTTGTGAAGGGTGCACCTTCCATTTCTTTACGGCGTGGACTCCCAGGTCCCGCCAATGGCCTTCTGCCTCCCCAAGGGCTGCCATAGCAATAGTCACTTTGTGTATGCGGTGTCCTACATACGGGGTGAGAACAGCAGCTAGAGGGCCAAAGCATCCGGGGGTGCTGAACTCAGCACAAGATCCCTCATAGGGGAGGTAAAGCGTTCATCATCTGGCCCCAGATATTCTGATCAAACAGCCTGCTGCATATTGCATATCCGTCTCCCGGAGCACCTGCACCAAATCAGTATATGATTGCCATTTACTCACAGTTTCTGGGGTCTCTCTGGCATCATTCCAAACAGTCCGTATGGCTGCCGTCAGCCACTTGATTTACATGTAGTCACTTTGCCCTTGTGTTAACCGTTGGCACAGCTGCAGCCGCCGATGAAGGGAAGGGTGAGTTGTGATAGAAGCCAGATTCTCCATCTCAGAGGCGGAGCAAGAAATGCTATCAGCTCCTTCAGACGCTGCCAGACTGTTTACCTACTTCCCTCAAATCAGTGGGGGTATAAGCACTATAAGAGGTATGTGCCACCACTGTGAGGGGTCCTGGGATCTCGCCTGCGGTCCCATTGGCTGCTCATGTTCTACCTTCTGATGGATCACAGGGTGATCCAGCAGTGGAGGAACCTCCTCCTCAGCATCAGACTGAATCGGAGTGTCCCGCCAGGAGGATGGGCTCAAGGCCGGGCTGACAGCTGTTGCTAAATCCTGTTCCTGGCTATTTATCTGGGCCTCTAAGTGCCCTGCTTGCACCTGGAGGTCCCCCACCCCCAGGTCCTGCTCCAAGCTGTGCACTTGGGCCCCCAGGTGCTCAGCTTGTCCTGGGAGGTCCCTTACCTGTGGAACTGAGCATGTACTTCCTGCAGTGCTGTCAGAAACGCCCATCCGACGCTGCCAGCAAAGGTGCATTCCTTCTTGGTGCTGTGTGCTCGCACACTTGCAGGAGACCTCTCCACTGCCTCCCGCGTTTCCACTGGGGCTCATCCAAGCAGCACCGCTGCCCCTGGGTACAGCCCGTGCTGCAGCCACATAGCTGACCCAGGAGCCCTCAGGGGCCAAAGACCTACTCACTTCATCCTGCCAACGTCGCAATTGTCAGGTACATGACTACGCCAAAGGTCATGTTGAGGTCTGGAGGGAGTGGGTGGGTAAGCAGAAAGAACACTCGGGGGGCCGTAGGCAGGTGAAAAATGATTTTATTCAGCAGCAGCTCTCATCAACAGCTTTCTCACACTAGCTCTCTACACTGTTCGCCCGTATCTCGGCTGTCTGCTTTGGCTCTGTGGCTCCTGCTGCCCCCACACCTGCAACTGCACGGCCTGCTCTCCCTTGGCTTTAGGGTCAGCAGCTTAACTCTTTCTCTGGGCACGATCAAGCCGAGCTGTATCCTGGATCCCCTCTGTCTGCAAAGATGGAAAGCTCTGACTCTCTCTTTCTCTGGGCGCCAGCGCACCCACCATGTCAAGCCATGTTGAGCTGAGCCGAGCCCCAAGAGCCATGTCTCTTGTGCACAGTGTCAACAGGGCAGTTATACCTTTTACAGCAATAGTGGCTCAAAGCCAAATATGAACTTACAAAAACAGGTTACATAATAAGTGGAGGTGTGTGCTTGCATGCCAAACTCAGTGAGTCATGCAGGCCTGGGTATCTGCCCAGGCCTATTCCTTGACCAAATCACATCCACGTACCTCACAGCCTGACATTAACAAAAAGATAATAAAAACCTCCTGGGGGTTAAGTGACAACATGGATGTAGCAAGAAGGGAAACTGCACACATTTAAGTGTTACATATGTTTGGCAGAGTTCAGGCCAACACCTGGGTCCTGCACTTGCCAGATAAGTAGCTAAGGATACTCAAAGAAAAAAAAAAGTTTTTAATTCAAGCAGAGCTCCATACCACAGTTTTCCTTTAAGTCCTGTGGCCCGCAGGCACAGTTTCCCTACCACCAGGAACAAATACATTGGCTCCAAGGCAAATTAAAAAAAAAAAAAAAGTATTTCCACTTAAAACATGAAAATACAGAAACTTCATCAAAGAAAGAAAACTATCCAAGAAGCCTACTTCCAGCAAAACCGAGGTAACACTGCTTCCTCTGCATTCAGTGCTCAAGTGGTTCCCTGTACAATGTGTTCTTAAAAAATATGTCCACTTGACTGACAGGTGCAATATATTGATGGATAAACTCAACATGAAACGCAATAGTTCAAAGAAAGAATTAAAAAGAAGCGAGGGAAATAAGGGTTTTGGATAAATTAGCTTAAAAGGGGGTTGTCACCAGACTTAGAATACTCTTGGCTCACTGCAACCTCCACCTCCCAGGTTCAAGAAATTCTCCTGCCTCAGCCTCCCGAGTAGCTGGGACTACAGGCATGCACCACCACACCCAGCTAATATTTTTAGTAGAAACGGGGTTTCACTATGTTGGCCAGGATGCTCTCGATCTCCTGACCTCGTGATCCACCCACCTCAGCCTCCCAAAGTGTTGGGATTACAGGCGTGAGCCACCACGCCCGGCCACTGTTTCATTTTCACATTACCTTCTTGAGCCTGTCTCCTCATCCCTAAAATGTGAAGTAGGATTCTATCAGCAGGAGAATCATGTCTTGGTGCTTCAGGGGTTACACTACATTTTGATTCATATTTCATTGTTAGATATATCATTTAATATGTGCTGATATGGAATAAAATCTCCATGATAAAATGGTTAAAAAAAAGCACAGTGCAGAAAAGTGCTCTGATATTGAATTTTAAAAAGTGATACACATAAATAACTCATATATGTTGGGCATTTCTGCAAGAATAAGGAGAAAAGTAGCGATGGCGATTTTCTCTGAAGAGTAGGACTTTGGCACTCAGGAAGTGGGTCTTGGTAGTCTGCCTTTGGAGGGAAACTTAGTTTACATTGAATATACTTTTATCACTTGGATTTTTATTATGCATATAAGTTTTTGATAAAACAATATTATTTATACCACTATATAGTGCATATATATAAACAAACCACATATACAAATGTGTTTATAGATATGTTGAACCAATGATTAATAATGTTTATGTTAACAATAAAATCATCTGTAACATTCTTATAATTTTGTTAATGTGACCTAAATTAGCATGTATCATTTGTGCCATAACACTCAACTAATGCTAAATATAATTAAGTATTCTAAAACAGCAATATTTGAAAAAATGTATAAAACCAAATATTTAGATACACTTTTTTTTTTTTTTTTTTGGAGAAAGGTTCTCATTCTGTCACCCAGACTGGAGTGCAGTGGTGCAATCTCGTCTCACTGCAGCTTCAACCTCCCAATCTCAGCTGATCCTCCTTCTGCAGTCCCCCAAGCTGGGACTACAGGTGCACATCACCATGCCTGGGTTTGTATGTTTTGTGTTTGTTTGTTTGTTTGTTTGTAGAGACAAGGTTTTCCATGTTGCCCAGGCTGGTCTAGAACTTCTGGGCTTAAGTAATCTGTCCACCTCAGCCTCCTAAAGTGCTAGGATTACAGGCATGCATACTACATTTTTAACATAATGTATACTCCCCAAAGGGTTGTATCCTGCTAGCCTGACCATTTCATTTTTGTGTGTGTAAGCCCTGGAATAATGTAACTACTATTAAGTCTAAGAGTGTATGTGAACTTGTATATATGCCATTACTTAGAAACTTTACAGTATTCCCTAAGTCTTTCTTCTAAAATGCAAGTCTCTGTAAGTTTGCTAGGGTAAAAATAGGACAAACAAGAAAAGTAGGACAAAAAAAGGAGCACCCATTAAATGATAAGGACACATGCATGTTTCTGATATGCTGTGGACAATGAGTGGGCACCTAACACTGAACAGGGACAATATTTCTAAGCCCCTATTCTCCTCTTACGTTGACATTTATAAGAAATGCTAACAAGTGGTAGAATATTCAACAGCTAAAGGATAATTTTCCCACTGCCCCTCTTTCTAACTACTCAGTAATTGCAGTAAATCCTAAAACTTCAAGATACATGTATTTAAAATATTATCTATGAAAATTAGTAATTTCTAAATTCTAACTAGAATAAAACCAGAAACAAATTAAATATCAAGGGTGATGTAATCTCCAAAATGGCTCTGTTTATTATTTTGCTTTTATTTATTTTACTCATTTATTCAACAAATATTTAAGTAGCATCATTTATGTTAAGCATTGTGCTTGGAACTAGAGATATAGTAGCAATGAAGATAGATAGAGACCTTGCTCTCTGCTAAAGGAGAAATACCTGAATAATTCTTTAGATAATAATAAATGACTTTTATTTATAAAGTTCATAAGTTATATGCCAGACACTTTCATATGCATCATCTCAGTCAGTAACTATAGGAACTTTTTAATAATAGCATTATTATCTCCACATTACATATGAGGAAACTGACTCCAAAAGAGAGGTTAAGTGACTTGATCAAGGTCCTTAACAAGAAAATATAAGAGGAATACTCAATTCCTGGGGCAAATTTGAAGAAGAGCTCTTCCCATCTGGCTTTCTCCGCTATATCATACATCATCTATTCTATTAGTCTGCTCAGTGCTGATCTTCTATTACAAATATTTACTTGTATTAAAAATATTTATTTCAAAAATTAAATATATCCTTTCTTTTTGGTACATTGTGTTTTAAGAATTTACATCAACCATCAAAGAAAATAGGGAAAACCATGAAGTGAACTTCACTATATTAATACCTCTTGATATTTGGTGTTGTTTGCATAAAACAGAAATATATTCTAAGTTAAAAATAATAACATTATCATAAGGATGTTTGGTAGTTCATACACCCAAAGAAAAAGTTCAGAAACAGGCTTTGGAAGAAGCAGAAAGCAGAATAGCACTAGGGTTCTCAGTTGCAAAAAATCAACCAAACAAACAAAAACAATCTCTTCTGTGTTGATATGGTTTGGATCTGTGTCCCCACCCAACTCTCATCTTGAATTATAATCCTCATGCTATACTCCCCACGTGTCGAGAGAGGGGGGTGGTTGGATTATGAGGGTGGTTCCCCCATGCTGTTATCATGATCGTGAGTGAGTTCTCACGAGACATGATGTTTTAATAAGTGTTTGGAAGTTCTTCCTTCACTCTTCTCTCCTGCCACCATGTGAAGAAGGTCCTTGCTTCCCCTTCGCCTTCCACCATGATTATAAGTTTCTTGAGGACCTCCCCAACCAAGTGGAATTGTGAGTCATTTAAACCTCTTTGCTTTATAAATTACCCAATCTCGGGTAGTATCTTTATAGCAGTGTGAGAATGGACTAATACAGGGTACTGGGTATGGCCATCTGAAAGAATTGACAACAACCATTTTAGCCCTTGAGTCACTCCACTCAAGATTCAATTCCTGAAGGGAAAATTCAATTGTCCTGGCTGATCCCTTGGCTAGGAAAGATGGGACATCCTGACTGACAGTTCCATCTCTATGCCATGCAAAAAGGGAGACAGGGGCCATTTATTAGAAGAAAAGAAGAATAGTTGCTAGACAGATTCCTCAGATGCTACCTATGCACATATTGTTAAAGTGGATGCTGAGTGTCATAATTTTGTGGAAATCACAGGCAGGAATGCAAATAGTCCATGTTGGATTGCCAGACCTAGTGCAGTAGTTGGGATATTCATATAACTCAATTACAGAGACTTCTTTTTTTGAGACAGGGTCTTACCCAGGCTGGAGTGCAGTGGTGCAGTCACAATTCACTGCAGACTCCACCTCCCATGCTCAGATGATCCTCCCACCTCAGCCTCCCTAGTAGCTGGGACTACACGCATGCACCACCACGCCCACCTAATTTTTTGTAGGGACAAGGTTTTGTCATGTTGCCCAGGCTTGTCTTGAACTCCAGGACTCAAGGGATCCTTCCGCCTCGGCCTCCCAAAGTGCTGGGATTACAGATGTGAGCCACTGTGCCAAGCCTATTGCAGAGACTTTTAATGGACTCCCAGGGTTCCCTTAGTCTTTAAACACCTCATCCTGGCAAGAGCTTGGGATGATAGATATTTACATATTCTCTAAATTTGTATTACAGTGTCTGTTATTTCAATCTGCTTAGTATGATAAAAGTAGGGACCTGCCCTCTATTTTTTTAAGATATATGAAGTGATGTTTTGAGATACATATATGTTGTGAAATAATCACCAAAGTCAAGTTAATTAATATATCCATCACCTCACATAGTTACCTTTGTGTGTGTGGTGAGAACATTTAAGATCCACCCTCAGCAAATTTCAAGTGTAGAATGCAGTAAGCTATAGTCACCTTACTGGACATTAGAGCTCCAGAACTTACTCATCCTACACAACTAAAACTTTTTGTACTCTTTGACCAACATCTCCCCACTTCCCCCAACCCCCAGTCTCTGACAACCACCATTCTACTCCCTGATTTTATGAGTTATATTTTTTTAGATTCTACATATGAATGAGACCATGCAGTATTTGTCTTTCTTTGCCTGGCTTATCTCATTTGGCGTAATGTCTTCCAGGTTCATTCATGTTCAGGATTTTCTTTATTTTTAGACCAAACAATATTCCATTGTGTGTGTGTGTGTGTGTGTGTGTGTGTGTGTATAAAGTAATATAATATAAATGTAATATATATGATGTAATATATATATAAAGATGAAATCTTATACATTCATCTGCCAAAGGACACTTAAGACACTTAGATTGTTTCTATATCTTGGCTATTGTGAATAACACTGCAATGAACATGAGAGTAGAGATAGCTCTGTGAGATACTGTTTTCATTTCCTTTGACTATACCTGTAGTGGGATTGCTGGATCATATGGTAGTTCTGCTTTTAATTTTTTTAGGAACCTTCATACTGTTTTCCGTGATAGTTACACTACATGCCTTCTATATTTTAAAACCTAAACTTAAGCAGAGTTTCGTGTGTTATGCATTCATTGTCCCACAAATATAAGTCATATCTGCTTGTGATTTTCTGTCTATGCATGCCTCAATTCCAAGGCCCTTGGAATGTCTATTTTCCTTAGAGAGATTTAAAAAACATATCCAACACTTACTATGTACTGTTACAGTTCTTATTCACTTGTCTCATCAATCCACAACATCTCTAGGTTGGAACTAATATTATAACTATTCTTCAGATGAATAAAATGAGGCATCATAAAGGCTAAGTAACTTGCCCAAGGTATCATAACTAATTAATGGTAGAGCCAGGGTATAAACACAGAAGCTGATTCCAAAATGTATGCTCATGCCCATGAAAACGTGGAGTCTTTTCTCAATGATCTGATTTGAGGTTGATGAAAATAACATTTTATTCAAGAAACAAAGCTTGAGATGTCAACATTTTAAGGTTTTCCTATAAGGTTCAGAATATCGTACTTTGTATGTTTGGAATTTTCCAAAATAGAATATTACTTTGTGAAAGTAATATGATGATATCCCTCATGACCTGGAGGCAAACAGAAAAGAGTTACTTCGGCAAACACTAAAACAATGGTTTTTTTCATTTTTAATGAAATTATTTTTATGATGATATCTTCTATTTGTACAGGGCAAGGGCGCAGTGCATATAGATAGAAATGTAAATGAGATTTATTTTTTCTTTATAATATTTGTATTACAAATTAGTATGCTTTATAATGTACATTTATGTATATAAATTATTTTGGATATAACAAATGTTTTATCACTTGAGTAAAAAATGAGTAAAGTTAAAATCCCATAAATTCCTCAAATGCTACTTAAAGAAATTATTTGATAAATATGGTACTATTCTGAAATGGAAACTGAACCAAGAGAGTCTACCATCTCAGCAGGAAGGTTCAGTTTTCCCCAACCAAAGAGTTTCCTTATTGAACATCCAACAAGATTAAAAATCATAATTCTAAGCCTTGCATTTGGCCAGGTAAACTAGTCAATCAATAAGCCAGCCAACCAATTAAAAATTATTAGGTGTGTGTGATATTCATATTAAAGAGCCACTGAAGTTCAAGTTTTTTGACCTTCTATGTCCCTGCACAATGTCACTGTACTTCATATCATAATTCCTTTTAATATTCTTCCAAGATCTAAATACTAATTGCTCTCTATCTCAGATGGAAATTTCAATATCTTCCTTTATATTCACTATTCCACAACACCAATGTAGCTATGTAGCTGTCAGAAATTTTTTCAGTCATTAAGTAACTTCTCATTCACAGCAAATTAGGTTATACATATGGCTTTTTGTCCAACCTAGACTTGAACACAGCCCTTCGACCTCCAATTTTCCGAGAAGATACTGTCTACTGCCTGCTTTCCTTATCCTACTTTCAGGCTTCAGAACATTGTCAGAGTAGGTCTTGAACAGTCGTGTCACTGATCTGATCATTGTGAACACCTTGGAGATTATGGGAATTCTCGCTCTGTTGATTTGGCTGAGGGCAATGGTAGTGAAAAAGGACAAAATGATCTAATTGGCCTTGTGGCCATCCAGTTCCACATGGAGATATTGTCACAATCTTAAATTAGTGAAGAGGGCTTTGATTGGATTTGTGTTGCTCTGGTTGGATTTCAAATTCAGGAAACTTAATTAGAATGGAAATCATTTTCTCTTGAGAGATTAAACCCTGAAATATTTCAAATGACATTTGATGGATGTGCTTCTGATTTATTTTGATAGGCTCCATCAAGGAATCATGTTATGTCGATCAATATGTCTGAGCCCTTTTATTTACACCAGGAAATTGTAATATGTTACATCTTCTGGGATCAAGCCAATCTTGAAATCTGAGATGATCTGATGTTATGCAGTCTGCATTAGCTTTGCAGTTCCAATATGGAGACAAATATCTATATGTCACCATAATGTATTTGAATTTTTAATGACTATTTTATCCTCTGTGTTGGAGAATATGTTTTAGACAAGCAAATAATTACATTGGCATTATCTTGTCTTTATTTCAAACAGGATCAAAATCCAAATTGACTGTATGATCATCACTGGCATCTTCCAAAGTTGCTTTCATCAGAAACTATGTCCCAGCATTCCAGCCCCACCACTGTCCCTACCAACCCTTTGAAGCTTCTACTTCTCAATTTTTCCTCCATCTGGTCTATCACCCATTCTTTTGCCATTATTTTCTGCCTTCATACCTTGTATTATTGCAAAATTAATTTCACTGGCCTTTTTGCTATTGTTGATATCAGAATCCATTTGATGCAGTACTCACCAAGCATTTTGAGCCCCCTAAACCTTCTGAAGACCCCTTACCAATCTGTTTCTGTATTGGCTTCTATCATTCCAAATTTTTTGCTTCTGTTGGTACTGACAATGAATTATATACCCCCTTATGCACTATATTCCCACTGCCTTGCATGTAGAAAGTGTTTAATATGAGTTAATTAAATAAGTTATTGAATAAAGCAGACTTGCTAGTCTCAATATTTTATAGTTCCCATCCGTCATTACAGGTGTTTTCTTCTCTCCCTAATTACTCCTTCTACTACCATGTTTGTTTTCTGCTGCTTTAAACTATTTATGTTAAGTCCTTATGTTCTGCAATCACTAACTGATAGGTTATTCCTTTTTTCAGTACACTTACTGACCATATCAGTCTTCTTTCTCTTCCACTACTGCCAGATCTTGGCCTCAACTGCCAGCTCTGTTGAGGCAGAAATTTGGCTGCAACCTCCTTCAATCTGTCTGTCTCCTGTATCTAGGAAGGTATACCTAGGTGGGATTAGGGTTAGGGAGTATTAAAGGATCATAGAGGACAAGGAGAATGGTTCCTAAAAAGAGCCCATTTGGACTAGAAGGGAAAACTAGGATGAGGAAAGGATTTTTCATGAAACAAATTTAAGTATTATTATACGCTATGAGGAAAGAACCAAAAGAGTAGGATATATTGAAAATATTGAAGAAAAAAAGTATGCCTGAGAGAACATGATCTTAAAGGATATATGGAGAGGTGAAAACTAATGCACATGTGGTGGTATTAGTCTTAGGATAAAGGTCATTTCTTCCATTGAGGAAAATGGAAATGGGTAATAACTTAATTTTGTAGATAGAGGGATAGGAATCCTCAATTTTCACCATAAATAAAAAAAGTGGTCTGCTGAGATAAGTCAGAGATAAGAG